>NC_000016.10:31953765-32268973 GCF_000001405.40 Homo sapiens | reverse complement strand
AGTCCTGGCTCTGTGCCTGCTACAGCTCCATCTCCATCTACTCTCCAGGGAGAGCTCCTTGCCAACTCACATGTCCATGGGGGTGTGGAGCTTCCTGCAGCCAGGATCCCAGTGGTCTGCAGCGAGAGTGAGCAGCCTCCCAGTCCCTTTACTCACTTCTTCCCCAGATGCCACTCAGGGCCAAAAAGCAGTCATAGCGTTCAGGCACCCCATAAGGGCACCCCAGCTTCCTTGCTCTTCAGTCTTAGAAAACGCACCTTTTCTCCATCCACACTATGCATTTTCTCTCCAAATATCTATTCAAACTATGTTGATGTAGTCAAAATTGTGGTCTTTCTCTTTGGGAGCAACACTTCCTGGCTGCATCCAGTAAGCCATCTTGGAAACTCTCTTAAAAGTACTAATGTGGCAATTTCTCCTAAAATTATCTATAAATGCAGTGCAATCCCAATCAAAAGCCCAATAACTTTTTTTAAATGGAAACAGAAACTAACATTCTAAAATTCAAGTGAAATCTCAAGGAACCAAGAATAGTCAAAACGATCGCAAAAAAAAGAGAAAAAAATGTTCAAAGCTCTAATTTCATAATGAGAAATTTCCTAACGTCAAAAGTTACTCACAGTCATGTTACTCAAAACAGTGTGGTACTGGGATAGAGACTACAAACAAATGAAATAAAATAGAGCCCAGAAAGGTATCCTCACATATATGATAAAATAGTTTAACAAGTTGCCAGGGTTATTCAGTGGGAAAAGAAAGTCTTCAGAAAAAAAAAATTTGCTTGGAAAACTAGATATTCACATAATGAAGTATAAAATTGGACTTATACCTTACACTGTATACAAAATGAAATCGAAATGCATCGAAAACCTAAAAGAAAAACTTAAACCTGAACAACTATTAAAAAAAAGATAGGGCAAAATATTCATACCATTAGATGTGGGAATAATTTCTTGCATATGATGCAAGCTCAGTCAACAACCAAATAGATACATGACTTCATCAATAGTGAATTTGTCTCTCAGAGGACACTATCAATAGAGTAACAGGACAACTCTGAATAATAGAACATACTCCATAACAATACTCTAATAATACATCTGGCAAGGTATTAATATAGGGAAAATACAAAGTAAAAAGGTTTGAAAATCTTCAACACTCTTCATGATAAAAACATTAAATAAACTGGAAATAGAAAAGATATTGTAAGACATCTATAAAAACCCCACAGCTAACATCATACTTGATGTTAAAAGACAAAATGCTTTCTACCTAAGATCAGAAATAAGACAAAGATGTCTGTTCTCACGACATCTATTCAACATGGTAAAAAAAAGCTGTTAGCTAGGAAATTAGGCAAGAACATAAAAGTATTAGTGATTTCAAAGCAAATACACACATAGCACCCAGGCATAAATACAAAAGCAGACTTTTCACTGCACGTAAAGGTGGATACATGCAGACAAAGACACACAAGCTTGCTAACTGTCAGAGTTAGCAGCTGAAACACACAAATAAATGCTCAGAGAGACACCCAGTTTAGACCTCTGCTCTCTTTACCACACTCTCCTCCCACATTAGCAGTAACCACTATCTTACACATTGTTTATTTTACTTGTATTATATATTTATTCTTTCCTAGAATATCAGCTTCAAGTGGGCAGAATTATTTGTTTTGTTTTAGTCATTGCAGCACCTCCTAGAACATCTGCTACACAGGGCAAGATTAATACATAATAAATCACTGGGCTCAAATTCACACAACTATACACAGTGCTTTTCCATGAACCTCATCATAGGCCCACATAAACTTGATTTGCACAAAATGAGTTTTTCTTAACTCGATCCTATGTGGCAGGGTGGTGTCTTCTGAACTCCAAACAAATTCCTAAAGGTTAGCTTACTCAAATGAATTGAAAATGTAAGTCCACACAAAAACCTGCACAAAAAAGTTTACAGTAATATTAATTGTAGTTTTCACAAAACTTGGAAGCAACCAAGATCATGTATTCACCAAAGTCAGTGGTACAAAATTATTATACAAAAATCAATTATACTTCTATACACTTGCAACGAAATATCTAATAATGCAGTTGAGGCAAAAACAAATCCATTTACAATAGCAATTAAATAATAAATACATAGAAATAAATTTTTAAAAATGTGAAAGAAACTTGTAATCTGAAAACTACAAACCTTATCGAAAGAGGTTGAAGATCTAAATAAATGAGAAACCATTCCATGTTTATGAATCAGTAGGTTTAATACATTATGATGACAATAACTCCCCAAACAGTCTACATCCAGTACAATTAGATTCAGTACAATTAGAATTCAAGGTGACTACCATGTAAAAACTGAAGCATTGATGCTGAAATTCATATAAAATTAAAAGGGACTAAGAATATCTTTAAAAATCTTTAAAAAGATGCCAAATAAGAGGACTCACAAATTACAACTTCAAAATTTGCCTCAAAGCAACCTTAATCAAGATGGTGTAGTAATGACACAAGGAAAGTCATTTAGATCAACGAAGTACAACTGAGAGCCCAGAGAGAGTAAAATCAGCAAAATGGCAAGAATGTACAGCTCCAAACACCTGCTCCTCCACAGAAACAGGGAAAAACAAGCAGAACTGTCAGAAACGATGTTGTAAAACCTGTTGAAAACCATCAAGTTGTACAGCAACCATGTAAATACAAAATCAAGAAAAACAATGAAGAACAGGAGAAAAGCCTCGTGGACTTTTTACACGTCCTTGCCCAAATCCTTCCCTTACTCGATGGCAGTCTTAAAAACAACATCCTGAGTTGCCAGTATGGGCCTCTGCTCAGTGGTTCCAGAGGGAAAAGAGGAGGTCTTACTTGCAAAGTATTGTGTTGTTACATTAAAATCTGTATTAGGGCTATCCAAAGGTCTGAAACAAGGCTCTCTTTTTTCTCTAAGTCAGAAAAAAATCAGTTTAAAAAATTGGCACGAGTTACTTGGGAGTATTTTAAGGAAACTGAAAGCCAGCAGCCCCCTGGAGAACAGATTACAGATGACACATGCAATAGGTCACATAAAGCCAAGAATAAAAAGCTAACGTGAGATTTTGTTTTGTTTTACAAATTAGGCTATTAAAAAGCACCCAGGTATGCTGGCAAATTGACAAAGCACTCTGTGCATAACCACGAAAAACACATTTTCTTAAAGACCCAAGAAGACCCTCATTTTCAGCACTGGCTGACCTTCAGGCTCAGCTCAGCAGAAAGTGAAGACTGAAGCAAAGTTTTCAACAGTATGCATGTGTGTTAAAGGAATGCCCCAGCCCAGAGCCATCCACAAAAACTGGAAGAATCCGTCAGTTTGTCTTTGTCTCAGTTTTGTCATATAGACCTTTGTGACACACAGATCTATATACAATGAAAACTACAAATTTCTAATGAAAGAGCCATGAAAGATCACAGAAGATCTTAATAAATAGAAAGACATTTAATGTGCATGAACATAAAATCTCAATATTGTCAAGATATAATTTCTCCCCAATTTGAGTTATAGGCAAGAGAGTCACATCATCTGGGTGATTGGCCAAACATATGTCACAATCCCTTCCATTGACAGCTCCCAAAAAAGGAGTTACATCACCTAGGTGCTCAGCTCTGAGATGTGTCACAACATTGCCCAATACAGGCAGGGCACAGGCGGGAGAGTCACATTTCCTGGGTGCTTGGCCCAGTGGTATGTCACATTTCCTTATGTAGGAAGGGCACACGTAGCAAAAGAGAGTCACATTACCTAGGTACTGTGCTAGAGCTATCAGTCTCTGTGTCATTCAATGTGAGAGTTATGATCTCTTTAGACATCCATGTAACAGAGCCTCAACTCCTTCATCCTCAGATGTAAAGGCTAGTGAAGACCAAATAAGCCTTGAAAGGTAATTCCCCTAAAAAGGCAGAATGTCTTAGGCTTTGGCCTCTCCCCTTCAAGCACAATGAGATCATAACCTCTCTTTTGACTTCTCACTATGCCCAGCAGTGGAACAAAGCTCCTGACTCCACACCCTCACCTTTCCACCCTTGTACCTTCACTGGGCAGACAAGAGACGAGAAGACCTGAACTCTGGGACAGTCTGGGGAGAAAAGAATCCAAAAAGGGTTGAGGCGGCAAGGGCTGAGCTCCCATGGGTGCCCCGGCCCAAAGGTGCAGGTCCAGGCTGTTTTCCAGGTGGCATTCAGTGCAGGTTCTTCAATGCCACTAGAAGGCATGAAAAACCCACTGTAGCTGCTGCTTCTTCCTTTTCTTAAGCTCTGAAAATGCAAACACTTTTTCAAGGTTTTCAGATATGCCCAGGTACCCCCAACTGAAAAGGAGGATAATGGCATTGTTCATCATGGCTTATTGTCTTGCCCAGGCAGGAGCCAGCCTCTGACTTGCCAATCCAGCTGCCCCAGGCTGGAGGTGATCTTGTCGAGCCTCCTCCCTGCAACTCCACTCCTCTTTTTTCTCTTCCTCAACCACCGGCATACTTTTGGTCATCCTTCTTGTTGTCACAATGGGGGCGTGATACCATAAAGACCTGGGAACTCCAATGATCTCAGGTCCCGCAGGGGTCAGGTGAGCATATAGGAAGTCCAGAAGGACAGTCATCTGCCACCTCCAGTTAAAAAAGAACAAAACCCTCACACTCCAGGAATGAGTCAAGAACCCAGTGAAGGCCACAGGTCTAGCCCACAACCACCTAGGTATGTGGGGTCCTCCAAGGCTCACGCTTGTGTCCTGCAGGCTGGAGCCCATGCGAGGGTCTGCAGTCTTTGTTCCGGATGGGGAACTACTGCTTCAGCTGGTTACCCAGGTGCCCCGATGGGGAAAGGAAGGAAATGGTGAGAATCTTCAGCACAGCGGATCACATCACCCTGGAAGAGACCAGTCCTGCCTGCGCATAGCACAAGCAGCCGCAGGCTAGAGGCAGTCATGTCAGGCCTCCTCCATACAGCATCTCTCCTGCTTTTTTTTCAAACGGCCCTAATCACTTAATTTGGTCATCTTCCCTGTCACAATGGGGCACCTGGCGCTATAGACACTTGGGAAACACACAGATCTGGGATCCTACATTGTCCAGGTGAAGACGCCGGGAGTCAGAGAGGAAAGTCTTTTGAAGCCTCCAAAAGGAATGCACAGGACCCTACTTGAAGAGGTGGCGTGCCCAGTGGCGGATACAGGCCCCACACATCGCAGCAGTAAACAGGTAAGGCGCTCCCTGGCCCGTGCCTGTTTCCTGGAAACTGAAGCCATGCCCAGGCTGGGAGTCACCATTCCAGACACAGAATAAGCTGTTGGGCTGACTACCTCACCCAGCACCCGGCCACGCCAGAGAGAATCTTGGATGCTGCTTTCCCACAGGCTGTAGTGCCTTCCAAGTTAGGCCACCCTAATAACACTTCTCCCGCAGGGACTCCACGGTGTCCAGCTCTCCAGCCTGGGGTTTCTCATCACCCAGTGATTCCAAAAGAAACGATCTACAATGGCATGACTAAGTTCCAGAAACAAATAAACAAAATACTGAGGGAAGCCCATTGGTCACTTTGATTCTTCAAAGGTGACAATTGTCCCTCCCTGAAATCTTATGAGTGCATGAACAGACTATTCTAATGTAAATGAAATTCACACTAAAACTGATTGAAAGATGATTCTGTTTCCAAGGTACTTTGTATTCTCAAATTGCATCTGCTTACCCTGGCCCCCTCAAAATGGAAGAGTGATGACTATTTGTCTTCGTAACACTGTGGGGACACAGAGCCTTAAATGGAAGAGTGTCAAAAGCAACATTCCATAAAGGGCTGTCACTTCCAATTTTCAAGCGAGGTTGGAAACCAACCATGATGTATGAAACACTGTTGGCCAAAGTGCACAATTAGTAATACAAAATGAATAATATAAACTATTGTAAATATGTGTAGACATCGTGGCAATTTGGACATCAAAAACACTGCCAAATTCAGAAAGAGGAAGCTGTAAACTCATGGCTGTTAGGAAGCTTAACTTCTGTGTACTAGAACCTATCAAAATTAAATTTCTCCATGTCAATCCGTCCAAACAAACATTGAGATGTTTATTTCTATATAATTCCTATTGAATCCTACTGGGTAGGACCCTTCTGGCCCCATCCTCACAGCACTGGTGCAGTGAAACTGCACTTGCTCCTGCTTCCCCCTATATTGTTAGGAGTGGAAATATTTAGTAACAGGGTGGATTGGGAGGCTACTGAGGCCTCCTGCGTGGGTGGGTCAGGTCTCCTGCAGCCCAAACCTTTTTACAATAAATAAGTTATAGGTAAAATTAGAAAAAAATTAAAAAATGGAACTCATTCTGTTTCTTTGCTCACCACAAAGAGAAACACAGCATCTAGAGATGTCTGTTGGAGCCAGGCTTGTCCTGGGAAAGTAAGAAGTGCTGAGCAGGAGTCCTGGGGATGGAGGGCAGGTGAGATGGGGCTCCCAGGAAGATGCAGCCAAGCCTGGCTCACTCAGGCTGGCAGGGGCCCTCTGAAGGCCAGGAAAGTTGGCCCAGGACACTGAAACTCAAGTGGCTCATCTGGGCCAAAGATCTGACCAGGTCGCACTGAATCTCATCAGCCCTGCCAACTGGAGGTCTGATCAGCCTTGAAGATCTTGCTCACTGGAAGCAGACAGCTGGTGGATGGGTCAGGAGAGCTGCCTACTGCCAATGCAGGAGTCCACTCAGTGTAGGCCCGCTGCCCCACTCAGTGGCCTGGATAGCCTGCTGAGGCTGCAGCTTCTTCCAGTTTTTGAGCAATAGGGGCATGCATCATTTCCGAAGGTTTTCAGGCAATCCCTGGTGACCTCTGGCAGGGGGTGGTTATCTTGGCAATCTCCAGCAGGGCCTATGGACTTGCTCCCAGGCAAAACCCAGCGATCCCCGTGCCTACCCAGGCACTAAGCATTTGTGGTGGGGCTTTCTGGAAGCTCGCCTTCTCCTGCTGGCTCTTCGTTTTCCCCACCCCGGTACTTCTGGTCATTCTCCCTGTCATCATCACAATGAGACAGCTGGGTGCTGGAGACTCAGAAACTGCCATGCAGACCTTGAGTCCTTCCCAGGCCCAGCCAACAGGGCAGAGAATCCAGGAGAAAAGTCATTTTCACCTCCTGAAGGACCAGAGCTGACCAGGCACCTAGAAGCTGTGCCCCGCTGCAGGCTGCCGGTGGAGCTCATGACAAGGCCGGAACGTGAAGCACTCCCTTGTCTGTCCTTTTTTCCTGAAGGCTGGAGCTTGCCCGGCCAATGTCACCCTTCAGGACAGGGAATCAGAGCTTTGCATGGCTGCCTTACCCCACCAGAGCAGTGCCACAGAGAATCATGGCTGAGGCTTTCCTGTGGGCTGCAGTGCCTGACCCTTTAGGGTCCCCACAAAAACACCTTTCCTGCAAATAATCCACAGTGTCCTGCTTGCCAGCCTAGGCTTCCTCATCAGTTGGTGATTTCAATGAAAACAAACTACAGTGGAATGAACAAATTCTAAATCAGGAACACACAAAGAATCTGTGGAAAGTCCATTTGTCATCTAGATTTTTAAAAGATACACATTTTCCCTTCTTGTTATATTCAGTAGTGCATGAAGCCAATATTATAATAGATGTGCAACTCACACTAAAGCTGACTAAAGGGTGAATTCTTATTCTAAGGTACTTTGTGGTCTCAAATTTATCTGTTCCCACCCCCAGGACCCCATTAAAACTGAATAATTGTCATTGAGAGCAGATGTAGAAAGAAACTAGCTAGGCAGATAGAGCAAAGAGTTCTCAACAGAACGTCCCTTCTAACAGAAAGCAACCCAGGAATTCACTTCTCTTTAACAAAGAGCAGCCTGGAAAATTGGGCTGCAATCATACAAAAGGAAGCTGGAAGCTTGTGTGGGCAGGGATGCCTGCAGCTGCATGGGTAGAAATGACCACCTTGGGCCAGACATATCCAACATGGGGGGCCCCACCCCTCTTTGTAGCATATGCACAGTAGAAAAGAGATAAGCAACTTGGAGTAGCTCAGGCTGAGAATCTGCCTGCATAATAAAAGGTTGGGGTGTGAGCTGCCAGAGATTCATGCTCTAAGCAGATGACACACCTGGTCCTAACCAGTTTTTCATGCCCTATGTGGATAACATACCCCCTCCCACTAGCTCATCTATAAAAACACTTGTATTTCACTGCAGAATGGCAACTCTTTTTTTCTGGATCCCTCTCTGCAGCAGAGAGCTGTTCTCTTTTTCTCACCCATTAAACTTTTGCTCTAACCTCACCTTTGGCATATCTGTGTCCTTGATTTCCTCGGTCCTGACACCGAGAAGTTCAGGTGTAACCCCAGAAGACACGGCCAGTTTATCATGACTTGTCTCATTGCCTCTTGGGACATAGAAACGTCAATGAAAATGTGTCCAAAAGGACATTTCATAAAGTGCTCTCTCTTCCAATCTTCAAGCAATGTGGGACTATCCATCATGTACAAAAAACTTGTGGCTGAAATGCACAATTTCTAATACAAAAATGAATGCTATAAATTACTCTATGTATGTGTATTATGGCCATTCAGACATCGTCACACATTGCCACATTTAGATAGAAGAACCTGTGAACTTGTGGCTGTTAGGAAGCTTAACTTGTGCATACTGTCACCTATGAAAGTTAGCTTTCCCTGTGTTTCTTGAAACCAACCTTGAAATGTCCATCTTGTACACAATTTCTATTTATCCCCAGTGAGGTTCACCCATCTGGCCCCACCCTTACAGCCCTGGTACCAATGGAATTGCACTTGCTTATGCTTCTTCAAATTTTCTTGAGGTCATAAACATTTAGTGACAGAGTGGAATGAGAAGGTACTGAAGCAAGGGCTGATGCCTTCTGGGTAGATGGGTAGAGATCTCCTGCAGCCTGGATATCTTCAAAATAAGTAGGTTATAGGTCAAGTTAGAGAAAAAATAATACTCTTTCTTTGAACACCACGAAGAGAAAAGCGCTGGATCTAGATGTGTCTGTGAAGCCAGGCTTGTCCTGGGAAAGTGAGAAGAGCTGAGCAGGAGCCCTGGCAATGGAGGGTGGGTGAGATGTGGTCCCCACGGAGAGACCACTAGGGTCAGGGCTTGGTACAGTGAGGCTGGCAGGGCCCTTCGGAAGGCAAGGGAAGATGGCCAAGGACACAAGGCTGAAGCAACCCATCTGAGCCAAAGATCTGTTTAGGTCCTTCTGAATCTCAGCAGCCTTGCCAAGGAAGGCATGATTACCCATGGGTATCAGAGACACTGGAGGCTGGCAGCTGGCGGGTGGGCCAGGAGGCCTGACTACTGCACAGGTGTGATTTCACTGGCAGGCCAACTGCAGGGAGTGGATAAAGAGAGAGCTCTGTGTGGGAATCTCTCTCGGTGGATCATCGAAGAGGTGAAGTCTTCTTCATAGCCTCAAACCCAATTTGTGGGATAGCAATTCCAGTGAAGCTGGGACAAGCTGGCACTGCTCAACCAGGCCTCCCAAGATACCAGGTTTCTTTCCACCACAGCTGGGCCTGGATTGGGATGTGAACATCTATCCCAGAGTCCAGAGGATGGGACCCTGGTCAGTGATGGTGCTGGTGTGTGGTGTGAAGCCAGGTAGGGCAGACTCTTCAGGTGGGAGGAGAAGACAGCCTCTCCTGTGGGCTCCTGGGCAAGTCAACACCCTCTTTGGGCCTGTCTCCTCAACTGGAAAATGCAGAAAGCCTGTTGTGCAGGCCTCACAGGGTCATGATAAGGGGCAAAGGATGAAGGAAACTTCAGAATTCTTGTGCCCACCTCTTCCTGAGAGGGATGATGGTGAGAACAATGGTGATAGCCACATGCAACTGAGTCCTCAGGAGGTACTGTGAGGAAGGTGTTGTTCTCATCACACTTCCTAGATGAAAAAACAGTTTCAGGAAGGCCTGGCTGCATGCCCAAGGTTACACACACAGTGAGTGTTAAAGCTGGGAGTAAATCTAGAATCAGGACTCACTGGAGCTGGTGGGAGCATTACACCGGCTGACTCAGGCAGTTATCCAAGATCTGAGGTCGCTGGGGCTGGAGTGTAACTGTGAGACAGGCACAGTCTCACTGACCCTGTTTCTGACTCTACTAGGTAGGAACCTTTTTAAAGAGTCCAGATGGGGCTGCAGCAGCAGGTGAATTGGCCTATGGTAGGGAGGGGCTCCAGAGAGTCAAGGACAGGGCTCCTCCCTCCCAGCTGGAGTTCTCCACATCAAGAGACCTGGGTGTCTTCCTCCTCCAGCCCTGCCCTCCTGTGGCCACAATGCTTGGAATGCCTTCATTAGAGAGACTAGAGAAAGGGCCTGGGAGAGCTAGGCTCAGAGTAGATTAGACGAAGAGTGAGGGTGGGGACGATCTGACTTTGTGATTTATTAAAATCACACCATAGAGGTAACTAAGAAGTGCTTAGCGTCTTTGGAGGTCAGCTGTGGAAAGAGGAGGGAAAGATTTTGGGCAAGGAGGTGAAAGGTCCTTGGATGCTCTGAGTGAGAGACTTGGGTACGGGGGTCAAGGAGAAATAGGTTGGTGAGAGTTCAAAGGAGAGGTCTTGTGCAGTTAGCTGAGAATTGGTGCTCATCACTGCTACCACCTTGATAACACAGGCTGCTGTGCCCCCACTCCCCTCCCCCCCACCCCCCACCCCGGGCACACTTCTCAACAACCTGCAGATGCTGGAAATTGCCATAGAGGATTATATAGATGTGAGTGAGACTGGGGCAGGCAGGCAGGGTGGGGACCAGGATCCTGAAGCTTGCGAGGACAGAGTCCTGGACTGAATCCTGAGACTGCAGCACTCAGCAAACCCCTTTCCTGAGAGCCTACCAGATGCCCCTGTAAATGGCAGTGTCAGTTCCGTCTTATCTATGAGTGACGGAGCCTCCAGCAAAGACACCATTTCCTGTTCCTTGAGTAGTAAAGCTGCAGAGCTAAGTCTCAGCCTCTGCCTTAGCTGGTACCCATTGCAGAAGAGAGAAATTGGGCCCCTCCTAAGACAGGCAGGTCCTAAATTGTTGAGTAACTTCTTTGTTTCCAAGGCCTTTGTCTCCCTGTCTATCATCACAGAGAATCAGGGAGAAAGGTCACTGAGCCTCAGTGTCCCTTCTGTGGAGCCCAGAACCTGATGCAGGTCTAAGTCCTGTTTTATGCACATGCTCTGACCCTGGTGGCCCTGGTGGTGGTGCAGCATAGGAAGTATAAGGGATGAGGTCTAGTCCTGTGTCAGGAAGCCTTTCTCATGAATCTTGGCTGTCTACCTCCTAAGAACATATAATCAACACTAATAAAGGAAGAAGGTGAGCAGCTGGCGCTGTCGCTTTGAGGGAGGGTGGGGATGTGAAAGTCAGACACCACCCTGAGGAAGACACTCCTTGGCTCCATCCTCTGCATCTTAGATTTATTGGGAAGGTTTGATACACAGAGAAGCAGGAGACCCATCCCAATGGAGGGTTTGATTAGGGGAATAGAATCAATGATAAACTCCTAGAGGAGGGACTGTTTATATCCAACTCTTGAGAACAGGTTGGGGCTACATGGGATTGGAGGGGAGGGTAGGACCCCTTAAAAGAAAGGCCCTAGAAATTGTCCCTACCCCTTCACACCCCCACAAGTTCCCTTTGTCATCTTCCACCCAGGACCTGTCAGAATCCTGCCCTTCCTTCTGTCTCCAGATCAAAGTCCTCCAGGAAATGCAGCTGCTTCAGTGACAAGAGATAATTGTCATCTTCTGACTGAGGAGGAATTTGGGGTTTGGTTCCAGTGCATGAAGCTGCACAGTCAGAATAAAAGATGAGGGCCTAGCAGATTAGCAAAGACTAGGAGAAGACTCTATCTTGTGGCCAGCTTCAGAGAACCTGGGGCCATAGCTCCCTGGTCAACATTAGGCCTGCTGCATGGGGACCCTGGGCAGGCAGTGGGAAGCCTGAGGTGTGGCTCCTGGTAGCCTCACAGCTGCCACTATTTTCTGAAGCTCCTCCTACTTGTTTTGTCAGACGGGCCCCTATTCCAGCAGGCCAGCAACACCCTCAAGACCAAGAACAGGCCATGGTGAATCTCAGGGCCATTGAGTGCCTGGGCTGGCAGGGGCAGAGTGCCTCAGGGCTCAGTGACATTTGGCCTGAGTGTTGGCTTTGGGAGTCAGACAGCTGCACTGGGCTCCCAGCTTCACCATGACCAGTAATGTGTCTGGGGCCGGGGCCTCACTGCTCTAAAACTTGAGACACCATAGTGATAAATTTTACACACCCTTCTAACTGCTTTTTCTTTTTTATCTGTCTTTCTCTATAATCACCATGTACTACTGATCTCTGTTTATTTAAATTAATAAGCATGTTATACAGTGTGTATTATTCTTCCTCGTGATTTCTTTACTACATTGTATGATTCCACTCATATGAGGTACTTACAGTAGTTCCATTCATAGAAACTCAAAGTAGAAGAGTAGTTCCTAGAGGCCAAAAGGAAGGTAACGGGAACAGAGTTTGAGTTTTGCAAAATGAACAAATTTCCCTATGAATGTGGATGATGGTTGTAGAACAATGTGAGTATGATTAATTCCTCTGTCCTGCACTTTTAAAAATTGTTAAAATGGTTAATTTTATGTATATTTTACCACAATGTAAAAAAGGACTTTTTTAAATGAACAAACTGTAGATATCTGTAACAGCATAAATATCACAAATATAATATTGCATTAAAAATTGATGTAAAAGTATCCATACTGTGTAATTTTTTATATTACACTCAAAAATCAAAACTGAGGTTCTGGCTTCCACTAATGATGAAGTAGCTAACTGAACTAACACTCTCACACAGAAAAATGATGAATCCTGGGTAAATTATTATATATCATTATAGAAACATTTCTATATACAATACATACATGAAATATGTGTATATAAAAACTGAATGCATATTTTGGCTATGACTTCCATAGGAGAGATAAGTATTGAAGATAGAATCCAGCCCATTTAACACCATCTTTTAAAAACAACACTCTTCACAGGGACAAAACAGAATCCAGTCTTTTTAATCCAGTCTTGTATACAGTCTCCAGGGCACAATTTCCAATTCAAGAGATGCGTGAAGACACGTGAAAATGTAATAAATACACAAGATAAAAAGCAGGCAGTAGCCATCTCCAAGATGTCCAAGATGTAAACGGCAGACAAGAATTTGAAGGCAGCTATTATAAACACGCTCATGAGGGCAAAGGAAAATATTCTCATAAATGAATAGATGTGAAACATCAGCAGAGAAAAAATAGCCATATAAAAAATGAGAAATAAAAATAGTAATTTTGAGCTTTTCTATAGTTCAGAAACAGAGACATAGCAATATAATTTATCCAATCTGAGGAGAGGAAAAAAAAAAGTTTAAAGAAAATGAACAGAGCCTTACAGACCTGTGGGATGACTGAGTCTGAGAAAAGGTGAGAGATAGAAAAAATCAAATGGAGTATAAAAGTAAATCAACAAAATTTAAAGAAAATAAACACAGCCTTAGAGACCCATGGAATTATTGAGCCTGAGGAGAGGAGAGAGACAGAAGAATTAGATGGGTTGCAAAAATAAATCAATAACTAACAGCTGCAAACTTGCAAAAATTGTTCAAAAACCTATTTTTTTTTTTAATCTAAAGATCCACGAATCCCCCACAAAAGTACAAATAAAACCATACCAAGGCCATATTGTGATTTAGGAAAGCAGCAGGCAGGACTTTCAATTGACTTGATATGATTTATCATTTTTACTATTTGTAAGAATGGAAATAAGTTCTTAGAGTTTTTGTCTTGGAGAAAGTCTGACGTTAAGGACAAACGACAGTTATTAAAGGCAGATGACTTTCCAGACTTGTCTTAAATGTTCCATTCTTTACCTTAGAACTTATTTAAATTTGTTTCTTCCAAATACTGCAGTAATATTGATGCTCCAGAGAGATGTCCCACGGAGATTCTGCTCTTGTGCGTCTGCCCTGCACGGAGCTGAGGCAGTGTCTATCAGTTTCAGAAGCGAGTAGTCGTGCAGTACTTAACCTGAAAAACTTAATGGAAACATGAATTAAGAGAATGATCACTGTTTAGTTCTATCAGAAAACTATTAAAAGTGGTCCAAGGGGGTATTTAAAAAGAGATATTATTTTCCAAGGGAGCCCTATTCAGGGTAGAAGCGCAGACACTATCCCTGACCTCACCACACAAACTACCCTCATGTGTTGGGAGGGACCAAGGGGCGCTCTGGTCCTGCTGACCTGCATTAATCACGGCCCGGAGGTCCACACTAAGACCCTGAGGCCTGGGAAGCAGCCTGGGTGGGGTCAGAGAAGCGGTGGATGAGGCTCCCACAGCAGCTTCCAGGGTCCCATCCCCGTAGCTGTTTCCTTAGTGGATGCAGCAGGGTCAGGCCCTTCCGCTGTGACGTTTTCTCCTCTTTATTACACTGGTGGGAAAGTCTCCGTGAGAGGCCCGACCTAGATATGGACCACGCAGCGAGCCCGGGGGTCCAAGCGGCACTCCTGGGGTGCAGAGAATTTGTGACAGCCTAGAGAACAGAGGAAATGGTTTTGAAAAGGCAAATGGCAGGTGACTAGGGACACGATGTTTTCACTTCTGGCAGTCAAGTGACAGTTTCAGACACTCATGAACGGGCTTCTCGAGGGGATCCCAAGGAGCCTGAGACCTGCCAGGTCGGCCGCCATTACCCTACACCTAGGGACGGGCTGCACTGCGCATTTCCGAAAGGGCAGGCCCCTTAGCCCCACCCCTAGGAATGGGTGCACTGCGCATGTGTGAAAGGGCAGGACTTTTATCCCGCCGCTAGGGACGGGCTACACTACCCATGTCTGAACGGGTGTGACAAGAGGGAGGAGCGAGAAGGGACGGGGCGGAGCGGGAGATGGGCAAGAATAGGGGCGCGGTGCGGCCAACGTCCGGCGGAGGATCGTTACCACGGCAACGCTGCTGTGGAGGCCATGAAAGGCGAACGGCCCTTTGTTGGCTGACAGGAAATCGAGACACTCGTGAGGGGGCTTCTTGAGGCGATCCCAAGAGGCCTGAGAACTGCCACATCCGCGGCCCTTAACCCAGCCCTAGGGACGGGCCGCACTGCGCATGTCTGAAAGGGAGTGACAAGAGGAGGAGCGAAGGAGGGTGGGGCTGAGGAGGAGGCGGGGTGAGAAAAGGGGCGGGCCGCGCCCCACCCTTGTCTGAGGAGCGTTACCTTGACAACCCTGCCGCGGAGGCAGTGAGAGGCCACCGACCCTTTGTTGATCTGCAAGGTATCAAACTTCGAACATGACAAGCATAAAAGCCTGCAGCTCGAGGAGACAGGGTGTCACAATTACCAGGTGAAACTAGCCGCCCTAGCTCCAATGTCTCTTCAGCAGGAGAGATTTGGAAACAGCAAGGCTCCTCTCCGCAGGGCGAAACTGCTGGGCTGCGAAAGGCGGGACAGGGAGCGGAACCGTCTTCAACCGTTCCGGGAGTTCTGGTGTCTGGTCCGCTCCCGGCTGTTGGTCGCAGGGCAGAGGGTCTAGGATGCCAGCTGGCTGCGGGCTGGGAGATGCAGGGTGAGGCGCGCATCGCGGTGCATACTGGGAGTTGTAGTCTCTCCACCGTTCCCCACGGTGGATGGTGGGGCTACAGGAGGACAATCCCAGATTGAGACAGGAGCGGAGGCGGGGCGCGGCCGTGCAGGGAGGGGGAGGGCGGTGTAGGCGGCTTCGTTTACCAAGCTTGCTGGCCATTGATTTCATGCCAAACCCTCGCCAAGGGGATTAAATCAGGAGAGGAACTTGAAGGGCAGGCCTGGTCTCGCCAGTGAGGAGGATGTGTTGTTGGGAAGTGCACCCCGCCTTTGCCTAAATCGAGAGTGTCTGGTCCTCACTCACGCGACTTCGACTTCCCGCTGCTCAGCTCGATTTTCTTTCCCACTCGCACCCGAGTTCTTTCCAGAGCGTCCCACCTCCTCCAGCCCATGGAGCCGTCTGCTTTCATAAGTGGCTGTGGAAACTGGTCTGAGGTCCCAGACGCTGTCACTGTGCTGCTGCCCTCCGCTCTCTCCAAGCAAAGCACAAGCTGAGCCGCCTTGGAAAGACAACCACGGCCTGGCCTGGGAATGCGCAAGTTCAGAGCTTTGCAGGGAGTGACCATGGGCTGTGGCTTCGTGAAAATGTCACGTTCACCAGTACCCTTTTTGCGGATGTGGCCGTGGAGCCATGAGGGGGGTAATCACTGGGTTACAAAGGTGCTGCTAAGAGCGGAGGAGAAAAACCCAATTCCCAGCCATGTGTCTGGTATGACATTTCACCAACCCATTTAAGTGTGCAGGCCTCCAAATATCTACCTAAAGATTATGATAGATTAGGCATTTTACACTAAAAATCTGTGGCTTCGTGTCCACTAAAGCCTGACTGGCCAGTGCCTAAAAGAAACAGACGATAACCTGATCCCTCAGGAACAGATGGTGTTCTAGCTTTGTGGAAGTGAATTTCAAGGTATGGAGCACTTGAGGGGTCTTTGAAACCTGCCAGGTCTCACATCTCTGCTTTTGGTGAAAAGCTCATCAACTAACAGTAGTCAGGAATGTGCCTTTACTTCCTGGGGCTGGTCTGTTGAAATTTTGTGTGTGGACAATGGAAACATCCAGGAGCATTTCTGCTTTCCTATAGCCTCTTAATAATTGATGCCCTAAAGTCCTATATCCTTTGATTCCTGGATGGTACCAGATTTCATGCTGTTAAATCTAATCTGCAAAAACCTGAGCGTTAATCTCCATGAATAGAAGAACTTGTTGTTTCTTATTTAAATGCTCTTTTTTCTCTTGTCTTAGATTCTGAGCAGGATTTCCAATACGGTGTTGAAAGAAGTAGTGAGAGTGGGCATCTTTTTCTTATAATAAATCTTAAAAATAATTCCAAAATTTCACCATTGACAATAATGTTAACCATGGGATTGTCCTATAGCTTATAAAGAACATATCTCTTTATTTTGAGGTATATTCTTTCTATACCTAATTTGTTATAGATTTTATTTGGAATGGATTTTAAATTTTGTCAAAATAATTTTAGGCATGCATAAAAAAGTCATGATTTTTAATCTTTTTGTTGTGTAAATAAGGAGTATGGCATTTATTGATTTCCACATATTAAAATATTATTGCATCCCAGGAATAAATCCAACTTGATCATAATAAATGATCCTTTTAAAGTGCTTTTGAATTTCATTTGCAACTACGTTGTGGATGATTTTTCATCTATGTTCATCAGGGATATTGGCCTGTAATTGTTTTTCTTGTAATGTCCATCTCTGGTTTTTGTATCAGTGTAATGCTGGCTTCATAAAATGAGTTTGGAAGTATTCCTCCTCCTTCAATTTTTTCAAAGATTTGGTTCTTTTTAAATGTTTAGTAGAATTCAGCAACAAAGTCATCAGATCTAAACTCCTTACCCATTACTGATCTATTCATATTTTCTATTTCTTTATGCTTCAGTCTTGGTGGGTGGTACTTGTCTAGAAATATATTCATGTCTTCTCCCTTATCCCATTTGGTGGGATATCATTGTACATAGGAGTCTGTGTACATAGCAGTCTTATGACCTTTTTTTATTTCTGTTTTACCAGTTGTAATGTATTCCCTTTAATTCTGATTTTATTTATTTAAGCATTTATTTCTTAGTCTAGCTAAAGATATGTCAACTTCATGTTTTCATAAAACAAGCTCTTACAATTTTTCTACATTTTCTATTGTTTTTCTAATCTTCAGTGTATTCATTTCTGCTCCGATTTTTTTTACTAATTTTATTATCTGGGAACGTTGGGATAAGTTCTTCCTCCTCTAGTTTCTTGAGTTGTGTCATTATTTGTTTATTTGTGATCTGTTTTCTCTTTGGTTGAAGGTGTTTACTGCCACTCCATTTCACTGGGATTAGCACCCATATGCATTGTGGTCTTTTTGTTTGAGTTCATCAAACTTCTGATCCTAAGTCTGCACCTTTAGCATACTGGTAAGCAGCAGTGCTAAAAGCCTACACGATGAGTAGGGGATTTAGGATGAGAGAATTACCCAGTAAGTTTTGGGAGGGACTAATATTAAGTTATCTTTCTCTTTTTTATTTCTCATCAGTGCCTGAACCATAAGGCACAAGGAATGAGCCCCTCATCGTGAGAGTGCATGTGACAGGAGCAAAGGAAGCGGCAGCTCAGGAAAGACAAGGTCACTGTTCTTGCTCCCATGACGGTAGCACTTGTTAGAGCAACTGAGTGACGTGCATAATTCTCTCCAAAGTAAAAGTCCTTTTTGTTTTTTGCAATTTTACAAAAAACCATCCCTGGGCCTTTCCTGAGAGTGTGCAATAATAAGCAATGTTCATATGACTACCCGGGCATTTAGTAATGGTAAGCAGACCAGATGAAGTGACCACAGGGATATAGCCTGACTCTTGGTAATCAGGACTGAAGTACTCACTGATTAAGGTTCTGTGTTTTCACTGCCTTGAAAGGCAAGTGTCTTGCAAGCTGCATGCCAAACAAAGGCTAAATATGATGACACATCAGGCTGCAGCAGAGTCAACTGACCATATATGTCTAGGTGATGAGTGTGCTTTAATGTGGTCAGGGAAGGCAACTCATGATAAAGGCCACAAATGGCTATTTAGACCAAAGCAAAAGCCCACCAGAAACTGGTGGCTCTGACTGAGGTGACTTTTAATGTATCATGAAATCAGTAGGCCAAAAGCAGTTAAAGTTGAGCCGATGTCCTCAGTCATAGTTGGTTAATCCAGTTTGTATTGTGAATTGTTTGATTAGCCTCCCCTTTACCCCATTGGTGAGGGATAAATTACCACCCTTGTACTACTGGAACAGTTAAAACCATGGCACCAATCATTGGACAAATGAGATTGACAGCAGTTATTCGTTACATATAATCATGGAAGAAGGAAATTATATAAGGTATACAGACCCACACAGGGATTGCACTTGGGAGCAGAGAGAACAAACAGGGGGTGTTGGGGAAGGCTTTGTAGTATCAAGAGGGTGAGATGCACCTGGTTCCCACAGGAAGTTGTTATTGGTTGGTCTGGATAATTCTGTGACCTTGGGAGAAACTGAAACACATTATACTACCAATTGCTAAGACTACAATAACATACTATAATAGTGTAATGCTATAATGTACCATATACTGTAATACTAATGACAGTATGTTCTCCCTTTTTTGATAGATTCTCAGAAACTGTGACTTTAAGTAAAACAATGTACTATATAATAAAACCAATTTTACCATTGGCTAATTGATATAAACAAGAGTTAATTTTCCATGGCATATAGTATTTTGTTTCACTTAAAGTCAGTTTCCAGGGACCTATCAATGATGTTAAGTGAGCACTTACTGAACATGTATTTTAGTGATGTGTAATAGAAAGTAGCTATAAAAAATATACTATTCATGTACAAAACTACATGTGGCACACATTACAGTCATGAACCACATAACAATGTTTGAGAAATTGACAGACTATATATATGAGGGTGTTTTCTTGTGAGTATATATATATATATATATATATATATATATATATATATATATACCTACCTTTAAAGGCCAAAGGAGCTGAGAGTTTGAAGAATGAGGCTGACAAATCAAGTTTCTCAGAAAGAAACATTTAAGAGGAACATTTATTAATAGAAGCTATGTCTCAGATAGCTGAAGATGGTGGAACCTCACACTGTGACCCCCTAAACCCAGACACTTATCACAGGAAAGGGAATGTGAAGGACAATTGAAATCACTATATAAATTTGCCTAAGGGTAGGATTTATGCTAAGTACCTGTTCACAATAGCATCAGGGTTGTTTTGATTTAAGGGTAGGGCTTATAGAACTGTAGGTTTCAATATATGACATAGGTATTTGAAACCCTCACCAAAAAACATTAGAGGAAGTAACTCTGTCATCGTTTTAAGTTTCTTTTTTTTTTTTTTTAGTAATTTAAAATCTTAAAGTCTGGTTATGTTAAATTAAGTAATCTTAAGTTTCTCACTAAAAATTAGTATTGCTAAGCATTAAAAGAATAGTTTTAAGACAGTTTTTACCCCAGCACTAGTGATTGGATAATACGGCCCCAGGCCCCACCCCTTCAGGTTCTGAATGAGAGAAGATGTGAGCCAACTCATAGCCAGATGACAACAGGGTAAAATGTTCCAAGCCGCAGCCTTTTTCAGGCAGGACTTCCTCCTTATGCTGAAGCCCGGCCTTCACTGTGGGATATTTGCATTTAACCTTGTATATAAGGTTATTTTTATTTATAAGTTGTATATATGTGGCCAGGCATAGTGGATCTCACCTTTAATACCAGCACTTTGGTAGGCTGAGGGGACAGGAGCTCTTGAATCCAGGCGTTTGGGACCAGCCTGGGCAACAGAATGTGAGGGCCCCACATCAAAACTTTTCTACAAAAAAATGAAAAAATTAGCCAGGCATGGTCACACGTGTCTGTGGTCCCAGCTACTTGGGAGGCAGAGGTGGGAGGGTCACTTAAGCCTGGGAGGTAGAGGCTGCAGTGAGCTGAGATCAGGCCACTGCACTGCAGCCTGGGTGACAGAACAAGATTCTCTCTTTCTTTCTCTGCCTTATTTGTGTGTGTGTGAAGGGGGAGGGGTGTGTGTGTGTATTATTCAAAATAGAAACAAAATAATAACAATTATTTTTATTTTTATTTACATTTTTTTGAGACAGAGTCTCACTCTGTCACCCAGGCTCGAGTACAGTGATGAGATATTGGCTCACTGCAACCTCCGCCTGCCAGGTTCAAGTGATTCTTCTGCCTCAGCCTCCCAGGTAGCTGGGATACAGGCACCCACCATGTTGCCCAGCTAATTTTTGTATTTTTAGTAGAGACATGGTTTCACCATGTTGACCAGGCTGGTTTCGAACCGAGGTCAAGTGATCCGCCTGCCTCGGCCTCCCAAAGTGCTAGCATAACAGGCATGAGCCACCATGCCCAACCAATTACAATTATTTTTAATTTTTAGATTTTACAATCTTTCTGGCCTCTTGGCTTTTGAGGCAAACTGAGCTTTGAAATTAGGCAATCCTCTATTGCACCAATGTGCAATAGAAGTAAAATGTGAGCCACATGTGACAATTAGAATTTACTAGTAGCAGCATAAAGAAAAAGAAAAATGAGTGAAATTGATGTTAACAACATAGCTCAATATATCCAAAATATTTTAACATATAATCAGAATGAAATAATTAAAGAAACATATATATGTGTACATATATACGTACACACACATAGACATATGTTTCTTTAACCCAGCATTATATATTTTTATGCACATTTGTATATGTTACTAAATATTTAAATATTTTCTTGTATTTCTCCCCAGCATATCTTAGTTCATGCTGGGCACAATACAGTTGCTCAGTAGCCCCTGTGCCCAGTGGCTGCCACATTGCAAGTGCATCTCTGAGGGCTCTGACTTTTCTGACCTTAGGGAGGTTAAAGGGCCTGAATCCTCCTTTTCTGCCAGATAGGAGTGAATGCCCCTTCTCTGCCAATATCACTCCTGTTTAAAGGATAAGAGAGGTGGTGCCCTGAGAGACAGTAGGGCCTACAAGAAACAAGTGTTCACAGGTAGAACACTGCTGTCCACTTTTGCTTGGTGTGGACTCATCAATCCTCCAGAGATCATACAGCAGTCCAAAAAGTGGGGCCCCCGAAGAGGGAAACCTCATGTTTTTAGATCTGTCCATAGGCTTGATCTGATGTGGAGAGACTAGATTAAAGGCAAACTTTTTATCTTGCAACTTGGCCTTGGCAAATTAAATAGAAATATGTCACTATAAAAATCAATTAAATAAAAAGGAAGGCAGTAAGAGCAGAAAAGAGGAGAAAATACCTACAAGAAACAAATAGAACTATTAACAAAATGGAAGTAGTCCATTCTTTTCACAATTAAAATGAATATATACATAGAGTAAAATTTCCAACAGAAATGTGTAAATTGGCTAAAGAGATTGAAAGAAAAAACGATTTGTTTTCTGCTGTCTATAAGAAACTCACTTTAGATCTAAGCACACAGATAGGCTAAAAGTGCAAGTATGAAAAATATCTTCTAGGAAGATTGCAATCAAATGAGAGCAAGAGGGGTCATAATTATGCAAAATACACATTAAGTCAAAACTGAATTAAAGGACAAATAAAGATAGTATATAATGATACAAGTGTTGATTCACTGGGGAAGCTGTGTTAATAATAAATATATGTACACTTCACATCGGGGTTTCCAAATGTATAAAGCTAAGATCGACCCAGATGAAGAAAGAAATAGCTATGCAAAAATAGTAAGAGACATAATTATCCGACTATCAGTAGCAAACTCTGTAAACCGAACAGACATATAGAAAACACTCATCACAGTGAATAGATTCAGGAAGCTGAAGGCCCATGGGACATGACCAACTCAGCATTCCACTGGAGGCTATATGATCAAACAGCAAACTGTTTATCATGAATGCAGGATGTGGGCAAACTCACACTGCCCTGCCACCAAAAGGTTTGCTGAGGGCCTCATTCCCTGGCACCAGGCTCCTTGAAGTTATCTACTGAGAAATCCAGTGCCTATTGTTCTAAGAATGTAGTCTCTCGAGTCAGCTGTGAATCAAGCTGCTGGTGGAAAACCACCCCCCGCTTCTCACTATCTCTCTTACCTAATAAATATGGAGGGCTGTGTAAAGCTCAGGTACCTTGTTCACTAGAGGCAAGATGCCCCTGACCCCTTTTTCCAAATATACCCCTTTGTCTCTTGTCTTTTATTCCTGCATTCACCCTGCTTTGTTCAGTCCAATAGGTCTGTGTAGGCTACAAATAGAAGTGAAAAAAAAGAAAAAAAAACACTTCACACAACAATATCAGAATACACACTTTTTCCAATAGGTCATGAAACATTCTCCTGAGTAGATAACCTACTAGGACACAAAACAAGTTTTACCAAATTTTAAAATGTTAAAATATGGGCTAGGCATTGTGGCTCATTCTTATAATTCCAGCATTTTGGGAGGCTGAGGTGGGAGGATTAGTGAGTTTAGGAGTTCGGCGCCAGCCTGGGCAACATAAAGAGACCCTCTCTTTAGAAAATATAAAATTTAAAAATTAGCTGGGCATAATGGCACATGCCTGTGCGTCCAGCTACTCAGGAGGCTGACGGGGGAGGATTGCTTGAGCCTGGGAGATCGAGGCTCTGGTTAGCCATGATTGAGCCGCTGTGCTCCAGCCTGAGCAACAGAGCAAAACTCTGTTTCAAAAAAAAGATTAAAATATTACAATCATTTTTTATTACAAGGGAATAAAATTAGAAATCAATAGCAGAAGAAATATGGAAAATCTACAAATATGTGGAAATTAAACAACACACTCTTCTGCATGCTCTCGTTCAAGGGTTGGAAGACAATATTGTGAAGATGTCCACACTACCCAAAATGATCTACAGATTCAATGAGATCTCTATCAAATTTTAACTGTCATTTCACTTGGCAGAAATACAAAAAACATTTCTAAAACTTATATGGAATCTAAAGTGACTCTCAGGAGCCAAACAACCTTCAAAAAAAGAAATAATATTGGAGGCATCACACTCCTTGACTTTATAATGTATTACAAGATTACAGTAACCAAACTATTTAGTACTGACATAAAGGCAGACACACAGACAAATGGAACAGAATAGAGCACAGAAATAAACTGTCATATATATGGCCAAATGAAGAGTTATTTGTATATCCATATTCATTGCACAACATTATTCACAACAGCTGATAGGTGGAAGCAACCCAAATGTCCCTCAATGAATCAGTGAATAAAGACAAATTGGAATATACAAATAATGGAATATTATCCAGTTTTTTAAAAGCAGGAGATCTGATTATTTTTACACTAAGGATAAATCTGGAGGACATTATGTAAATAAAATAAATGAGTCATAAAAGGACACTGTGTGATTCCAGTTAAATATCTAAAATAGTTAAACTCTTAGAAACAGAAAGTAGAATAGTATCAGTCAGAGCCTCAGGGGAGGAGATAAAAGGGTAGTTGTTGTTTCATGGCTATTGAATTTTAGTTTTGCAACATAAAAACATTCTAGAGATATGTTGCATAACAATGTGAATATATTTAATATTATTTAACTATGTACTTAAAATATTTAAGATGGTAAATTTTATGTGGTTTTGACTACATTAATAGTGAAAAACTTTCTAAAGAGATACATATTTATCAATCTTTTCAAAAATTACCTTCAAATCCTAAAAATATCAGAAAAACAATAAAGAGGCCAGGTGCAGTGGCTCATCCATGTAATTGAAACACATCAGGAGGCTGAGGAGGGAGAATAGCTTAAGCCCAAAAGTTGGAGACCAGCATGGGCAGCGTAAAAAGACCTCAGCTGCAAATCACAAGAAGAAGGAAACTGGCAAATGAAAAAATATGTGAAACTTAAAACAGAACACTCTTGACTTCTTGTTCAAGGGTCAAAAAATTTAATATTATTAAGATGTCAATACTACTCACAGTGAAGCACAAATTCAAAGTATTTTCTATCAAAATCCCAATGTTACATTTTTTTCAGAAATATTAAGTCTTAAAATTCATATGGAATCTCAAGGGACAATGAGTAGCCAAAGTAGCTGTGGAGAAGAACAAAGTTAGAGGTATCACACTTCCTGATTCCAAAATATATTATAAAGCTATAGCAATACAAGCAGAAAGACAAATAGATGATGGAACAGAATAGAGAACCCAGAAATAAACCTTTATGAATATCATCAAATAATCTTCAATCAGGCTGCCATGACCGAACAACAGGGAAGAACAGAATAGTGTTCTAAAATTGAGTATCAAAATGGAAGAAAATAAAATTGGACTTTTCACTTGCACCATATAGAAAACTATCTTAAACACTTAAATGTAAGTAAGATCGCTATAAAAGTCTTAAAATATAAGGTAAAAATCATGACATTTGTCTTGATAATTTTTTTAACATGACATTAAAAGCAGAAGTAACAAGAAAAAAGCAGGAAAATGGGTCTACCTCAAATGTAGTAAGCTTTCTGATAAAGAGAAAACAGCTGGGCCTGGGGGACCACTACCACCAAGACGCAGAGACCAGTAGTGGCCCCGAATGGCTGGGCACGCTGATATTTATTGCATACAAGACAAGGGGGCAGGGTAAGGAGGGTGAGTCGTCCAGGTGATTGATAAAGTCAAGCAAGTCATGTGATCATGGGACAGGAGGCCCTTCCCTTTTAGGCAGCCAAAGCAGAGAGGGAAGGCAGCATACATCAGTGTTTTCTTCTATGCATTTATAAGAAAGATCAAAGACTTTAAGACTTTCACTATTCCTTCTACCGCTATCTACTAAGAACTTCAAAGAGGAACCAGGAGAATGGGAGGAACGTGAAAGTGGACAAGGAGCGTGACCACTGAAGCACAGCACCACAAGGAGGGGTTTATGCCTCCGGATGACTACGGGCAGGCCTGGATAATATCCAGCCTCCCACAAGAAGCTGGTGGAGCAGAGTGTTCCCTGACTTCTCCAAGGAAAGGAGACTCCCTTTCATGGTCTGCTAAGTAACAGGTGCCTTCCCAGGCACTGGCATTACCGCTCGACCAAGGAGCCCTCAAGCGGCCCTTATGTGAGTGTGACAGAGGGCTCACCTCTTGCCTTCTAGGTCACTTCTCACAATGTCCCTTCAGCACCTGACCCTATACCCACCAGTTATTCCTTGGTTATATGAGTAATACAACAAAGAGTAATATTAAAAGCTAGTGATTAATAATGTTTATACTAATGATGGATAATGTCCATGATCATCTCTATATCTAATTTGTGTTATAACTATTCTTTATTCTAACTGTTTTCTTTATTATACTGCAACAGTTTTTACCTTCAGTCTCTTGCCTCGGCACCTAGGTAATCCTTCACACCCACATGTTTCTACAAAGGAGATATACAAACGGCCAAGAGGAATTTTAAAAGATGCTGCAAATCATGAATCTTTAGAGAAATGAAAAGCAAAACCCCAGTGAGATATTACCTCACATTCATTAGGATGGCCACTATCAAATAAGAGAAAATAACAAGTGTTTTCAAGGATGTAGAGAAATTGGTATATTTGTGCACTGGGTGGTGGAAAAAATAATCATGCAGCCATTATGAAAAATAGTACAGAGTTTCCTCAGATTATTAAAATTGGAATTATGATGTGGTCTGGCAATACCATTTCTAGATATCTATCTAAATGTGCAAAGCGGGACCTGAAAGAAACATTTACATACCCATGTTTATGACAGAATTATTCTAAAAATCCAAAAGGTAGAAGCTACTTGAATGTCCCTTGACAGATAAATAAGTAAATATGATATATACATACAATGAAATATGATTTTAAAAGGAAATCTTATCACATGCTGCAATGACAATAAACCTTTAGGGCATGATGTTAAGTGAAATGTGCCAGGAAACAAAGTGACAGTGATTGTGTGATTCCACTTATGAGATATCTTAAGTAGTCCAACTCACAGAAATGGAAAGTAAAATGTTAAGGGCTCAGGAGAGGGTAAAATGGGCAGTTGACGTATATGGGTATTGAGTTTTAGTTTTGCAATGGAAAAGCTCTAGAAGCCTGTTGCATAACAATGTGGATATATGTACCACTAATAAATTATGCAATTACAAATGTATAGACTGGTAAATTTTGTTGTGTTTTATTACAGTTAAAATATTGTAAAGTGATACATAAAAGAGATACCGAGTTACAAACTTTTTGGAAAATTACCTTCAAATTATAAATGTGTTTTCCTCACACAAAGAAAATATAGATTTGTTCAATAAATACGTGGGTAAGTTAAGACTACTTATATGACTACTGTCCTGAACAAGATAAAACAACTTTTGACACCAGCCAAGAAGAGAAATATGCAAGATAATTAAGAAGAAATAGACTATACTTACAGAGGCAAACAAACACACGATTTTATTGGTGGTAGATATGGCTGATTCATATTTTGATTAAACATCACATTGACTTAACATGTACATAGAGTTGCAGATTTACATCCAAAATCATAATACGTAGGTAAAACCAAACTCACAAAACACGAATGTCAAGGAACTTACCAAAAAAGAAAAAAAAAATAGTAATATGAAATTTCAAGAAAGAATGAGAGAAACAACGAAAAAACTCCTATATAAAACATAGATTTACAACTAAGAAAGAATCCTCCTAGATAACTACAATCTTCAGCTGTGACTGTGCATCCGTGGTGAGCAGGGATTTTGAATCAAGACTGCGTTAGGAAGAGGCTCAAGGGGGCAGACAGTGCCACCTCCAGAGAAGCCACTGCTCCTACTCCTGCCTCTCCTGCTACTGCCGCCACCGTCCTCTGCTCCTGCAGCCCCCACTGGGCGCCCGATTCCTTCTTGGAGTGCGGAGGTCCTGTTCCTTCAGGAACGACAGACAGCTTTTCTCCCCGTCTCCTCGTTTGCTCAGCCGGCAGGTGCAGGACTGGAGATCTGAGGTGGTCCTGCGTCTCGAGGAGCCGGGCGCCCGACTGTGAGAAGGAGGAGGCAAGCTATGGGGAGAGGGGGCGACAGGAATGCCAGGCTCATGAGGCCGGCGGCCGCGGCCCAGGCAGGGCTGGCTGCTGCCTGGGCCGGATGGTAAGAGATACTGTGGAAAGAAAATAAAATAAAATAAGTAATAATAAAGTTTAAAATAATAAACCTAACATAGGTAATAGTTAACATTCAGCATAGGTTACTTAGAAGTTATACATAGGCTAAGAAATTCCAGCAGTCCATTCCAGCATTGCTAACAAGTTGCAGCTGCGAGCTTATCTCAATCTTCCAAGCTTATTGCCTGCCTCCAGACCCCCGCATATTCCTGTAATTCGTGTTTTCCCTTACCCCAGCTCTGTTCAGCTTCAAAGTTGACTGGACAAAATAACTAAATTGTAAGTTCTCTCCGAATTGTCACGGGTTGGATAATTTACTGTCTTTGTCTGAAACCTGTAACCTGCCTTGTTTTCCCGCCTCAAACGGCACTTAAGCAAGCCTGCTTTCTTTGCAGGGGTCGGCAGCCATTTTGGGCATGAGCCTGCTGTTGGCTCAGGTGCCTGAATTAAATAAAGTTCTCTTTGGTCTCCAAAGGTCTCTTCGTGTTCCTTGGCTGGAGTTTTACTACAACAGTACCAGATGTCGCCACCATCCCCATCCTTGGCCCCCTAGCCGTCATTCATACATCCTGTGTTCAACAAACAGAAGTGGCAGCGGGAGCTGCTGCTCCGGGAGGGGGAGTGGCCTGGCAGGGGGCACACAGCTGCTACCTGCTGCGAGGCGAGTTGGTCTGCAGCCTGGGCCTTTGTGCAGGACACATCGCCGCCCTTGTCCCGCTTGCTCCCCCGCCTGCCACGCAACATGCTCAGGTGCCAGATCTCGGGCATTCCTGGCAAGCATACTGTGGTGGGGAGGCAGCAGGGAGGAGGGGTTTGCCAGGAGCCCTGAACAGAGGTTCTTGGCATGGAGAAGAGACAGAGGTGGCTGACTGGTTCCAGTTTTAGGTGGGTGGGGGGAGGGGGCGGCAAACCCCATGGGACTTTGTTTTTTTCAAGGAGACTTCAGTTCACTTCTTATCTGTTCTCCACCCGCATAAGCCTCTGAGAACAGAGGAGATGGGGCTCTTTTAAATTGGCCTGGCCGTAACGGTCTGGACCCTTGCCGCAGGGCAGATCTCATTTGGGGGCTCTTTGAAGCCTGGAGGCTCACGCCTGTCCATCCCAGGTGTCTTCAATATAGGGTCAAGTTAGGCCTGGCTGGCAATGATGCTGGGATGCAGGACGATCTGGCCAGATCTTCGCCTGTTACAGGATATTTTAGCCTTCAGCACCCTGCACCATTTCCCTCACCTGCAGAAGCCCCCGTGAGCCTCAGTGTTGCTAGGGCCCAGACCCTGGATGCCTCTCTATTAGGTTCCCACTTTACCCCACCTAAATGCACCAGGCCCTTACTCTGCCTTTCCCCTTTTCCCAGAACATGCCCCATTCAACTCCAACAGGACATGTCTGGACCACGTGCACCCCTCTTCAGTGTTAAAACAGAGAAAATAATGTATTTTTCACTGAACATGTAACTGATTTAACATATAAGGAGATCAGCTTTATGTGTAGATATGCATGTAAATATACACAAAATTTCTAACGTTGTGGGAAAATTAACATCTTTACACTTTGTTCAGTGATTTTATAGTTTTCTCTCTCTTACTCACTTGCTTCTTTTTTTTTTTTTTTTGAGACAGAGTCTTGCTCTGTTGCCCAAGCTGGAGTACAGTGGCAAAATATCAACACACTGCAGCCTCTGCCTCCTGGGTTCAGAAGATTCTCAGGCTTCAGCCACCCGAATAGCTGGAATTACCAGCATGAGTAACCATGCCCAGCTGTTTTTTGTGTTTTTAGTGGAGACGGGGTTTTGACATGTTGCCCAGGCTGGTCTCGAACTCCTGGCCTCAACTGATTTGCCCACCTTGGTCTCACAAAATGCTGGGATTACTGGCGTGAGCCTCTATGCCTGGCCTACTTGTCACTATCTCTATGTTTATTTGTTCAATAGGAAAATTCTCAGTGAAGACTCCTCAGCATGATGAAGATAAGCTTGCACAATCAGTCATTGATAGATGCTTAGTGGAAAAACTTCCAATTCCCATTTGCAGCTCTCAGAGCTAGGATTAAAAACTCCTGGTCACAACCTCATGTGATGAGATGTTATAGCATGCCCTCATTTTCTACATATCCACCTGCATTTACAATTAGCTTTCAAACTTGCTAGAAGGGAAAGAAGTGGGAATGTGTCCCCCTTAGAGCTACTTTCCTCCCCGTGCTGGGTTTCCAGTTTGTGCATTGTCCAGATGGCCCAGGAGCTTATGATCAAAGTGAAGAGGTCCTGTTTGTCATGAGAATGTTGCTTTGCTGCATCAGGATTCAGTGAAACTGTTCACCACCTGGAGCCCATGTGGACTCCAGAGGCAGGATGAAGCTCAGAAACCGTCACTGAGGTTAGGAAGTGAGCACCAAAGTTGAGGGCTGCCCACAGGAGAGGGCCAAAATGCTCCCTTTGGATTTCCAAGTGGTTGCTTCTTGCATCAGTCTTGCTTCTGACCACACTGTGTTCCTGGTCCCGTCTTCCTGGCATTTTGCTGTTTGTGTCCAAGGGAAAGAGTCCTGGATGGCAGTGCTGAGAAGGATGCCTGCCTGCTAAAGCTGATCCCCTGGTGAGCTCTGCAGCCTGTTAAGCAGAGCCTGAAATTCTTTCTCACTGAGTGGTGATTCAGACCACGGAGGGCCCTCCTCTTGTGGATCTGCATTCTGAAAAGATTGTGCCTTTTCCTGAAACTCTGGGACTTGTAGAAGATCATGCAGATGACTGGTGTGGTTGCTCCAGCAGATAGATGGCTCTTTCATGGCTTGTGCCTGTTTCTGCCACAGGTAGACCTATGTGCATGGGCTACTAAGGTGCTCCTGCTCCAGGTTGCCATTGAATCATGGCATCCTGGGACCCGTTGCCTAAGCTCCACCACTTCTGAAGGTGGGATGTGTCCTGTTGACCCAGACTCTAAAATTGTGGCTAAGGATGACCAGGCTGTGGCTGTCCCTTTAAGGCAGAACTTCCAGGCCAGTGTCTTATTTTTCTTGTCATCCTAAAGTTTTCCTTTCGACTGAGGCCAGAAACAAGTCTGTGTATGGGAGAGCCTCCCTCCTAGAGTTGGTACCATTGACATATGACTCCTAAGTGCCAGAAGAGGTTGAGAGAACTCTCCCATCTGCACAGCCAGGGTGCTATGTGCATCGTGACCCTTGGTGCCTGGCTCACACAGCCTGCAGAGGGATCCAAAAAATCACAGGTTGTGGGAGGTGAAGGAAGAGCTGGTACAAATGACAGGTGGCTGCTGACAGAATAGGAGGCAGGAAGATGAGACCTGCCTGGGGTAGTGCACATGTTTTGTTCCAGCCAAACAGTCAGATGAGGTCTTGGTCTTGGACCCGCTGCCAGGGAATTCACAAGCCCGCTTCTGCTGTGGCCTGGGAGCTGAGGTCTTTGGTTCTGAAACCAAATGTAAATTTTGGACTCTGAAATGCCTGTCTGTTTAGCCAGTTTCTCTATAATGGTGATTCCAGGAAAGGAATTCTCTTGGAAAATGTTGAGGGTCCTTCTCAAAGGCTTTAATGAGTACACTGGTGTGTGATTGAGTGATGGATGTCCTTTCCTCCTGCCTTCTTATTTGACTTGCACAATAAATATTAACTATGGCAGTTACGGTCATATCTTTCTTTACAACATAAGAAACTTAAGTCATTCATTGATGACACCAAAGCCTCATTCTCCTACATTAAACATTCTCCTACATTAAACTTCTTGAATCTTCTGTGCCAACTGTCTAGAAAACCTAAACACATGAAATACTACAAATTAGAAATAAATACCTCAATAGGCACCAATTATAAAAGCAAATCCAAGAAGGAACAGAATATATGAATACACATATAACAAGTAAAGAGATTCAATTAATTAAAAATCTTCACAAAAAGAGAAGCCCAGAGCCACATGGCTTAACTGGTAAATTCTACTAAACATTTAATGAAGAATTAATGCCAACTCTTTACAAGGCCTTCCAGAAAATATGGGACAGTTATTGGGAACACTTCCCAATTTGTTCTGTGAGGCCAGTATTACCCTGATACTAAAGGCAGACAAAAGCATCAGAAGTAAATATGTGTATGGACGAATTTCCCTGATGAATACACACAGAGAAATTCTCAAAAAAGCGAAATGAATCAAGAATATATCAAAATGAATGTACACCATGACCAAATGGAATTATTTTACAGATGCAATATTGATCTATCCGATAATCAATCAGTGCCTTACACAAAGTAATAGGATAAAGGAAATTAACAGAAAGAGCCTTTCAACAGACACAGGGAGCATTTGACCAATCCAATATTCATTCACAATCTCCCTGGAAAGGAAGGGTACAAGCAAACTTCCTAAATCTGCTAAAGAGCATCAATGAAAAACTTACACCTAACGCCATAATAGTAAAATACTGGTTGTTGTGTCTTGACATTTTAGAACAAGGCAAAAATGTTAACATCCAAAGAAATTACATGAGAGAAAAAAACAAAATCATCAATGTGGGAAAATAAGATGTTAGAATTGTCTATCATTGCAGAGGACATAAGTGAATATAAAAGTTTATAAAAAACTCATTAAAACCCACTAAAACCAATACATGAGTTCAGCAAGGTCACAAGATACAAAATCAATATGCAAAGTTCAATTGTACTTTTATGTACTAACAATGATCAACCTGAAAATAAAATTAAAAAAACAATCCATTTGTGTATGTATGAAAAAGAAAGAAATATTTAGGAGTAGATTTAATGAAGTGCAATTTTACCGTAAAAAGAAATCTTTGTTAAAAAATTTTAAAACACTGAAAAAAATAGGCATCAATGTTTATTTAGTTAATGTTATTCCATTATCCAGTGTATCCATTTAAACTCCACACAATAAAACAAAATATATTTTAGCATTATTTTAGTGTAATAAATACAGGTTTGTAGAAAACTCATAAAAGGAACTAATTCTACATGTCCAGAATAGCCCATCCTAATTTTTCTATTTTACATCTACTGTAAATCAAACCGATTTTGTTCCATATTTTATAGCGGAACGTAAGATAAAATCCAAATTGTTAAATACGTGAGATTGATTATAAGCCCACCAAGGAGGTTTTTACTCAGTGTGGGAATTCAGAGAGCATGAAGTTGCAAAGACAGAAGCAAATGTTTTTGAATGAATTATGAGGGACAATACTCACAGGAGTGCTTCACACTTTTATCAACTGACTCATGTCATCTCACTTTAGGAGAAACTGCCTCTAATTTTAGACATTGGTTCGTAGCAAATGCTAAATGAACCAGCACCAAGTTTATATCCAGGAGAACTGCTTACTCTAGAGGATTTTGTCTCTTGGATAATGACATGATTCTGTCTTTCATAGGCTACTCCAAAACTTCTATAATGATGGTAGAGTTTAGTGAAGTGGAGCATCGGCATGCCATCCCCATGCTCCTGACAAGCAGCAGCAGCTAACCTAAGCACAGTCACATAGGGCATGCCATTGACACCCACCTTGCTGTTGTTCACCTCCACATACTAAGTTGCCATACACTTTGCAGTGGAATTTCACCTTACTGCATCTGGTTGGTCAGCAGTCCTGCAGGTAGAAAGAGTTGGTCAGGAGGGCACATTGAGAGAATAGATGAGAGCTCAGAGGCTGCCTAGCTCCCTGCACCCTGCCCACAGGCCACAGTCCTCACCCAGCTGTCCAGCATGCATGTCTGCTGAAGGCTGCTGCACTTGTTCTTCATCACAGAGGTGGGATGAAAGCAGTCTGAGGGCACCACACTCCATGATCAGGGTCTACTTCTGGTGCCATAGCTCCAGGTGGAAGGACAGGTAAGCAAAAGACAGGTCCCACCTTCCACATCCAGCCCACACTCCCACCAACTTCCAGGCCCACCTCAATATCCTGATGTGATGCTCTCCTTAGACCTCTTGTGGTTCTTCAGCCAGGAGATGGAGAGAGTGGGGTTGCTAGGAGCCAGGCAGTGAAAGTTGGTTGTGGTGGCCAGCATGGCTGGCAGTTTCCTGTCCATCCACTGGGGCAAAGTCCAGGAAGGGGTCTCTGCTGGTGGAAGCACACATGAAGGCCATAGCTGAGGTGAGGAACAGAGACCAATCTGACCAGACCCCCGATTCAAGATCACCCTGCCCACTCCGAGTCTCATGTTTTTCTCCTGTGTAGGGAGAGTGTTGACATTTCAAGGACATCTACTTGGGCTGAATGAGGCTCCCAGGAGCTTCAACACAATGTCCCCACCCAGTCATGCTCAGAGCTGGCAATGTGTGCCTTTCTATTCCCTCTGCTTCCCCCAAGTGGCTGCTCCTGCTGAGAGGCTGGGGTTCTTCATCCTGGCCTGAAAGCCTCAAAGAATAATGGAGTCTCGAGGGGATACCCCACCTGCACAGGGAGGCACATGGGGAGGGCCCACCAGGAAGGAGGCCCAGCAGGTAGCCCAGCTAAGTGAGTGAGTCAGGACAGGCATTGGGAGCAGTTTACCAGGAGAAGAAACCCAGCCCCTTGCAGAGCTGGGAGCCTCAGAAGCAGCTGAGAAGCCTTGGTCCACAAGCCTCTGAGCCCATAAGCCACCCCCTGCAGAGCTTCAGGGCCCGGCGGGCACTGGTGAGGATGGCGGCCTGGAGGCTTCGTCTCTTTTTTATCCTGACTTCCAGGGCTGTCACCATTCCCCCTCTCACACCTCAGCTAGTTTTTCTAATTTCTGGGTGCTGGGGTGGGGCTGCCTTCCTGCCTGGACTTGTGGGTAGGCTCAACTGCCTTACCCCCAGGAGAGAGGCACTAGGGGCCCAGGAAAGAGAAAGGAGGCAGCCGCTTCCCCACAGTGACCTCCTTGCCATTCACATGCAGCGACAGGCCCACCTTTCGGTGGAGGATGCTGAAGCACAGCCGGGAGCTGTGTAGAGAGACGCTGGGAAGAGGCACCAATCACAACTCTGAGCTGTCCTCTGGGATTCCAGGGGTGGGAGATGGGGACCCACTGGTGATTAAGACAGCTCAGCAAACTGTGGCACAGGATGTTCCCAGGACTGGGAGACAACAGTGACTCAATGCTGCTCACTTCTAGACTGTGCCTTCTTAAAGTGGCTCTTCAGTTACCCCCAGAGCTTGAGCCCACACCATCCTGGGATGGCTGGGTAGGCAGAGGTGAGCAGGGACTCAGGGGGAGTGCACAAGGGTGTGTGGGCAGGGGCAGAGGCTGTTGAGGCAGGTGAGGGGAAATTTTCATCCTTTCCTGTCTGCTCCTCCCGGGGTCTACTTTCCTCTCTTCCCTCTGCCTCTGGCTCCCTGGCTGGCTCCTCCTCACTTTCTTTCCTGCTCACTCCAGAGGTCTCAGGGGCTCAGCCCACCACCAGTGGTCCCCAAGTTGCAGCTGCCTCTCCCATGCCTATCCCATGAGGACCCTCATCTGCCTGAGCACATCTCTGGGCTCCTCTGAAACCAGAAGCCCCATCTTCCTGACAGACCCCTCCACAACTGGGCAGAGTTCACCTGCCACTGTTCCAGGCCAGAATGACTGGGAATTGTTCCGCTGCTGCTGTTTCACACCCACAGCCAATCCCCCACAAATGCTGTTGGCATCACTTTTACAACCCTCATGGCCACCCTGCCCTCCTGCTGGGCTGTAGCTTTTGTCCCCTCCATCCATCTGCCCCTTGGCAGCCACCTGAGCCCCCAAGCACTGCTGTGCTCACACCTACAGTAGCCACCTCACCCAGAGCCAACATCAAAGTCCCCACAGGCCAATCCTGGCCTCCTCACTGCTCCTGGAACCCCAGGACCCTGTGCCCCAGTCTCCCCATCTGCAGCATGTGTGTCTCCTCTGACCCCCAGCCTGCCCCACAGAGCCCAAGACATCCAGAGCCATCTAATAGATATGTAATACATATCAATTACATAATAATTCATGATACATCATATTATATACAAAGTACGATGTCATAATGTACTGTGATGCCATAATACATATGAAGTATAATGTCATAATATATTGTGATGTCATAACACATACTGATGATGATGTCACAATATACTGTGACGTGATAATGCCTATGAATTTTGATGTCATAATACATGTGCATTATGATGTCATGATATATTGTGATGTTGTAGTATAAATTATGATGCCATAATATATTATGATGTCATGTTGTGTGTGCATTATGATGTCATAATATATTGTGATGTCATAATACATATGAATTATGATATCATAATATGTTGTAATGTCATAATATATTTATTTATCACATTAATGGTATAATAACATAAACTTTGTCAGGTAATTTTACAAGAAAATTCAGTGAAATTTTGTAACAATATTAACATCTAAAGTAGCTTATAATCATGATGAAAAATGAAAGAGCTGCAGGAATCTCACATGGTAGGAGTTGAAACAGGAAAGATCAGGGAGGGATATGCTTCACTTTTAAACCACCAGATCTCGTGAGTACTCACTATGACAAGGACAGCACAGAGCCATGAGAAATCTATCCCCATGATTCAACCATCTACCACCATGCCCCACCTGTAACATTAGGGATTAAAATTCAATATGAGATTTGGAGGAGACATCTAAACTATATTATATGACCATTAGTGTGGGCGAAAGGTCACCAAGGTGCCAAGGCAAGAGACTGAAACAAACTGTTTCAGTATAATAAAGAAAATTGTTAGAATAGAATAGTCATAATACAAATTAGATATAGAGATGATCATGGGCAATTATCAATCATTATTATAAACATTATTAATCATTAGCTTTTAATATTACTCTTTATTGCATTGCTAATATAACCTAGGAATAACCGGCGGGTATAGGGTCAGGTGCTGAAGGGACATTGTGAGAAGTGACCTAGAAGGCAAGAGGTGAGCCTTCTCTCATGCCCCCATAAGGGCCGCTTGAGGGCTCCTTGGTCAAGTGGTAATGCCAGTGTCTGGGAAGACACTCATTACTTAGCAGACCATGAAAGGGAGTCTCCTTTCCTTGGAGGAGTCAGGGAACACTCTACTCCACCAGCTTCTTGTGAGAGGTTGGATAAATTATCCAGGCCTTCCCACAGTCATCCAGAGGCCTAAACCCCTCCCTGTGGTGCTGTGCTTCAATGGTCACACTCCTTGTCCACTTTCATGTTCTTCCCATACTCCTGGTTCCTCTTTGAAGTCTATAGTAGATAATGGTAGAAGGAAGTCTTAAAGTCTTTGTTCTTTCTTATAAGTGCATAGAAGGAAACGCTGACGTATGCTGCCTTCTCTCTGTCTGCTTCGGCTACCTTAGAGGGAAGGGCCCCCTGTCCTGTGATCACATGACTTGCTTCACCTTGTCAATCACTTAGAAGATTCACCCTCCTTACGCTGCCCCCTTGTCTTGTATGCAATAAATATCAGCCCGTCCAGCTGTTCGGGGTCACTAGTGGTCTCTGCGTCTTGGTGGTAGTGGTCCCCTGGGCCCAGCTGCTTTCTCTTTATGTCTTTGTCTTGTGTCTTTATTTATTATAATCTCTCGTCTCCGCACACAGGGAGAACACCTGCTAAACCCCGTAGGGCTGGACACTACACATTAGAAAAACAGATGAGGCTGGATACGGTGGCTCATGCCTGTAATCCTAGCACTTTGGGAGGCCGAGGCGGGTGGATCACAAGGTCAAGAGATTGAGGCCATCCCGGCTAACAGAGTGAAACATGGTCTCTACTAAAAATACAAAAAATTAGCCAGGCATAGTGGCACACACCTGGAGTCACAGATACTCGGGAGACTGAGGCAGGAGAATCACTTAAACCCAGGAAGCAAAGATGTAAGCTGCACTCCAGCCTGGGCAACAGAGTAACAGAGCAACAGAGCAACCAGCACTCCAGCCTTGGCAACAGAGCAAGACTCCGTCTCAAAAAGAAAAGAAAAGAAAAGAAAAACAGATGAAACATTCATGGTTTCTACAGATACTTTCATTCCAGAGTAAACGGATACACGATTGAATTCTGTGGTTAGAAGAGAAAAGGGAGGTGTACGGGGGACTTTGGCTGCATTTGTTCTACTTCCCTTATGCTGTTGTTGTGAGTTCTGATGTCACCACCTGAAGGGCTCTTCATAGACAGAAGAATTATGGCTATTGTTGTGATTATTCCTTTTTCTTTTACCTTAGTAAAAATAAATTTTTTAGCTTCTCATATAATTTTTTAAAAAACCCTAAGAGATTTAGTCAAATTCCTTGTTATTGTATGGTACAAAAATTGACAGGGAAATGGCTAAAATATATTAAAATTACACAAACTCTAGGAGTCAAGTTTCTATTGGGCAGTATTAGGAAAGACAGAACTGGAAACACTCCACCATAATAGACATCGAAGGGGGCCAGCCCCTCCACACCTGTGGGTATTTCTCGTCAGGTGGGAGGAGAGACTGAGAAAAGAAATAAGACACTGAAACAAAGTATAGAGAAAGAACAGTGGACCCAGGGGACCGGTGCTCAGCATACAGAGGACTCGCACCAGCGCTGGCCTCTGAGTTCCCTCAGTATTTATTGATCATTATTTTTACTATGTTAGTGATGGGAGTGTAGCAGGGCAACAGGTGGGGAAAGGTCAGCAGGGAAATATGTGAGCAAAGGAATCTGTATCATGAATAAGTTCAAGGAAAGGTACTGTGCCCAGATGTGCACATAGGCTAGATTTATGTTCCTCTTTACACAAACATCTCAGTTTAGCAAAGAGTAACAGAGCAGTATTGCTGCCAGCATATCTCACCTCTAGCCACAGGGTGGTTTTCTCCTATCTCAGAATAGAATGAATAGGAATGGTCGGCTTTACACTGAGACATTCCATTCCCAGGGATGAGCAGGAGACCAAAGCATTCCTCTTATCTCAACCGCAAAGAGACCTCCCTTACCATTTACCATGCCATCTCACTGCCTTGACTGGTGATTTTGAGAACTCCTGTGTCCAGTTCAGAAGTCAGAGACTTCTATCCCATCTCAGTGGGGGCAAACCTTGGACAACACCCAGGCTTTCTTGGGCAGAGGTCCCTGAGGCTTTCTGCAGTGCATTGTGTCCCTGGTTAATTGAGAATGGAGAATGGCGGTTTCATTTTTCTTGTATGCAGGATGATTTTTAGGATTTTTTTTCTGTTATATTTTTTGCATTCTGGTTACCTAGAAGGTAGTGATTATTACCCCAAACCAGGGCTTGATATTGTGTTAGTCCACTTTCATACTGCTATGAAGAAATACCTGAAACTGGGTAATTTATAAAGAAAAAAAGGTTTAATGGACTCACAGTTCCACATGGCTGGGGAAGCCTCACAATCATGGCAGAAGGCAAAGGAGGAGCAAAGACATGTCTTACATGGTGGCAGGCAAGAGAGAGAGCATGTGCAGGGGAGCTCCCCTTTATAAAACCATCAGATCTTGTGAGACTTATTCTGTTTCACAAGAGCAGCACAGGGAAAAACCCATCCCCATGATTCAAGTTCCTCCAACTGGGTCCCTTCCATGACATATGGGGATTATGGGAGCTACAATTCAAGATGAGATTTGGGTAGGGACATGGCCAAACCATATCATTCTTCCCCTGGCACCTCCTGAATCTCATGTTCTCACATTTCAAAATCAATCATGCCTTCCCAACAGTCCCCCAAAGTTTTAACTCATTTCAGCATTAACTGAAAAGTCCATAGTCCAAAGTCTCATCTGAGACAAGTCCCTTCCACCTATGAGCCTGTAAAACTAAGAGCAAGTTGGTCACTTCCTACATACAATGGGGGTACAGGTATTGGGTACCCCCAATGTATTTACACCTGTTCCAAATGGGAGACATTGGTCAAAACAAAGGGGCTACAGGCTCCATGCAAGTCTGAAATCCAACAGGGCAGTCATTAAACATTAAAGTTCCAAAATGATCTCCTTTGACTCCATGTCTCACATGCAGGTCACACTGACACAAATGGTGGTCTCCCATGGCCTTAGGCAGCTCTGCCTCTGTGGCTTTGTAGGGCACAGCCTCCCTCTTGGCTGCTTTCACTAGCTGGCATTTTGTATGGCTTTTCCAGGTACACAGTGTAAACTGTTGGTGGATCTACCATTCTGGGGTCTGGAGGATGGTGTAACTACCATTCTGGGGTCTGGAGGATGGTGGCCCTCTTCTCACAGCTCTTCTAGGCAGTGCCCCAGTAGGGACTCTGTATGGGGGACAGAGCCCACATTTCACACCTCTACTACCCTAAAAGAAGTTGTTCATGAGCCCCTGCGCCCGCCCCTGCCCCCCGCCCTGCCAAAGCAAACTTCTGCCTGGACATGCAGGTGTTTCCATACATTCTCTGAAATGTAGGTGGAGGGTCCCAAACCTGAATTCTTGACTTCTGTGCATCTGCAGGCTCCACAGCTTGTGGAAGCTGCCAAGGCTTGCGACTTGCAACCTCCGAAGACATGGCCTGAGCTGTACCATGGTGTCTCCCACCCAAGCCATGGCTGGAGTGGCTGGAATGCAGGGCATCACGTCTCTAGGCTGCACACAGCAGGGGGACCTGGCCCTGCTCCAGGAAATGATTTTTCCATACTAGGCTTTTGAGCCTGTGGTGGAAAGAGCTGCTGTGAAGATGTGAAGGTCTTTCATGTCCTGGAGACATTTTCCCCATTGTCTTGGTGATTAACATTTGGCTCCTCGTTACTTATGCGAATTTCTGCAGGAGGCTTTAATGAAAGTCGGTTTTTCTTTTTTCTTTTCTTTTTTTTTTTTTTTTGTTGACGGAGTCTCACTCTGTTGCCCAGGCTGGAGTGCAGTGGCGCAATCTCGACTCACTGCAACTTCTGCCTCCTGGGTTCAAGCAATTCTCCTGCCTCAGCCTCTCGAGTAGCTGGGACTACAGGTGCACGTCACCACACCTGGCTAATTGTTTGCATTTTAGTAAAGATGAGGTTTCACCATGTTGCTCCAGCTGGTCTCGAACTCCTGAGCTCAGGCAATCCGCCCGCCTCAGCCTCCCAAAGTGCTAGGATTACAGGCGTGAGCCACTGCGCCCGGCCAAGGGTTTTTCTTTTCTATTGCATTATCAGGCTGCAAATTTTCCAAACTTTTATGCTCTACTTCCTCTTGAACACTTTCCCACTTAGAAATTTCTTTCACCAGATACCCTAAATCATCTCTCTCAAGTTCAAAGTTCCATAGATCTCTGGAGCAGAAGCAAAATGCCACTAGTCTTTTTTGCTAAAGCTTAACAAGAGTCACCTTTGCTCTAGTTCCCAACAAGATCCTCATCTCCATCTCCGGCCCAGATATTAGGGTTTATATCACTATCAGCATTTGGGTCAAAGCCATTCAACATGTCTAGGAAGTTCAAAAATTTCCCACATTGTCCTGTCTTCTGAGCCCTCCAAGTCTCTAGGAAGTTCCAAACTTTCCCACATTTTTCTGTCTTCTTCTGAGCCTTCCAAACTGTTCCAACCTCTGCTTGTTACCCAGCTCCAATGTCGCTTCCACATTTTTGGATATCTTAATAGCAGTACCCTACTCTGCCAGTACCAATTATTGTCTTAGTGTATTTTTATACTGCTATGAAGAAATATCCGAGACTGGGTAATTTACAAAGAAAAAGAGGTTTAATGGACGCACAGTTCCAGGTAGCTGGGGAGGTCTCACAATCACGGCCGAAGGCGAAGGAGGAGCAAAGGCATGTCTCATATGGTGGCAGGCAAGAGTGTGTTCAGGGGAACTTCCCTTTCTGCCCCGTATAAAACCATCAGATCTTGTGAAACTTACTCACTATCACAAGAACAGCACATAGAAAAACCCAGCCTGATGATTCAATTACCTCCACTTGGGCCCTCCCAGGACACATGGAGATCATGGGAACTACAATTCAAGATTAAATTTGGGTAGGGACACAGCAAAACCATATCATTAATATCTAACAGGAAATGATCATTTTTTAAATGATTCTTCTACCTTTGAGAAATTGGCTAAGGCCCTTTCTCTGATCTGCAGGGGATGCACAGCTCCTCTCAGTAGTGAGCAAGTATTTATTGGAATAGCTCAGCTAAGCTAAAGTGGAGACCTCTAGTATTTTGTTTGGCTTGTCGTACAAGACATACACAATACCTAGCATGCACGGATAATGCAGCGTGCTGGTGGTGGCAAGAATGAGTGCTACTTTATAGATTATTGATGTTACTGCTTTCTGGGTAGAGGTTCTAAAGGAAGGCTGTATTTTACTTGAAAAATAATCTTCAACGGCCAGTTGGTATGATGCAAGTTGCTTATCAGTAGTTTCCTGTTTTGCTTTATAATCCCTCTCTACTGGCTCCCCAAACTTATTAAAATCCCATTGTATGAAATAACAATGTAACATAGGGAGGGAAGGAAAGAAAAGAGGCTGAGTTCATGCTTGGAGGGAAGCAAGAAGGGAGAGAACAATGCCAGCCAGGTCATGTGGCTAAGACCTGGGCCACTGGAGTTACAAATTGCTAGACTGGCAATTCTGCTGCCTCCCCTCCCAGGGCTTTTCTTGAGTGAACTGTGTGCCCAGGCCTGACAGGCACCTGACACATGGTTGGTTGGTTGGTTGGTTTTTATTGTATCCTCTATCTTTCTAGGAGCTTAGTATGTAAGATATGTGAGAGTGGCTAGGACCTGTCCCCTCAAAAAGTAAGAATGGAGCCGTAAAGGAGTAAGTGTCCATTTTCTGGGACACTCCGAGAGTCTGACTCAGGGACAGGCTGGGAAGAGGCAACTACCGTCTTACATGAGTTTTATATTGAGGAAATTCTTCCATTTCATAAAACAAAATATGGATGGGCCAGTTTAACTTAATTGTTCTTATAGTTAGTAAAAATTCCTTCTAGATTAGTCTGCATATTGGGTGTCAGTTTTACTAATTAGTGTTGTTTTAAGTTTACATTGTTTGCTTTGTTTTACTGATTTTTTTTTCTTTCTTTTTTAATAGGAACTTAGATGGGACTCCATTACAAAGGATCATCCAGATGCTGTTTAAAATTGGGCCAATTCAGCATTAAAATGAAATTACACATTCATGGGATTTGTTACGAGAGTCGGTACTGTTTTGGAGTGATTCATATAGCATTTATAAGGACCAACTCAGAGAGAGATAAATCATTGGTATAAATTATTTTTTAAGTTACTTTAGTATCAGTCATATATTCACTCACATAACAAATATGCATTGAGCTCATCTGGTCCAAGGAATTTGCCAAGCCCTGGAACTAGGGAATGATTTAAACAGACATACTACTTGACCTCAACAAATGTACAGTCAAGAAGGAAGTTATGAGCATTAAGCAAATGATTGCACAATTAATACTTAATTACAACAATGATAAGTGCATCCTGGAAAATAAATGTTATCAATCAATAGGTGCAAGGTGTCAACCTAAATAACGAACAGAGAGAGACTCTGTAAAGAACACTGGGTTGGGGATAGGGTATTTCAGTAGGAATACATGTGCCATAGTCAACTATGTATGCATTCAGGGAGGTAAAGGAAGACAAAGGTATTTAAAGAAAAAATGTGGAGGATTACACAATTGTTTTGACATAGTTATCCTTGATTACAAGGATCAATAACAAGGGTGGTGCCAGTCCAAGGTTGGACAGGCATTTGCTGGACATATGTCCTTGCAGAAGTGTTTTTTTACAAGGTTGCAATGGCAAGATTGTGGTTTTTGCAGTCTTTCGTGATAGTTCTTGTTATCAGGCATATGTGCGTGAGAATTCTCTTTTCATGGCCTTCTCCAGCTGCATTTGGCATGCTCTTCCTCCTCCTCCTCTTCTTTCTTCCCTCCTCCTCCTCCATCAAATACTTTAAAATATACAAATTTTTATTTTGTGATTCAACAGAACATAAAATGAGATTGTTGGACAGGACTTTAAGTTGGAATAGAGACAAGATTGAAACTGTGTTATGCTCAAATTCTAATGGCTTTTTAAAACAGTAATTACTACAGAGTTATTTTCATTAAGAAAAAGTTATTTAAAAATCTTTTCAAACTTCATATTTCTTCCACAGGCCCAGGAACACAGCTTGTTTGCTATTCAAAGTAGAAGTAAATATGGAGAGTGCTGTGTGTGTGTGTGTGTGTGTGTGTGTGTCTGTGTGTGTGTTTATTTTAAAAATTTATTTAGTTCTTATGTTAATATACCTTGCATTTAGGAATACTAACTAATTTGTTTGGTAAAGTCAAAAAGAAGAGCAGCCAGAGAGGTGTTCATAATGAAAGCTAGGAAAATCAGCTTTTGACTCATTTGATAGCCTCCCACCCCTGATTCAAAAATACATGGACCACATATCAAGGCCACTCAACTCATAGAGCGTTGGTGATGGGCCTGACTTAAAGTCTGAAAATTGCATATGTAAAACCATGTTCTCTATAAAAATACACACATTTGCCAAAGTCAGGAAAGGAAAAAAATTCCATTAAATCTAGGTTCAATAAGTGTATTAGAAAATATTTAATTAACTATCTCTGTTAAAACACATCTTGTGACTGCTGTTCCCTCTCTCATTGGTGTTTATTTGCTGGTAAAGTGCTCACTCATTTTTTTTTTTTTTTTTTTTTTCGAGACAGAGTCTCGCTCTTTCGCCCAGGCCTGAGTACAGTGCAGTGGCACTATCTCGGCTCGCTGCAAGCTCCGCCTCCCGGGTTCACGCCATTCTCCTGCGGCAGCCTTCCGAGTAGCTGGGACTACAGGCGCCCGCCACTGCGCCTGGCTAATTTTTTGTATTTTTAACAGAGACGGGGTTTCACCATTGTTGGCCAGGATGGTCTGGATCTCCTGACCTCGTGATCCGCCCTCCTCGGCCTCCCAAAGTGCTGGGATTACAGGCGTGAGCCACCGCGCCCGGCCTGTGCTCACGCATATTTGTTTGCTGTGTGGTGCAGTGCGACCGACCACACGGTTCTTCAGACACAACCTCTGCTTTCTCATTTACCTCAACACTTTAACCCTGAGATTCTTTTTTACTATACTTCAGTATATTTCCCAGAACATATATTGTCTATGAGGGATAAAATAAAATGTCAATTAAAAACAAAAAAATTCAGAGAAATATTAACCATTCACTCTTCTAAGTTCTCAAAGGTTACATTCTTCACCAAGTCATATAACGAGGTCCCAATAAAATACCATCATGGAGGCAATGTAACATCATGTAATTTAAAATACCATCATGCGGGCAGCTTTCAAAAGCATCCTGTAAGAAAAGGTCATTTGTACTTACATCTTTAAAAGTTTTGAAATTACTATTGAAGATTATTTTTATTGTATTGTCCATTGTCTGTTGCTTAAAGACTTATATATTTTGCTTAAGAGTTTAGAGTTACCAAAAAATAGCTGCTGACATATGCAGATACTATTTTATTAACTAACGACACCTATTTGAATTCTGGTTTTCCTTTTGGCCCTAAAGAACAAGAGGCTTAGGACTAAATTTTAGGCTGAAGGGTAGTGTTTCCTTCCCTAGGTTGTCCCATGTAATTGTCACCTCCTTCTCTTCATTATTCTGTCATTTTGCCCTTGTTTTATAGCGTCTGTGCCTTTCATTCTAAGCTGTCTCAGAGGCTTTTCTGGAAACACACAGTGTATAAGTACAAAATGATGAAATAAACATGCTTCTTTTTTTTTCTTTCTTTTTTTTTAAGACGGAGTCTCCCTCTGTTGCCCAGACTGGAGTGCAGTGGCAGGATCTCGGCTCACTGCAAGCTCCACCTCCCGGGTTCACTCCATTCTCCTGCCTCAGCCTCCTGAGTAGCTGGGACTACAGGCACCTGCCACCATGTCCGGCTAATTTTTTGTATTTTTAGTAGAGAGGGGGTTTCACCGTGTTATCCAGGATGGTCTCGATCTCCTGACCTTGTGATCTGCCTGCCTTGGCCTCCCAAAGTGCTGGGATTATAGGTGTGAGCCACCGCACCAGGCCAACATACTTCTTTATTTTGTTTTAAAAGATACTTGAGTGGGACTAGATGACCTCTAAGGTCCTTTCCAGCTCTAAATTTACGTTACTGTCACCAAAGACAAAAAAAAAAAATCTATTAGGTTATAGGTCTAGAGATGAGTGCCAAGTACTATATTCCTGCTCTAGGTGCATTTCTTGTTGAAGGCAGTGACCTGTTCGGCCGTTTACAGTCTTATGGTGATAAAACAAGAGAACTGATTGCTAAAAAAAAAAAAAATTCAGTTGAAATACCTTTTTACTCTTAAGCATCAACAAAAATAAATAGAAAACAGAAGAGTTGAATTATTTATTTTGAGCTATTTGTAATAAATTTGGACAACAAAGCTAAGCCTGAGTGTAGTTAATTTAATGAAATTAGTCATATTTGAATATCATCACAACCTTACTATCACATTAGCATTCAGTGTGATTAAAATTTATTCTTTGTTTCTTTGTGAGTCTCCACAGAATCAGCTATCAACAACTTCATAATAAACTAGCCCTTCATTGCTTTCAGGAAACTTTTAGATTCAGAGCAGGTGGTTGGACTTCTGCTTTCAAAGAGAACAAATCATTTTTTAAAGTGCCTTTCCTGTTTGTGTGTGTGAATTTAGAACACAGAAATTGTCCATTGCATTGTTTATTTTTGCTAGGAGGTAGAAGTTATCAAAAATACAGGAAATATTAGATATCACGTACTGATAATTTTCAAAGCTAATTATTTCTCTTAAGGCCAAGCTATAATTTAAGAGGTGTACTTGTGAAATATGAATATTGTTTTATAGTAATAGAATGTTTCTCACGGAAAAATAGAGTATGATTTTGTCGAAGTTCAAGGGAATATCCATTTTCATTTAGGTAGCTTCCAGATTTTTGTCTTTACATGTTCTGTGTAGTGATTTAAATACCGTACCTCCAAAATTTATGTCCACTAGTAACTTTAGAATGCGACTTTATTTGGAAGTAGGGTCTTTGCAGATATAATTAACCCAATGATTGAGATGAGGTCATCCTGGATGAAGGTGGGCCCTAAATCCAATGTAAATGTCCTTATAAGATACAAGAAAAGACACACGCAGAGAAGGTCATGTGAAGATGGAGACAGAAATTGGAGTTATGCAGTCATAAATCAAAGAAGGCCAAGGATTGCCAGGAGCCACTGGAAGCCAGGAAGAAGCGAGGGAGAATTCCTCCCTAGGGTCTTCAGAGGGAGTATGGCCCCACCAACATCTTAGTTTCAGAGGTCCAGGCTTCAGAACTATGAGAGAATATATTTCTGTCCTCTTAACCCACCAAGTGTGTGATAATTAGGTATGATGGTCCTAGGCAACTACTACACTCTAATTCAGAAGTTCTTCTGGATTTTATTATATCATGTGTTGGTAGGAAGTACCTGGGTGTTTCATTTGCATGATATGTTGGTAATCTTAGAATTGTCATATCTTGCAAGTCATTTTTAAGTATGTTGTAATGTAGTCAGAAGCTTTTTAAATATGAAATTTAATTCTTGCTGGTGTCAATTACATTTGAAAAAAATACAAAATAGCTATATAAGATTCTAGGATCTTTCAGAATTTTATAATGTTTATAATGGAAAGTTGGTTAAATAAAAATTGTACCCTACACAATTTTGTTGTTGGCTTAAAATAGCATTTAATTTATTAGTGCTCAGATAATAGTTATCCCCTCAATAGCATTTTTACTTTCATATGTTGATATCAAACAGTGAAGTGAGACAGCAAATCAGTACAACGTGGTGATTATCAAACATCATAAATCCATGAAGGATAGCGTTGATCTTACTGAGAAGAGTTTAATCTTAAAATGCATACCTGGAAAAGGCAAGTTAGATTAACATTTCAAACTCATATAGCATTATCTGATTGATTATAGTTATGACTGATCATTTTATGTTTGGACCGTCACTTTGAATCCAATTGGGATAATTATAAATTAAGGATTTATTATTTGCTTTGAATTTTAGATTAAAAAATTTAAAACCATAAAAACAGAGCTTTGACTATAATAAAGGTATTTATCCTTTCTTGGTAAGAATTGGGGAGAGATTTAAGAAAAGGCTAAGCAATGTTCTATTTTTTTACATAGGCAAAAGTTCATTTGTGCTACTTTTTAATTAGGTAGTTTTTTTTTTTTTTAATGACAGCTTCCTAAACACTACTGATTTTACATGTGCAGTCATTAGTTTTTCATGTGGAAATATTATCTTTCAAATTCACACAGCAGCTTATTTTATGAAATGCAATGGGACTACTTACTTGCCACCTGACTAAACTGGAATGCATAGATTCATACCTCGCCAAATGAGGAGTTAGGGTGAAAAGTGATTAATATCCATTCTTTAATGAGTTTCTAAGTCTTTCTGAACATGTTTTTATTCTATTTATTGCAGTGGTATGTTAACATTTTCGTGTTGGTTGCTGTACAAAGCATGATAATACCTTTATTAAAGTAATGTTAATGACATCAAAATACTATACTTTTAGTGTGAATCTGAGCCAAATTCTGTTGTATTCCAAATAAAGTGAAATTCCTGTCAGCCAATAGGGCCTGGTATCAGTTTCAAATAAGACAAGTTGGTCAGGTCAGGAGAAATGACTTCCTCCTTCCTCCTTACGTGCCGTATATAGATTTATTAGCACTGCCTTTTAATATGTTATGTGTTCAACAGAGAGGGAACTAAGATCTTGTTAATCATCATTTGAAAACAATTTTGTGAATGGAAATGTAGCAGGGCTTTTGCCTTTTTTCCTTGTTCATGAAAAACAAGTCGCGCTTGGGGAGCAAGTATTCCCGTTCAACTGCTGTCACTCATTCTTAGCTCTGTTTAGAAGAAATAAGCACAGATGGTTGGTCTACTACTTCCCCAACGAAAAATTTGCCTGTTGGCTGGGCGCGGTGGCTCACGCCTGTAATCCCAGCACTTTGGGAGACCAAGGCAGGCGGATCACAAGGTCAGAAGATCGAGATCATCCTGGCTAACACGGTGAAACCTCGTCTCCACTAAAAATACAGAAACTTAGCTGGGCGTGGTGGCAGACGCCTGTAGTCCCAGCTACTTTGGAGGCTGAGGCAAGAGAATAGCTTGAACCCGGGAGGCGGAGCTTGCAGTGAGCCGAGATCGCGCCACTGCACTCCGGGCTGGGCGACAGAGCAAGACTCCATCTTAAAAACAAAACAAAACAAAACAAAACAAAACTGCCTATCTTTTTTATGTTTTATTCCATCCTTCTCATTGTAATGTGAACAATATTTCAAGTGAAGAAACATCTGTAGGGATCTTTGAAATGTTTTATCCATTGCTTGTGCATTAAAGAGAAAAAGAAGAAATTAATGATTTATTAAAATTTCATGAGGGGAACTCAAAAACTCTTTGTTACAAAAAAATTTAATTTAGAAACAGTGTATTTTGCATGCAAAATTAAAGTCTTCAGGGAAGTAAGTTTTTATGTCAGACTTGGATCCGAAAGTACTCATTTAATGATGACAGAACCACTTCATCCACGTCATGTTAAAAATACTGGTGTGGGTCTTTTTTATTTATACTGTGGCTTAATGAAAATTTGTCTATGGTAAATATATTAAGAAAAAGAGCATAAAGACTTTTTAACATAATTTTCTAAGGCTGAAAATACGTACAAACAGTAAAATACCCAAATCTTAACTGTACAGCCCAATACTTTTTTTGTTTTTAAACAAACTTAGCCCTTCTGCGTATCCAGTACTCAAATCATGAAATTTTATATTATTACTTCTTCTAGACACTATTTCATAGGGTAGCTCCTATGGTAATTTGGAACATAACTGATTAGTTTTACAATTTTTAGTGGATTAGATCATAGAATATGTTCTGTATCTTGCTTCTTTCATTCAATATTTAGTTTATAAGATTTGTCAATCTTTTTGCATATAGTTGTAACTTGTTAGTTCTCATTGCTATATACTATACCATTATACAAATATAATGTTCAATTCGTGGTTATTTTGAACGGTGCTTCTCTGAGCATTCATGTATTTGTCTTTTGGTAAATATTGCTGCGTATATGCTCAGGGTCATAGAATATGGTTAGATTTAGCACACATGGGAAATGGTGGTGTCCGTCAGTTTACATTTTCATCCACAATGGGAGAGAGTTCCAGTTGCTCCACATCTTTGCCAACACTTGGTATCATTTCTCTTTTTCATTTGAACTGTTCTGATGTGTATGTGTCACTATTTCAATTGTGGTTATTTTGAACATTACAAAATTGGCAAAGAATAACTGATTTTATTAAATCATATTTCATTTGAAGTAATGTGTGTCTACTTTGCAGTATTTTCCCTTATTTACATGATTCATAAGAAGAGTGATTGTGAGATAGTCAACAATATAACAGCTTGGAATGAGATTTTTGATCAGCTATAATTCTAATGTATTTTATCTAAATATTATTTTACTGTATTAGTAACTGTGATCATTAAGAACAGAAACAAAAGGTAAGCAAGTCCTTAGATTAACATGAAACAACATTCCTGCCTTTTGAAAGAAACTTTTCTGGCCTGTAAGTAAATGATGTAAATCAATTAATAGCTTAACTGAAATTAAGAGATGAGTCTCAGTTTTCATTGCCTATATTATATCTGTGTTTCTGCAGGAACAGAAAAACAGTATGACAAACCTACAGTCTGCTAGTTTCTTCTCACCCTGCCAACAACTGTTATATTACTGTTTAGCTGGTTATATGCAACCATTTGTTGAGGAGGATTGTTTTGTTTTGCTTAGTTTTACTTTTTAAGGCAGAGTCTTGCTCTGTTGCCCAGGCTTGAGGTCTATGAGTTTTATACTCATAGTCACATGGTCAATGAGATGTAATCACAGCTCACTGCAGCCTTAATCTCCTGGGCTCACATGATCGCCCTGCCTCTGCTTCCTGAGTAGCTGGGACTACAGGTGCATGCCACCAAACCCAGCTTGTTGAGGAGAGTTTTGATGAAAATCATTCATCCCTTCTTAACTACAACCAGTGAAGCCTTAGAAAATGTAATTAGAGAAAAAAATAACATTTTTGCACCAAGCTAATTGTATCTTTACCTTTTATTAGTTGGTTTCAGGATTGACACTTATTGATGGTTCTATTTTGGAGTGCGCTTTCCCTGGGTTTAACTCCTTGCAGCACACTTTATATACACTGTGTGGCCTTACTTGAGTAACTTATGTTACTTAACTTCTCCAGATCCCAGATTCTCAACCTGTAGAATGGAAGTAATTATAATACAGATATTATATGGTGGGTTAGTCCAGGTCCTCCAAGAGGTAGATGTTGAAAACGAGTTATACACAAGAGGATTTTATTAAGGGAAATCCCTGTGAGAGAAAATGGAGAGGAAGCTGAGTAAGCCTGGAAGAGCTCTCAACTATGAGGCAAGTCTGACCTAGAATGAAGGAAAGAGGAAAGGAAGGTTGAGTGGAAGCATTGGAGCGTAATGTGCAGTCTAAGGAAGGGTATGAAAAGGCTTCAGGAATCCTGAGCCAAGACTGGTCCTCAGAGAAGCCCTGTGTCTCCTAAAGAGGGATGTGCATTAGCCACCTTGTGGCCCTCAGTCATTGACTGAGGGGCAGATGCAGAAACAGATTTTAGAGTGAAGCAGCAAGTGGCCGTAGGCAGTTAGGCTTCCCATACTTTGAGGTCTATGAGTTTATTTATTTATTTATTATTTATTTATTTAAATTATACTTTAAGCTCTGGGTTACATGTGCAGAACTTGCAGTTTTGTTACATAGGTATACACGTGCCATGGTGGTTTGCTGCACCCATCAACCCGACACCTACATTAGGTATTTCTCCTAATGTTATCCCTCCCCTACCCCCCACCCCCCACCCCCCACAGGCCCCAGTGTGTGATGATCCCCTCCCTGTGTCCATGTGTTCTCATTGTTCAACTCCCAATTATGAGTGAGAACATGCAGACTTTAATTTTCTGATCTTGTGATAGTTTGCTGAAAATGATGGTTTCCAGCTTCATCCATGTCCCTGCAAAGGACATGAACTCATCCTTTTTATGGCTGCATAGTATTGCATGGTGTATATGTGCCACATTTTCTTAGTCCAGTCTATCACTGATGGGCATTTGGGTTGGTTCCAAGTCTTTGCTATTGTGAATAGTGCCACAATAAACATACGTGAGAATGTGTAGAATGATTTATAATCCTTTGGGTATATGCCCAGTAATGGGATTGCTGGGTCAAATGCTATTTCTAGTTCTAGATCCTTGAGGAATTGCCACACTGTCTTCCATACAATGGTTGAACTAATTTACACTCTCACCAGCAGTGTAAAAGCATTCCTATTTTACCACAACCTCTCCAGCATCTGTTGTTCCCTGACTTTTTAAGGATTGTCATTCTAACTGGAGTGAGATGGTATCTCATTGTGGTTTAGATTTGCATTTCTCTAATGAAGTTCTATGAGTTTCTTACTCACGGTCACTAAAAGATGTTTATTATGAATGGAAATCTCCAGATAGAGTAAAGCAATGCCTAAATCATAGTTATGCACTTATCGATTTATTTATTCATATTATTCATTATCATTATGAATATTCAACACATTAATAAAAGAGCCACATATGCAATCTACTTGGGGTATTGGGAGAGTAAAGAATAACATAGCAGTGCTACAGATAATTTAAGAAACGGTTTCTCTCTCTCTCTCTCTCTCTCTCTATATATATATATATATACATATATATATACATATATATATGTATATATACATATATATATACATATATATATATATATATATGAGACACAGGTATAATTATTTTCCTTCTGCTATTTGTTATTGATGTATACTGCCAAATCCCTAACGGAAACTGGAATAGTTAACTCTAAGCTCCCCCCATGCCTACAAAAAGAAGTGGGTTCAAAGTTATTTTTTAAATCGAAAGATTTATTAATATTATTTTTATCATGTCCAATTGATATTATGATTATCAAAAAGTTTAATCACTTATTATTACTTGAAGGACCTAGTTAGGAAATGTTCAATCCACTTTTTTTCTTTTGAGACAGAGTCTCACTCTGTCACCCAGGCTGGAGTGCAGTGACGCGATCTCGGCTCACTGCAAGCTCCGCCTCCTGGGTTCACACCATTCTCCTGTCTCAGCCTCCCGAGTAGCTGGGACTACAGGCGCCTGCCACCACGCCCGGCTAAGTTTTTGTATTTTTAGTAGAGATGGGGTTTCACCATGTTAGCCAGGATGGTCTCGATCTCCTGACCTCGTGACCTGCCCGCCTCGGCCTCCCAAAGTGCTGGGATTACGGGCGTGAGCCACGGCTGCCGGCCTGTTCCACTTCTTAAAACTGGTCACTGGAAGTACATCGTCTTGGGAAGAACTGGATATTTCTTGAAACCCCTTTCATATAGCCATATTCTCAAACATAGAACCTTCTTTTATGTTTTTCAAAGATTTTTTCCATTACTGTAGAAAATTCAGAGGGTGTTTATGGATAGTGCAGTACTCTGCTCAAATATAGGGAATGAAAGTTACATTAAAATATTTTTTTGCTGAAAAGTATTATGATATTTAATGTAAGCAAACAAATTACTCAGATGATAGTGTTTTGTTTTAACTTTTTAAATGTCTTATTTCAATAGCTTTTGGAACACAAGTGGTTTAGGTAACGTGGATAATTTGTATAGTGGTGAAGTCTGAGATTTTATTGCACCTGTCACCTGAGTAGTGTACATTGTACCAAACATGTAGCTTTTTTAATCCCTCACCCGCCTGCCAACTTCCCCCTTACGAATCTCCAGAGCCCATTATACCACTCAGTGGAGAGTCTTCAACATTCACGGTGGAATCTTCAGGATGTGGCCCTCTATCCATTGCTTTCCACCGTTTGTACTCTCTGCTTTGTAAATAGAGGTCCGTTCTCCCTGTCTGCCTTGTTCACGTACCTTTGCCGTTTTCCTTGCTAGGATGACATCGTTTGCCCTGAAGTTCTCATTAACCATACCATAGATGTCCTCTTCTTACCTCAATACATCCAAGGCTACCTCAAGTTATAACTTCTCCTTTAGTTTTTCCCTAGTGTCTGAGTCCAAATGGACTTCTCTATATCCAGAATATCTACTACTTGTCTTATTTTTCCTCACACTTGGCACGTGCAGTTCCTTCCAGCTACTTTCATAATGTTGTATTTTAACGGTTCAGTTGTGTTTATATTTCACTATTCTGTCAGGCAAACAAGGGTATTCGCATGGCTGAAATCTATGGTATTTTTTAAGTGTAATAAAATGTAATGAATAAACATACAAATGAATGAGTTAATTAATATATTATATTCTTGGTTAAGTAATAAGCATTATGAGGACAAAAATTGAGTCTTACACCTTCTTATAATCCTAAAGACCTCCTACAGGACTTGGAATATAGCATGCACTTAAGACATCTTTGTGACTAATGAATTTAAATATTTTTATTAATTCTAAGTTGACATATGATTGTAATTTGGGGAAGGTAGTGAAATTTCAAATGGCTTTCACCACCTGTGAAATGACCCTTTTACATACCACATGATTTACCAGATCTTTGTTTAGGTGAACCTAGGTGAAAGCGGATTGTTTCCTCTACTTAGGAAATACTTTGCGTATTTTAGTTGCTTATAAATGTGATGATTTTAATTTGTACAGTTATAGTTTATGATATTGACTTGTACAGTTATATATATGTTTACATATTATATATTGCATATGGTTATACTATGTATAATTTTATTTTTCTAAAATAAAGAATATTATTACACATTAACAAAATAGATATAACTGTTTTCCTTCTACTATTTGTTATTGGTGTATACTGCCAAATCCCTGATGGATACTGAAATTCTTATCTCTAAGCCCCTCTATGCCTACAAAAAATGGGTTCAAGGTTATTTTAAAAATCAAAGAGTTTATTAATAATATTATTTTTTATCATGTCCAATTGATACTATCATTATTAAAAAGTTTAATCACTTATTTCTTGAAGGACTTAATTAGGAAATATATATAATGTGTGTGTATATATATATTCCATATATATATATACTCTATATATCCTATATATATATTCTCTCTATGTGTATCCTATATATTCTCTATATATATTCTATATATATATTCTCTATATATTCTATATATTTATTCTCTATATATTCTATATATATTCTCTATGTATTCTCTCTATATATTCTCTATGTATTCTCTACATATTCTCTCTATATATTCTATATATAATTCTATATATAGTCTATATATGTATTCTATATAAATACACACACACACATATATAGTAGCCTAATATTTAAAACATAAGATTGGGACTGCCTAAAATAAGCTGACCCAGACCATAGGGGTACAGACATACGTATACTTCAGCAAGAACTGGTAACAAAGTGAGATATATGTTAACTCTTTGTAGCATATTGTTAAGTAGTATTAAAAAACAAGTAATTTTTGGTTGGGTCCATTGAGAGAATAACATTATTTTTAGAATGATCTAATGGCACGATAAACATTTTAGCATTTTACCTGGAAAAACATTATAGCTGTGCCAGTTTCTGTTCCAAGAAAAAAATACATTGGTGTATTCTCTAAAGGAGGAAATTCTGACCTCAACTATGTTCAGATAGCTGTGGCAGATAATACTCTGATCAGGTACTAAGTCATATATCTTCCACATTTCCCTTTGCTAGTTATACTCAGCGTGTGGTTGGAAATGGAATCAAAGCCCAGTCTGGAACTCCTGAAGTCAAAGTCAAAGGAACTGATCCTGTGATAAATCAGATTATTGATAAACTGAAGCATGTTATTCAGGTAAGTCCTGATCCTATATTTTTTGGTATAGCCAATAATAAATAATAAGTGGTTACTTTCTGTTATACTTGATAAATTTGTTAATCCTATCAGATAATCCTACCTAAAATATTGTAGCACATTATTTGCATCAGGACTTTTGGAAAGATTTAGTTTAATGATTTTTGTATGCAGTCAATATGCAGCTGTAATTTAATGTTGGACAATCTGTATATGTGAAAAGCAAGCCTCAGCCTCGGCCTTTCAATGATGAGAATCTCAGGACATGCGTTGTCCTCAGTGAATAACTTTGAACATGGGAATCACTGTGACCATTAAAGAAAACACATGTAAGGCCATGGAAGATGCCAGAGTTATCTTTCAGGTAATTCTCTGAATGTTGCTCTAAGGTTTTTGCAGCATTTCAATACAAGTTAGGTCATAGATGAAGAATATGTGTTTCTAATATTGATTTACAATATCACCTTTCGTATGTTATCTTATAATCTACCTAATGGTTGTTTATGAAATACTTCTGTCTTATCTTCAATAATATTTTTCATCAAGTGAATGTGTATTGCTGTTTTTAATACATGGCAAATGAAGCATGAACATATTTATCAAAATAATATTTCATTGAAATAGTCTATTAATTAGAACCAAACATTATGTTGCATGTTGTAAATATTATCCTCCACTCTGCATCTATTGATGTTTGGGGAAAGGAAGGCTTTTCTTTTTAGTTAATGGTCATTTTATAAAAATTTATATTTGAATATACTTTCATTTTTCCTAAGCAAAACTTTGTATGGGTAGTTGATGCTTATTTCTAGTATCGTGGGTCAGAAACAACACCTAAATAGTACAGAGTTTTTATTGCATACAACATATTTCAGAGTCAGTGGTAGGCTTCTCATAATTGTCCTGCCAAGACGAAGCTTAAGTTTATGCAGAGCCAGTTCCTGGGTTTCCATTTTTCACAAGAGTCCCTATATCTCAAAGAGAGGATGTGTAAGAAGGACTTGGGGGTTGGTGTCGAATACCATAGACTTCTCCCTTCTGCGAGGTAACAATGCTTATTCTACCATAGATACCTATAGAGAACAGAGCTGTCACCCTTGCTGTCAAAACCAAAAATAAATTCTACTGGAAAAGTCTAAGAGAGAAGTGGTGTCATGACTACTGATGAGTCAAACCTCCCAGCCTCTGCTGAGCTGGTCCAGTTGGTACCTCATAGTATCGCCCACTGTAGTATAATATGTACAGCTAGATTATTTGAAAATTCAAGTGCATAATTGATAACAAAACCAAAAGAGCTTTAACATTAATCAGCTCCTCTCATTGAGGAGTGAGTACAATCTCACTGTGAGGACACGGTGAAATCTTAGGGGTTTCTTAAGTGGGGTAAGCATTCCACAGAGGGTGGAGGAAGAAAACCTAGACCTTAAGTATATATTTATTCCATCTCATTCTTTTATATTTCTTTGGTTGTAGTAAGGTATATAAAATATGTAATATACTAGTGCAATAGCACATACATATAATTTATAAATACATAAATATACATATTAACTGGACATCTGTTCAGGTTGTTTTTCTAAGATATATACAAGATGAAAGCAGAACAGAAACCCTGTTGTGGATAACAAGGATGGAGCTGTTCCATAAGAAGTGCAGTTAGAAGTAAACACATTCACAGAGGAACACGTAGATACCCAAGATAGAAAGGATTATAAAAACCCTTAGGAGGAGGGTTCACATATTTATTACCCATTCAGCAACTCCCCTCCCCATTTCTTGTTTTGTAGGTTTCAAAGCCTTTTCAAGGTGGCAGAGGGAAGTCATCCTGCCTTTCTTTTTTAGTTTCTGTGTGAACTTGAGTCCCATTCTTTCTTCTTTATGGAAGTGTGCAGATCTCCAATTATTCATGCTTAAGTTTCATTCTGGGGTTGCAAGAGAATATCAAATGCAACGCTGCCTTTGAGGTCTATCCTTTTAAGGTCTGCTAGAATTATATGACAGAAATTTAGATTTTTATAGAGGAGAGCAGAAAGTCCTATCTTGCACAGGTGTCACTGAAACATTCACCTTTAATGTGTAAGAGTATGCTCTTTCATAAACTGCTCTCCTGGAGATGAAGAGAAGTGTTTTACTTTGCCATTTTTTTTTTTTTTTTTTTTTGAGATGGAGTTTCGCTCTTGTTGCCCAGGCTGGAGTGCAATGGCGCGATCTCGGCTCACTGCAACCTCTGCCTCCTGGATTCAAGCGATTCTCCTGCCTCAGCCTACAGAGCAGCTGGGATTACAGGCGTGTGCCACCACGGCCTGGCTAATTTTTTTTTTTTGTATTTTTAGTAGAGACGGGGTTTCTCCACATTGCTCAGGCTGGTCTCGAGCTCCCGACCTCAGGTGATCCACCTGCCTCGGCCTCCCCAAAATGCTGGGATTACAGGCGTGAGCCACCATGCCCGGCCTACTTTGCCAAACTTTTGACTACTGATAATGTACGCGTGCCCTGGCAGGGATGGCCATTGTACTGTCAGTATCAAGGAATGGGTAACAGCACCCACCACAATGTCAGCTACGAAAGGATTCAGAAAATAGCCTTCTGTAAGTCAGAATTTATTAATTTAGGAGTAGGGCCATGGAAGATGTCAACATAGGAATAGGTTTCAGATTCTAAACTGTAGATTTAGATGATCACTTCTTAGTGTTTGTATAAAATTTACTTTATTTTTTATTATAATATTAAGTTCACTGTCCACCTTTATACTATGAAAAATGCCATCTCTCTCAATAGGGACATACCTGTATTGAAGTATATGGAAGGAAATCAGCCATAAAAGCAAAAATTGCCTGCATAGACTCACCCAAAAATGCCTTTCTCGGCCTGCCATTAATATGAACCTCATTTCTACCTAGAATTGTCTGCAATTAGAATCATTAAGGAAGTAGAAAAAGATTTTTACTTGGAAAATGGCACTTTTTAATGTTTTAATAATTAATTCATTCAAAATACTCAACAAATGTTCATTGAGTTTCTAGTACGGTCCTGGTTCTGTACTGGCACTGAGGTTAAAGTTGTGAATAAAGCAGACACAACCCTGCTCTCATGGGCTTTCCATTGTAAGAAAAAGTAAATAAACAAACAAAACCAGTATTGTAGCTGACACCTGTTATAAACAAAACCAAACAGGATGAGGTAAGGAAAAATATTTAAGAAGAATGTCCTGGCGAAGGCCACTCAGGGGGAGATGTTTGGGGTGATGCTGAATAAGGAGAAGAAAAGAGTCATGGGAAAACCTGTGAGAACTGTTTCTGGGGCAGAAGGCAAAGTAGGCGTAAAGGCCCCGTTGCAGGAATAAGTTTGTTTTACTCAGAGAACAGAAGGTCAGTCGGCTAAAACCAAGTGAGCTAAAGGGAAGAGATAAACATACATCATGTTTTGAGAAGTCCAGTAGGCTCTGGTAAAGAGTTTATATTTTCTCCTAAGTAGACTAAGAAGTCATTTAAAAACTGTAGGCAGAGCTAGCTGCGCGCAGTGGCTCATGCCTGTACTCTCCGCACTTTGGGAGGCTGAGGTGGGCAGATCAACTGAAGTCAGGGGTTTGAGACCAGCCTGGCCAACATGGTGAAACCTCGTCTCTACTAAAAATACAAAAATTAGCCGAGCTTGGTGGCATATGCCTGTAATCCCAGCTACTCGGGAGGCTGAGGAAGAAGAATCGCTTGAACCCAGGAGTCAGAGCTTGCAGTGAGCCAAGATCGCGCCACTGCACTCCAGCCTGGGTGACAGAGCAAGACTCTGTCTCAAAATAAATAAATAAATACAAATACATCACAAATTTAATAAATAAATAAAAACTGTAAGCAGAAGCTGATACAATTTAATCTATGTTTTATGAGGACTTCACTATGAAAAATGGTCCCTGCATGAAAGAATGAAAAAAGAAAGTAATACAGACAGAAGACCACATAATTGGAACTAGAATAATAAAAGTGGATAAGCTGAGAAGTGCATAGATTTAGACAAATATTGGAAGCAGGGTTATTGGGATTTGTTAATGGATTGGAAATTTGGGAGACAGAAGAAAGATGATAGCGAGGTTTGGTGGGATGATAGTGTCACTAAGTGAGAAAAGGAACTCTGAGAGAGGAGCAGGCCTGGCAGAGGGTCCCTGGGATTGATTAGAAATCAGTGGTGTTGTTAACTGTGAGATGCTTATTAGATACCCAAGAGGGATGTGCAGAACTCAGGGAGACCACACAACTGAAAGTGTATGTTTGTAAGCACTAGCATGTGGATAGTACTTAAGCTCTGAGATTGTATAAGGCTGTCACCTTTCCTTTACAGTATAAATTCACACCAAAACTATTAGTGGAGACTATAAGACAATGGAATCATAAAAAAAAAAAATTGTACTGCAAAAACCTATGAATGGATAAAACATTTTATTAATTGTATTTGGCACCTTGTATATACTTAGTTGATCTAGGACAGAGAAGATACTTAGTAACATTCATTTTTTCTTACTGTAAGAATAATGACCCAGGAGGCGGAGGCTGCAGTGAGCTGAGATCAGGCCACTGCACTCTAGCTGCAGGAGATAGAGTGAGACTCCGTCTCAAAAAATAAAAGAATAATGAATGCTCATCAGAGGGAATTGAATTTTATTATTCTAGGAAATCTGATGGAAAAAGTGAAAAATAAATATTGATACATTTATAAAACAATGAAAAGACTTATAAGAGAAGCCATCTAGGCTTTTTTCTATACTTAATTATACATATAAATACATCAATACTTTACTTAAAAAAATAAGACCGTAGGGCACGTTTGATTTTATGATCTGAACTGCTCACCTGACCACACAAAACAAATATTTTACCATGGCATTAAATATCCTGCTATCTGGTTGTCAGTGCTGGCATATTTTTCTATCATATGGAAAGATTACAGTTTTACTTCATCCAGTCACCTAAAGTTGGATATTTAGCTTGTGACCAGATTTTCATGATAATAAAGACTAATAGGAATATCAGCAGACATAAAATGTTTTTGGCATCTTTTATTTTCTTGTAATACATTCTACATATTGAAACTAATAATTGTATTTTGATACATATTGCCACGTTTTTCTCAAGGAAAATTATAGATAACAGAAAGTGTCAGCTTTCTCTGTGTGTTAAGGTTGTGGGTGGAAGCTTGGCAGTGACTCTCAGACATATTGGTATGGAACACCACTGGACTCTCTAGAGATCAAGGCAGCAGTCCTGTAGAAATGTTAGCCTGAGCTGTGTGTCACCTGGGAGTACTCCAAGGATGACCAAAAGAAATATTTTAGTTAGAAGACAATTTATAAGAAAAGTTTAGAGGCTTCCTAGAGAGGTCATAGCATACACAATTTTATTTCATCCTTTAGGACAAGCCCTATATGTATGTTCTGCACACATCCCCTCCCACACCCTCCTCAAAAAAAAAAAAAGCTGAGATCTGATGTAAATAGATAACTGGATTATAGCTTGGTCCATAAGGAATATCTCAGAAACTTCAATATTCCTTCACCCCCTCTGCAAATCCTTCTGAATTGAGAATGGGAACCTTGGCAACAGAGGGGAGTCATGAACCTCCCTTTTCCATCTGTGACTCTGACATCTTCCTCTGGGTCAGCCATTGTGCAAACTCTCACTTAATTTCTGGCAGTTTCCTGCATTCCAGACCTGTTTGTGAAATAGGCAATATTTGTCCCTTTGAAAATCACCTGTGATAAATGTGGTATAGCCCATGGCCAGTGAAGATTTTCCTATGGGGAGACATATTCCTAAGTGTTAACATTAACGTTTCCAGATGTTTGAGTCAGACTCAATTGCCCTTTAATATTATAGATTGAAAACAACATTTGGTTGATCTTAGTATATCTGATTGAGGAAATATGAGACCCTTTTTAATTTAGATTTGCTCACCTAGCAAACTTACTTTGAAATTTCTTGGTCATATTATGTTTGCTTACGGCAAAGTTATCAGCAAAAAAGTCACAGTTATGCAGCAATTTATCTTTAAACACTAAATGACATCTATCATTTTTCAAAGAAAATAATGTCAGCAGTTAAAATCCTAACTGCTTGAGCACTGTTAGTTGACAATTATATTGCCCCATTGCTTAGAAATTAATTGACCTACTTTCAATAAGAAACATAAAAAGTAATATCACAGCAATTTTCTGGATTTATTTTATTGCAAAACCAATAAATGTTACAGTGTCGTTAAAAGTAATAGATTTAAAAAACATTTTATTTTCTTAAACCTAACAATTCAAATAACATAAAATAATATTACGTTTCTATTAAGCATTCATTTTTATAGAGACCAAAACTTCTTTACAAAATGTCTTCATGTATAATATAAATTAGATGTGAGAAAAGCAATAATCATAATCATTGCCTAAATCCACAAAATAAGTAGATATTCTATAATATGTATTTCAGTAATCACAATGTAGTGGATTCAGGCAGAGATGAGAGACACTCTGATTTTAGTAGAAAAAGACTGTGCTAAATTACCTCTTTGCCTTTTTTCACTCTGTTCCTAGGATACCAATATAATAAATAGTACCTTTAGAACTGTGATACACTGAGAAAAGTTCTAATTTAAATCTCAATAGATGATTACACAGGTAGTGTTTACACACACACACACACACACACACACACAATGACAGGAGTTTTTAAAGATATTAGTATCTCGGAATTTTTGTATTCTGAAAACTGTCCAAGCTTTTATCATTAAATCACTTGTTATGAAACACACTTTAGAAACACCCTTTCCTATTTTTAATAGCCTATGATAGACATACAGAATGAGTTAATCATAATTGATTGGTCAATTGCTAATTCCGAATTCTTTGACCATAGCACGTCAGCTGATTCTATGAACTTCTACAGACTCTTTCCCTTGGTCGGGGAATTGCCACAACACTCTGACTCCTTTCCCCACAACTCCATTACATGACATTGTCACCTCCCCAGGCTTATGATACTAATATTCCAGAGAGACGAACAGTTCTTGATTTTGAATAGAAATGCAGTACTGACCAAAACTGATTTAGTTTTGGTTCAGAAGGAAGCGCTGGATATGCCCTCAATAACTTTCCATGGTCATCTAATTCAGCAATTAGTTTGTCTGAGTAAATTCAATGGAAGGCTGCTTTCTCGAATGGGTAGTGTAATGCACTGACTTCCCTATTAGACATTTCATTTAAAAACATCAATTGTCTGCATAAAACAACCATTTCCATCAGTGTACATTCAACTGGAAAGGAAAGCTTGAGGACTTTTTTTTGAAAGTAGTGGGATTGGGGTTGGCCATTGGTAATTTCTTTTTGATTAAAGCGTATGTAATTGTTTTGTGTTGGATACAAATTTATTTATGCGGATGCCTCTGATCTTATATGTTATCATTTCCCATTAAGACCTGAGCTGTTTATCTGCTGGGTTTTCTGGTCATAAAATGTTGAAAGGACGTTAAAATGTAGAACTTTTATATTTTTTATTTAGGTGACTAGGATAAATTCTGGTGATTTATAGGCTAAAACTTAAATGTATTTCTGCTTAAAATATTTTGAAATATGGTTTATTTCACAAATGAGGTTCCAAACTATAACCAGCTCTCACTAAATTCATATTTATGTGTTTATGTATTTATTTATTTATTTATTTTTGAGACAGAATCTCGCTCTGTCGCCCAGGCTGGAGTGCAGTGGCGTGATCTCGGCTCACTGCAAGCTCCGCCTCCCGGGTTCACGCCATTCTCCTGCCGCAGCCTCCCGAGTAGCTGGGACTACGGGCGCCGGCCACCACGCCCAGCTAATGTTTTGTATTTTTAGTAGAGATGGGGTTTCGCCATGTTAACCAGGATGGTTTCGATCTCCTGACCTCGTGATCCACCCGCCTCGGCCTCCCAAAGTGCTGGGATTACAGGCTTGAGCCACGGCACCCGGCCAAAAGATCATTTTTAAATTATGCATCTGGGAATATATTATCAAACCAGGCCTGAAACTTATTAAAAAGACGGTAAAATCTAATTTAACTTCATTTAATACTCCTTTCCTCTTAGTCTTATCAAAGCAAATGAGCTTGGCTTTTAATTATGAAAATGTAATTTTAATTTATAAGACATATAACAAAGCAAGATAGCTGCTAAATTCACTTTATCCTAGTAACTTCCTATTGTGTACATTCATTTTTAATGTAATAAGAAATCCTTCCAAAATTTTTAAAAGAATCACATTACCCAAGAAGAGGCTCAACATTTCTAGAAAATAAACATGTTCTTAAGACACTTAACAATTCTTGAAATGAAGACCTAACTCTTCAGGGTTTTAAAATATTTGATGTGCACTCTTTACATATATAGTTTAAATTTAATAATTACCCTTCTCAAAAAATAAGTGAAACATACCACAAACATATCAAAGCAAGTTATTCATACTTCTCATTTAAGTAACTGTATTGTCATAGCAAAATTATTTTGTATCATCAAAAAGCACAAAAGCCTTATTAGAATACTAATTTCAACATCTGTTTCACAGATTTGCTCATAATAGATGTTTTTCATGCTTCTGCACTAATTCATTGAAGGACAATGTTTTACCGATTCTTGAAAAACTATCATTATCTGCCCCACAGTGGTGGCTCATGCCTGTAATCCTAACACTTTGGGTGGCCAAGGCTGCCGTTTTGCTTGAGCGCAGGAGTTCAAGACCAGCCTGGGCAACATGGTGAAAACTCATCTCTACCAAAAAAAAAAAAAAAAAAAGTAAAAAGTTAGCTGGGCAAGGTGGCAGGCACCTGTAGTCCTAGCAACTCAGGAGGCTGAGGTAGGAGGATCACCTGGGCCTGGGAGGTTAAGGTTGTGGTGAGCCATGATTATGCCACTGCATTCCAGTGTGGGTGACACAGTGAGACCTTGTATCAAAAATAATAATAATATAAAATAGAAAATAAAAATATCATTATCTGACATTTTAAAAAGTATATTTCCTAACCTATAAATATACTTTGTAGATTAACAAGAGAAAAATTTCAAGATATTGTAAATTTAAAACAAATCTTTATGTATAATATCACTGTAATGTCTTTGACCAGTATCAATCTATCATGTGAGATAAAAAATATTAAACATTCATTTATTGAATAAACGAATGAAAATCATAATTACCTCGATCACTATATTTAAAATCTAAATGAAGCAGGAAAGTAAATCTTCCTAATTATCATATACTTAGCTGTTTAAAATCACTCTAATGACAAGTAATATGCTTTCAATCTTGAATTATACTTTTAAAATGCCTGTATTGTTTCATTCACTCATGCTTCCATTAGTTCAGTGAACAAATATTGATTACTTACCCACTATGTGCCAGGTATTATGATAGATTCAGGGAGTACAAAAATGATTAAATGAGGGGATCAGTTGGAGTGACTGTTTTCTAGAAACAATGCCTATTTCAGTTATGAACTAGTCTGTTTTGAAGAAAATGGTGAGGGAAAGCTAAAAGTAATATTTTCACTTTATTCAACAAATCTTATTGAGGTCTTATTATGAATCAGGGGCTCTCCTAGGTACGGGCATACAAAATTGATTAAGACCATGCTTGCGTGCAGAAAACAAACAGAAAAGCATCTCTATAATAAAAAGGAAAAAGAGGAATCCCCTTTGTAGGTTTCATAGTTTATACTGATATTTCTGATGTCGTCTCAGAGAATTAGTCACAATTATAGGAACTCAGAAGGCATTCCGTGGAGATGAAATAGAGACTAAACTAGCAGAGATTACTTAGTGAAATATTGTGATACCATTTATTTCAATTAGAAAATAGTTATAATTCATTTTAGAAGATATTATGGCTTACACATAGTAGATGTGATGACTGAATAACAGGATTGTTGAACGATGGCACCTTGGTAGCCATTAGCCATTGCCACCATGATTCTGCATTAAAAAATCTATGCAAAACGCCCGGGCATGGTGGCTCACGCCTGTAATCCCAGCACTTTGGGAGGCCGAGGCGGGCGGATCACGAGGTTGGGAGATTGAGACCATCCTGGCTAACACGGTGAGACCCCGTAACTACTAAAAATACAAAAAATTAGCTGGGCATGCTGGCACGCGCCTGTAGTCCCAGCTACTCGGGAGGCTGAGGCAGGAGAATCGCTTGAACCTGGCAGGCGGAGGTTGCAGTAAGCTGAGATCGCGCCACTGCACTCCGGCCTGGGAGACAGAGTGAGACTCCGTCTCAAAAAAAAAAAAAGAAAAACTTTGGAGTATATTAATAAACATTGTGTTTTTTTAAAAAAAAAATTAAATCTTTAATTTCCGTTTTCACGATTTTTCTTCTTGCTTCCAAAAGGAAAGGAGTGCGTAGCTCTGTTGCCTTTACATCGTCCACGGCCCCTGGGTTGGGGCGGGGTCCCCCGGGCCGCCCGGGGGTCCACATGCAGTCCCTGGGGGGGCCGGCGCGGGGTGAGGTCCGGGGGCCGCCTTATTGCTGAGGTCCGGCCGGTTGGGGCCCTGGCGGCCGCTAGGCGCTCTGGCTGCGCAGCTCCTGGGAGATGAAGCGGCGCAGGCGCTCCAGGTACTGGCTGTAGAGCTGGATGTCTTTGTGCCCGGCGCCCTCCACCCACAGCGGCTCCACGGCGTTGGGGCAGCGCTGGTAGAGCGCCAGCCCGTGCGAGAAGTCCATCACCTCGTATTTCGTGTCCTGGAAGATGAGCACGGGCGGCGTGATCTTGGACACCTTCTGGATTCTGCGGGAGGGGCGTGGGGCGGGTGAGACCTCGCCCGGCCCGGGCCCCGCCCCGCTCCGCCCCCGCCCCCGTCCCCGCCCCAGCCTGCTCACTTGGGGAAGGCGTCGAAGCAGTAGGTCTTGGTGTCCGGAAGGCGACGCTCAGGTCCAAGGTGAGCGGCGAGTGCAGCACCACCGTGGCGGACTCGTAGCGCGAGGCCAGGTCCACGGTGGGCACCGTGCCGATGCTCTGCCGGTACAGGATGATGCCGTCCGGGCTGATGCGGTACCTGGCGGCACCTGAGCAGGGTCAGCCTAGGCCTCCAACGCGCGCGCACCCCTCCTGCCAGCGGGCGTCCCCGGGCCCAGCTCCGGATGCGACTCTCCAGTCTCCCCGCTCAGCCAAGTCAGTTGGTCAGGCCCAGGCTCCACACCAGTCTCAAGGGCCACCCCCAAGCCCCCCAACACCGCAGCGGTGGGCGAAGCCGGCGGCCTGGTCCTGTTCCCTGCCACTATGGTTCACTGGCGTTTCCTAGCCAGGATCTGCTGGATCCTGGCTAGGGAGTCCCCCTCGGGCTAGGGTAGGGGAAGCCCTGGCACCTCTCCTCCTCTTGGTCACCCCTAGGCGCACACTGGGAACTGTGTGGCCTCCCACATCCTGAATGCTTCACGCCTTCCTGCCCAGGTTAGAAAGCTCTTCCTGGTGCACTGGCCGGGACACTCTTCCTCCCTGCAGCCCTTGCCTACCCCCTTGGCCATGAGGAATTCAGGCAGCTGTGTCCCCAGATGTCTCCACCCAATTTTGGACTCTCAGAGTCCCATGCCCAATGAGCTGCCAGCCCAACCCAGGTCAACATCGAGGGTGGTGGCTGCGGGGGCAGCATCTCCTCCCACCAGTGCCTTCCCTTGGGAGTGGACAAGTCCTCCGCCACCTCAGCACCACCAGCTCCCACCCAGGGCCACCCCCACTCCCAGGTCACTGGTGTGCGGCCCCTGGCCCAGCTGATCCAGCACCAGTCCCAAGGCCTCCTCATGCCCAGTCCCAACCACGCGGGACCCACCTGCCACCCTGTCGATGCCGAGACCCCAGAACTCTCCTCCCACAAGCTCCAGGCTCTGATGCCAGGCAGATGCCCTCCTGCGAGACAGGAGCATGGGCAGGTGTGCGTCCCGTCTGGCTGGCATTCGGACTCCACCAGCAGGGCTGTCTCCCTCCCTGGCCTGGAATCCCAGCCTCCTGGCAGCACTCCACAGCTCACTGCTCACCCATGCCCCAAAGGATGCTGCCTGGCTTGTGCCTGTGGCTGCAGCTCTGCCTCAGCCTCCCTGGCCTGCTCCCTGGCAGCCAAGGCCAGTAGTGTGCTGAGCCAGCCCAGCCCTGTCACCTGCTCCAGGCAGGAGCCCCCAGCTGCCACCTAGATGTCACCACTCAGACAATCAAACAAGACACATCCTCCATAGAGGCCCTGAGCGCTATCTGGCCTCCCCCTCACGGCTCTGGGCCGAGGATCCTGCAGGACAAAGCGACAGCAGGACAGACGGCGGAGTAGACAGAGCTCAGAGCTGGCCATGGGGGGTGTGACTCTGCCAGTGCCCCGGGCAGTAGAGACAGGAGGGGGCCCAGGAAGCTGCATGAAGTGGTGCTTGGTTTCGGCGCCCCACACTGCCGGGAGGCCCCCAGAGCCAGGGTGGTGCCAGGGGACCCAGCTCCCACGCCCACAGCAGGGACTGCCTGGGATATCTCCAAGGCAACGAGGACCCCACCTCCCAGGGCCTCTGACTTCTCAGAGCTGCGCCTGGCCCCTGCAGGAGCGGGTCAGACCACTGGGCTGGGCAGGGCAGGGCCAGGACGAGACAGCCCCAGCGGGTGGCGAGCAGGAAAGGCCCCCAGAGGCCCACGCGGGTCTTCTAGTCCAGAGCAGCACTGGCCCGGGTGGTGCTCAAACACCAGTGAAGGGCCCAGGCAAGCGCAGGGCTGGGGACCTGGATGATTAGGAGGGCTGGATCTGGAATCGAAGCTGGCCGAGACCTCAGGTGTGTGCTGGGGGTCTGCACCTGACCCTGCAGGCCCTGCCCCGGGATGGCTGAGCTCCACAGCCACGGGGCCTCATGGGCCAGGCCTTGGGACCTCGATGCAGCAGCCTCGCCTCACCTGGCCCCAAGTGCGGCCTCAGCCCGTGGGCTCCCAGCCACACATGCACAGACCCCCTGACACCACCCACCCCCTCCCGCCAGGTGGTGTCCACGCCCCTGTGACAAGCTCAGCCCCTTCCTGTCCTCAGGCCAGGGGATCCCAGGGAGCCTGGCTCCACAGGCCAGGGTGTGGGGGGACCTCCTGGCCACACCTCAGCCATGTGGAGGCAGCACCCGCATGCCTGAGCTCACCTGTCCGGCTCTCTGGCAGCATGCGTCCACTGTGGCTCCTCTCCTGCAGGGCCGCCCACCTTCCTCCCAGGGAAGCCCGCCCCTCCCCCCGGCCCCTGGCCCCCGGCCTGGTCCCCTCTCGGGTGTGCCCAGGCTGAGCTGCGCCCGGGGTCGCCCTCACCTGGTGCGCAGGGCCTGCCAGGCGGCGTTGATGTCGGCGTAGAGGTTCGTCTCGGAGGGCCTGCCCGAGCTGGCACCGTAGCCAGAGTAGTGGTAGGAGAAAATGTTGCAGTGGAGGCGGGAACACAGGCCAATGTAGAAGCTGCTCATCTGGCCCAGGTCCACCGCGTTGCCTTCCTTGTTCATGCACCTCTGGTCAGACGCAGTTCAGCTGATCTAGGCTGGGCTTGGCTAGCATTGGCTTGAAGCTGCAGCTGGTGTCCAGATCTGTTCTACGTATTTGTGATTCTCCTCAGCCCTCCCGGGTACTTGAAGCATGTTATTGTTATGGCAAAAGTCAGGAGTGCAACCTGCCTGTGCAAAAACATGCCAGGCTTCTGTTGCCTGAAATCCTCTAAGATACCCCTTTGGCTTAAGCAAAATCACACAGCAAGGATCAAAGTCAAGGAGTGGGGAATTATATCTGTCCCTTAGAGATGGAGATAGGAGAGAGTGTGAACAAATGCAGGAAAATGATCTCATCTACCAGAGTGTCCTTAAATATTTTAACATAATAAATTCAGTATTGTTTTTGTTTGATTGAATGAAGCTTTGCATGGACACAGTACAGTACAAAAGTACTATTTGAACTCTTTCTCCACATTCATAAAATTGCTAGTTTCTACCATGATTATATTTTTATGATCCATTTTTGTGTACAGATCTGAAAACTTTATACTAGAATTTATTAGCTGAGGAAAGGAACATCCACTGACATCATCATATACAAATATTTCTCAACATTTTAATGCTTGTGGTATTGTTAATGTTTCTGTGGAAAAAAAATCACAGAAGTGATTTCTAAGTCAGTTATTGATTTATTCTAATGAATTATAAAAATCAGACTAAATTACTAATAGAGAAATTACATTTGAAATACTAGTCTGAGCTACAGATGAGATGGATTTTTGTGCTCATCATTTGTACTCTAGCTATGTTTGTTGAGATTGGGTTATTAAAACATAATTATAACATTATCAGCAGAAAAGCCTGTTGTGCTATAATTAAATCATCTAAACAATCATTTTTGTGGTCTTAATATCCTGGATTTCTCAATTCATTGTAGTAGATAAGATTTCTCTTTAAATACTACTTACTATCAGTAGCTTGCTTTTCTGTGAATGCTAGAAAATTTAGAATTCTGCATTAACATTTAACAAAATATATGCTATCCTAATATTGATTCATTATATTTATCTATACAACATGCAACAAGAGAGAAATACTGGATGAATCAGAATATTTGCAGCCTATGACAATTATCTGTAGCAACATTTTTTTTGTCTTCAGAAAAATATAGATGATTTTGGAAATGGATTAGTTCTAGTTTCAATCTAGGAAGAACTACTTATGGAAGTTTTGTGTACAGGATACTGATGTTTTCAAATATAATGCATTATTATTTTAGTTTAGTTTCTTTTACCACATACTTAGAAATTGTTCAAGTGAACAGGCTATTAAAACTAATGGTATAGATAAATGGTACAGATAGGCCTTGTAAACATCCCACTTTTCCCAAGCCATGAATTTTAACACCTGATTAAGGAGATTAAAATGGAGCCATTGGGAATGTGAATTCTTTGCTAATAATTATTTTTCTTCCTTTAAAAAGATTCTTCAAAAGGCAAGAATATGGAAGTATTTCAGGAGATACTCTTGAGGTATCTAAAATACATACTCTTCCTATCAAAATCAGTAAATAGATTGATGTAAGTAAGATAAAGTCAGGGCAACTGGTTTTGCATGTGAGTGTACACACAGACACATATCCATGTATTCTCCATCTGTTCTCAGTTACTGAATTATTAGACCCAACTGACCACTTGACTGTGTTTAACCTGATAAACAGACTCTTAACAAGAACAATATTTTAAAAGCTGGATTGTTCCTCCTACTTCTCAGCATGCATCAGCCACTCTCTTTCCCCATCCTATCTCCTGCCAAATGGTCTCTAAATATCTGTTCCACTTGGAGACACTATTGGATGTTGTTGTAAATGACTTTAATGAATATTCACTCTACCTGCTCTCATATTAATTCAGTTTTCCTAGGATGGTCTCTATGGGATCAAGCAAAAGGACTTAGTGGAATATCTCTATCTGACTCCATAAAGTAAAGAATGTGGTGAGTTTAACAGAGTGCCCCTTCCTTTACTAAATGTGAATGATGTTTCAGTATAGGAGGCCAGAGTGAAAAGTCCTAACGTATGTTTGTTTGGGCAGCCAACAATTGGTCACATTGTACATTTCATGTTACAAAGGAGCCTCATGGTAGTATAAATGAGGGTCGGGAAAAGACACTTAACTGCTCAGGGCTTTAAAATGGAGCCAGAGCAAGAATTGTAGAAGTTGACAATATCAGGAAGGAAACCTCTGTAAGCAGGCACGCAGGGGAACTCCAGAAATCTCTTCTTTGCCCCTACAACTCTGGACTTTCAGAAATACACACCCCATCCTCCTGTATTAATACAAAATTCATGTTCACAACAACATCAAAAATCAATTTTAAAATAGTAAACCTAAGGTAGACGGAAAGACATTATAGCCTCAGCATGCCTGAGATCTGAGGAGCAAATCAGAAAGATGTTGAGTGTGAAGAGAAAGGGACATCATGATAACCAATCATTTAAAATTTTTACTCCAGAGAAATGGCAATATTTCACAGATTGTTTCTCATCACCAATCTCACAAGTATAAGTATTTTTTGAAAATTTTCCTCTCAATTTTTTTCCTTGACAGTGAAGTCCAGAATAGGTTGGTTTAGATCTTTCTCTTTTCAGCCTCAATACTCCATAATCACCTTGGCTTTTTTGATTATGACTGGATGGCATGTACTATTATTTTAATATTAAAGATTTAGTAAATAATTTTAAATGTTATCCTTAAATAACTGTGGGCTTTATTCATTTACTGTACATATTTTGAAAACATTCATAAGAACTTAAGGATTTTAATTCAAATGGTCTCTAAAGTAGAAAATGCACTCACAGATTATGCGTATGTCTTTTAAGAAACAGAAACGTGCCATTTGTTTTTAAATTGAGTAGACTTTGTATCCTTTAGAATTTGGGCAGAGTTTTCTTGCTATATTGTAGAGAACCTATCAACCATATCTTAATTTTCTTCTTCTTGAGGTTTTCAAAATTAACATTGGCATTGGTCCACTAATTCCTTGTTTTCTATTTTTGGATGAGTGTGCATAATTACCTCCATCTTAATTTTCAACATAAATGTTTAGCAGAATCTTTCATGTTTCATTGCCATGTAAGCAGATGTGGTTTTTATTCTTTTTCCTTTTCATTGAACAGTTACTTCATTTGAAATTTTTCACTTGATTTAACTTTTTTTTTTGGTGGTAGATACATCTGTTGCCACCTGTGTCTGGTTGGCATTTTAATGTGTTGCCTCAAAGCTGTAACCACAATAGTGGCACATTTTCCTGCTGTTCCTTTATTCTTTGTTTCATGTGTATCTGTTTTCAAGAAATTGCATTGGTATACTATCATAGCTTTTTTTGTCTCTCAGATTTTCTATTGTAATTATTTATATTTATGCATTTGGAAATATTTCATGATTGTTACATAAAACAGCAGAGCTCTTTTAGAAAGTTTTCATGGTTTCCCAAATGTACAATCATATAGATTATTTAGTAGTTATTACATAATGATCTTTGGAGCAATAAATGCTGTTATATAAGAACAATTCCCAAATGTAATTTGAAAGTTATAAGCTAGGCTTTGACGGCCTAGAATTAATGTACCTTTATAATTCTAATCTGCATGCAAATTTAAGAAGACCACGGATTGAGGACTGGGTGCATAATTTTCAGGGCCCAGTAAAAAGTGAAAATGTAGAACCCTTTGATAAAAAATTACAAAGAATTTCAAGATGACCATAATAGGCCATGCACAAGGCCTTTCTAAATGGGTAGAGTGATCATGAAGCCATGGGCATTGTTTTGTTTTGTTTAATCTTACTGTTTGGTTGTAAAGCAGATCTTTAAATCAAGAGAAAAAAAGAATGCCAAAGAACATCTCAATCAAAATGTTTTAAACATTATAGAAGATTAGATCCATATAAATGAAAGGGATAAAGAAAAAGCACATATCCAACCTCAAATATAAAGCATGGAATTCTTATGTGAACTCCATTATAGCACTTGATATTTCAGCTCTATTTTCATTTTTGAACAACTCTAGATATATCTATATATTTTAGTCTAAAATTTAATTTTTATAAGTTCTAAGTTCTTCCCCAAATTCTACCTTAGATAAACAATTCAGAGATACCTGTGTTTCCTATTCTATTAGGTGGAACCATATGAAATTGTCAGTATTCAGCCTTTTCTGTCCTACAAAAAAATGACAGCTTTGTGTTTCCACCTAACACATGGCAGCCCAATAAATATGTGACAGTCAGGACCATAGAGCTACCACACTAAACAATACTAAATGCATACACATACCCTTTCCAAAACCCTGGCAGGTCTTCTTTTCCCCAAAAGAATCATTCTTTGACTCTTCACCCATTATTCATGTGAGAAATTTTCCAGGCCCGTCAACATGTCAGTTGAGTGACTGTAACAATTAGATCTATCGATTCTCCTCTCACAATTTGACATTCTTTATTGAAAAGCATGATCTAAATGTTGACTAATAGTCTGCAGAGTGAAACATGTTTACTAGTTCCCATGACCTAAAACAGTGTAAAACCATGATTCAAAAATTTCTTTTCTTAAAAACTTCTAAACAATATGTCTGCCGGGATAAACTGGTGCAATTTCTATGTGGAACCTAAAGAATTTCAATGACACATTTTCATCCTTATTGCTGTTAAATAATCCCTTCAATAGTGCCCCATCTTCTGTACTCCTTCATACGATTTTCTATCTTATTATTTTCCATCATTCTTTCTGTTACAACTATAATAGTTTCTTTGGAGAAACTATAGATTTTCCCACTTCAGAGGCATTTCTGCATTGAGCTCTCATAAACCTCTCTAACATGGTGGGAAATAGACTCAATAACATTTGTGTATGAATTCAGTTGTGAATTACTTAAGGCTCATCTATAACATCAAAAAGCAACTTGGTAAAAACAATTCTATTGAAGATTATATGATCTAAGTATATATAACTTTAGGATGGCTTCGACTGAGACAAAAATAGTATCGATACAGTGTGGAGCAATGAATTTCTAAAATTTTTATCTGCTTAACATTTTTCAACAGCACAATTTATACAGAAGCCCAACATGAGACATTCTTGTTCACATGGAATTTCTCTGCCCGCTTGAGCCCTGTAGAAATACCACAGTGTTGGTAAACAGCAACAGCAACAAGAAGATACTAAGCTTGAATTCTCAGTGGCTCAACCACACCAAAGTTTGTGGGTTGCTCCCATAAAGTTCAATGTCAGTCAGAATAAACTCCTCTATCATTAACCTATGACACACATTGCACGTAACCTTCAAAGTACTGGAAGTGGAAAAGGAGAGAACCTGGGAAGGAGGCAGGGGCTTTTTACTGCCTCAGCCCCAGAGTGATTCATGGCACTTCACCTCAGAGTCTCTTAGATCTTTCCACGTGATCCCAACATAACTGGATGTCTCTGAAATATCTGGGAGGGCATGAAGATTCATTACATGTCTTAGTATTCATTACATGTCTGTTTACAGACTCCATTTTGCTTTCTAAGATGCTCCCTGACTCTTCTCAGAAGCTTTACATAACATGCTATATAAAACACTGATCTAATCAAAATATCACCCTATACCCTATAAATATGTACAATGATGTGTCAATTTAAAAATTAAAGCAAAAAATCCACTGATCTAAAGGGATGATTTCCTCATGCTTCAGGTAATTCTTCATGGAATATTAGTCTCCAATACCAAACTTTTCTTAAGAATTTGGCTGCAAAGAATCCAATAATGTATTTTCAGAAAGAGATTGGAATGCCACAATCTTGTGCATCAACAAAAGAGTGTGTCCCTTTTTGACATTTGGGTCTCTGCGTGACTTCTGACAGAAAGGACAGGCTCAGAGGACACATGGGCATGTCCAAAATTTAATTTCTAAAAGGCTTCTCGATCTACCCTAATGAAGACATGAGTCTAGAAATTTTCTGACCTCCAGAGCACAGACAGTGCTTCTTCGGAGAAATTATAGATTTTCCCACTTCAGAGGCATTTCTGCATTGAGCTCTCATAAACCTAACATGGTGGGCAAGTTGGTATTTCAGTCCTTCACATTTAGCTCTGAGTTTAGTACTTGATGGATTTTAAATTAAGTTTCTTTGACATGAAATGAAATCTTCAGCTGCCTGTTAGTTCCAAAGCAGGCCCTCAAGCTCAACACATTAAAAAATTAGTCGTTTCCTCAGAATCTTGTTCTTCCTTCAGAGTTTCCAATTTTTGTTACAGATACCACCTGTCAGACAGTCATTTGGGCTTAACATTTTAAAGTCTGTTCTGGGTCTTCCACATTCATTATTCTCTACAGTCAATCACATTCCAAGGATTGTTGCCTCCAATGCATGCCTTTTTCTCAGTTTTATTTTCTCCCATCAGAGTCATGCACAGATTAGCTCTCAAGTGAGCTATTATAATGGCCTCCTAGCATCTAAACTCTCTTTTTCCAATTGATAGTTCTGCCAGAGTTGTCTTCTTAAAGCAGAGGTTAGACCGCATTTCTCTAAGTAAATTCCAACGACACCAAAATAGTGATTCTTAATAAGTATTACAAGTAGGGAAATACAGATGGGAGAGTTTCCTTGGTAAATAAGTTCATAAAATCTAGGTTAAACAATGTTAAATGGGGTTTGCTTTTTGCTGTTGCTTTGTTAATGTGCATTTGAAATTTCTAAAGTGGCATTACATATCCATAATTTCCCTTATCTGTTTGACAAAGGAATCTGGTTTGTTTAGAAGCATTTTTTCAGAACTTCTATAGGTCAACCTTTCAGAAATTCCTCATTATCAACAGTCAAATACAGATGTATTTTCTTTGGCTCTCGCAACAGGCTTAGAGGAATTTCTAGTCTGTTCTTGTGACGTTTCATTATATGCATCTTTTGCTCAGGCCTGTTAAACCTACTCAACGTGTGTATCTTCTACTCCATGTCTTTATTCTTACTGTTGTCTTAACATGAAATCCTTGCAACCCAATTCATAGTTTTTGTTCTTTGGAAAAATCCAGATTATGTATCATCAATACGTATTTTTTCTCTATTGAGATTTTCCTGTTTTTATGTATCACAGCCAGAAGTAATCACTGCATAGAGTATTTCTGCAGAAAGATGGAAGAGTTCTATTTTAACACAATATTTACTATACACCCAGCAAAGGTCTAGGTATTTATAGATACTATTTTATATATTCATCCCATCAATGCTATGAAGAAATATTAATAAACCCATTATATATGCTAAAAGGTAGCGACACATATATGCCACATGTGCAGGTTTTCTCAGGTATTATTAGCTAGGGAAGCTGTGTTGTAACAGTCTTCAAAAACTTCCTTCTATTGTTTACATGCTATTCCACATCATTTTGTTTTCATTTCTTTTGTAGTATCTAATGTATTCTACTAAAAAAAAAGTACAGAAGTTGGAAAACTCTTGTGAAAAAACATATATTACATATATACTATTCTTCATGATGCTCAAAATTTTCATCATTATTAACATTTTGTATATATATGTGTGTGTGTGTGTGTGTATGTATGCGTGTTAGATATATAATTTAAAAGAAAACAATAAGTTGGTGGCTTATGGCATATTGTTCCTTAAGTCCTGCATTTGAAACACACTGAGTGAATCAGCACATTTGATCATCTTTTAACTACAGTAGATGATTATACATTAAAAATGCATTAACCATCCAAATACATCTTTTTTAATTATTTATTTATTTATTTATTTTTATTTATTTTGAGACGGAGTCTTCTTCTGTTTGTTGCCCAGGCTGGAGTGCAGTGGCGTGATCTCGGCTCATTGCAAGCTCCGCCGTGACCTTGGACATATCCCTAATATTTTCAAGCCTCAGTTTCTCGTCTTTAAAATTAGAATAAAGATACCAAACTCCTGGGGTTTTGTGAGAGTAAAATGAGACGATGTTTGTAAGAGACTCAGCGCAGTGTCAGTATCTACCATGTGCTATGTACTCTGCGTTTTCTTTCTTTCTTTTTTTTTTTTGAGACGAAGTCTCGCTCTGTCACCCAGGCTGGAGTGCAGTGGCGCTATCTCCGCTCACTGTAAGCTCCGCTTCCCGGGTTCAAGCCATTCTCCTGCTTCAGCCTCCCGAGTAGCTGGGACTACAGGCACCGTCCACCACGCCCGGCTAATTTTTTTTTTTTTTTTTTTTTTTTTTTTTTTGGATTTTTAGTAGGGACGGGGTTTCGCCGCGTTAGCCAGGATGGTCTCGATCTCCTGACCTCATGATCCGCCCGTCTCGGCCTCCCAAAGTGCTAGGATTACAGGCGTGTGCCACCGCGCCCGGCCCTGCGTTTTCTACTGTGGATGCTACTGAATGTTTTTAGTATTTGCTGTATGTCAAGAGCTCTTCTAATTAAACTCTATGCGTAATGACTCACTTAAAGGTTGCTATTATTATCCCTATTGTAAGAAATGGACATTGGGGCACAAAGAGGCTTAGAAACTTGCTCAAGATCACATACCTGGCTGAGCGCGGTGGCTCACACCTGTAATCCCAGGACTTTGGGAGGCCGAGGCAGGCGGATCATGAGGTCAGGAGATCGACACCATCCTGGCTAACACGGTGAAACCCCGTCTCTGTCTGTCTGTCTTTCTCTCATCTCACTCTGTCACCCAGGCTGGAATGCAGTGGCACAATCTCAGCTCACTGTAATGTCTGCCTCCTGGGTTCAAGCGATTCTTCTGCCTCAGCCTCCGGAGTAGCTGGGAGTAGAGGCATGTGCCACCATGCCTGGCTAATTTTTGTATTTTTAGTAGAGATGGGGTTTCACCATGTTGGCCCAGCTGGTCTCAATCCCCTGACCTCTGGTGATCTGCCAGCGTTGGCCTCCCAAATTGCTAGGATTGCCGGTGTGAGCCACCACACCTGGCCTTTATTTCTTTATTTTCTATTGTTTGTTTGCAGTGATAGGATCCCCAATTCAGAAATCAAGTAAAGGAAGTATGCCTCCAAGAGGTATTGGAGTAGATAAACTAGATATTACAAAGCCTACAGATTCAGTCTATTAATTTTTAAAAATAAATTATTAATTTATTTATAAACAGTGTGTGTGTGTGTGTGTGTATGTGTGTGTGTGTGTGTGTGTGTGTGTGTGATGGAGTCTCGCTCTGTCGCCCAGGCTTGAGGGCAGTGGTGCAGTGGCCCGATCTTGGTTCACTGCAACCTCCCCCTACCGGGTTCAAGTGATTCCCCTGCCTCAGCTTCCTAAGTAGCTGCGATTACAGGCACCCGCCACCAGGCCCGGTTAATTTTGTATGTTTAGTGGAGAGGGTTTCACCATATTAGCCAGGATGGTCTCGATCGCCTGACCTCATGATTCGTCCACCTCAGCCTCCCAAAGTGCTGGGATTATAGGTGTGAGCCACCGTGCCCGGCCTATTTAAACAAGTTTTTAAAATAAATTATTTTATTTTAACTTATCATATTCCTTTATTCAGGGAGATAAGTTACTGAGATAACTGGTAGTAGGCAAAGAGAAGAAACAGGGTGAAGTCAGGTTTGTTGGTGGAGGAAAAATGATACTAAAGACTGCCCAACAAATATTCAGAATCCAGAAATGTTCATATTTCTCCATGGTTCAATTTCTCATGGGTCACTTTTCATTACAAGGATTCTGGAGAGCAAATAAGACAGGATTCTCTCAGGTATCAACCCAGTCTTTTTTTTTTTTTTTTTTTTTTTTTTTGAGACAGAGTCTCGCTCTGTGGCCCAGGCTGGAGTGTAGTGGCGCCATCTTGGCTTACTGCAACCTCTGCCTCCCGGGTTCAAGAGATTGTCCTGCTTCAGCCTCCCGAGTAGCTGGGATTACAGGCCCACGCCACCATGCCTGGCTAATTTTTGTATTTTTGGTAAAGACAGCGTTTCACCATATTGGTCAGGCTGGTCTCGAACTCCTGACCTCAGGTGATCCACCCGCCTCGGCCTCCCAGAGTGCTGGGATTACAGACATGAGCTACCGTGCCCGGGCCAACCCATAGTCTTTCAGTCTTCTCTCAGCCAAGGCATCCAGTGAAAATACAATTTATTTTTCAGATTCCTCTGGAGAATTAAAAAGTCTCTTTTGCGGCTGGACACGGTGGCTCACACCTGTAATCTCAGCACTTTGGGAGGCTGAGGTGGGCAGATCACAAGGTCAGGAGATCGAGACCATCCTGGCCATAGCCAACACGGTGAAATCCTGTCTCTACTAAAAATACAAAAATTAGCTGGGTGTGGTGGCACACACCTGTAGTCCCAGCTATGTGGGAGGCTGAGGCAGAAGAATTGCTTGAACCCAGGAGGCGGAGGTTGCAATAAGCCAAGATTGAGCCACTGCACTTGCTCTGGTGACAGAGCAAGACTCCGTCTCAAAAAAAAAAAAAAAAAGTCTCTTGCATCAAATTGCCATAGTCTCTGCTCTTGGTCCTCTTTTCCATGTACTCATTCTTCAAGGATTTATTTTCTCATTGCCTGATCAAGATCATTGCAATGACCAAAAAATTTTCGGATGCTGTGATTTTTGTAATATTCCTTTAAAAAGTTAATCATGATGTTGCGTTCTTCAGTGTGCAAGTGTGGAGATGTCAGGATGCCTCTTTAAGACAAGATGATGGGTCACAGCAGTGCCATACCACTCACAGCCACACCAGGAGAGCTGAAGGGGCAGTCACCAACGAAGATGCCCGACCCAGAACTTGGCTGCCAGGGAGCCAAAAGCCAGGTCACTCCACAGGTGGCCAATGCCTGGGGGAGCCCTCCACCGCCCAAGCTTATTATTATTATTATTATTTTGAGACGGAGTCTGGCTCTGTCTCCCAGGCTGGAGTGCAGTAGCACGATCTTGGTTCACTGCAACCTCCACCTCGTGGGTTCAAGCAATTCTCCTGCCTCAGCTTCCCGAGTAGCTGGGACCACAGGCACGTGCCACCTCACCTGGCTAAATTTATTTTTTGAACAGACAGTGTATTGTTATGTTGTCCAGGCTGGTCTTGAACTCCTAGGCTCAAACGATCCTCCCACTTCAGCCTCCCAAAGTGCTGGGACTACAGGTGTGAGCCACACCTGGCCAGGTTCTACTTTTTAATATTTAAAATATCTGAAATAGGCCGGGCACGGCGGCTCACACCTGTAATCCCAGAACTTTGGTAGGCTGAGGCGGGCGGATCACCAGAGGTCAGCAGTTTGTGATGAAACTCCGTTCCTACTGAAAATACAAAAATTAGCCGGGTGGGTGGCAGATGCCTGTAATCCCAGCTACTCGGAAAGCTGAGGCACCTAAACCCGGGAGGTGGAGGTTGCAGTGAGCTGATATCATGCCACTGCAGTCCAGCCTCCGCGACGCAATGAGACTGTCTCAAAAAAAAAAAAAAAAAAAAAAGATGGTGTCAGTGATTTCTGCTACATCAGCTCTGGAGGCACTCCGTACCTGATTGCTCCACTTTTAGTGGTGCTAAATTCAAATAATTCAGCTGGTGAGAAACTGACTCCCGTGGGAGTGCGGGCGTGCGTGCGTGCCGCGGAAATCCCGCCTTCCGGCGCCGGCGGTTGGCCCTGGCTGCAGTGGGTGAGCTCCAAGTAGGAAGATAAACGGGATTGCAGGAAGCGGGAGAGTCAGGAGGAGCAGGGAAGGGCTCCTCTTCCCCATTGGCTGCGCCCGCGGAGCCGCCTTGCGATTGGCGGTAAGCGCGGGTCGGTGGAGGGGGCGGCAGTCCCGCGCGGGCACGCCCCTCGGGTAGCGAGAGGCGTCGGGATCGCGGGCGCCGGCTGAGCCAGCGGCTGCTGGGAGGCTGTGTGCGCACGCCTGCGGGGCGAGGAGGCCGGGCCCTGCGCCTCAGGTCCTGGCCTGGGGCACCGGGGCGTCCGGCGTCGGAGGCGGTGCGGGGTTGGCGGGCGGCACAAGGGGTGGGGGGGCGGGGGGGGGTTGCTGCGCGGACCGCCCGCGGCGCAGCCCCCTGCCTCTCTCTATCTCTAAGTGGTGGTGGCTGTGGGTTTTTCTGCAGGTGAGCCTTTTGAGTAATTTGTTTCATGCAGGCGCCCTGCTGTTGGGTAAAGCGGCAGATTCACGCTGCTGTCATTTGTCGTTCAAACGATGGGCTTCCTGGCAGGGCGCGGTGGCTCAAGCCTGTAATCCCAGCACTTTGGGAGGCCGAGGCGGGCGGATCATGAAGTCAGGAGATCGAGATCATCCTGGCTAACATGGTGAAACCCCGTCTCTACTGAAAATACAAAAAAAAAAAATTAGTCGGGCTGGTGGCGGGCGCTGGTACTCCAGGCTACTCGGGAGGCTGAGGCAGGAGAATGGCATGAACCCGGGAGGCGGAGCTTGCAGTGAACTGAGATCCCGCCACTGCACTCCAGCCTGGGCGACAGAGGGAGACTCCATCTCAAACAAAACAAAACAAAAAATGATGGGCTTCCTGTCATGTGTGTGTGTACCTTTTGGATTTGAGGGCAGGGGTATGACATTGTGATTTGGCCTCCTGTGACAGTCCATTCTCAAGGTCTCGCCAGCGTGGTGCAGAAACCCGGCATACCTTGCCTATCTAGGAAGGAGGCTTTCCCTTCCCCACCTCCCTCTCCCTCCATCTCTTCCCTCTATCTCTCTTTCCTCTTCATTCCCTTCCCCGAGCTCTTCTCTCCCATCTTTCTGTTCTTTTTTTTCTGCATTAAACTTTTCGGGAATGTCTTTGTAAAATATTAAAAAGCGTTAGGTCTTCAACATGTATGTTTACTTGCAGGCCTGAGAACTGGGAGGAAGCTGGAGAAAAGATGCCCTCTGAATATTTGTGTTTGGCTGCCCAGGCTCGCCTTGACTCCAAATGGTTGAAAACAGATATACAGGTGGGGTTTGACATGTCTCTTTCTTGGTGTATTTCTGCTTCCATGTTTAAATTTCTCGTGTCTTTTTTTTTTTAGGGTATGTAAGGGGAAGTCAGTTGTTTCTTGCTATAGTAGAGGAGCAGGTTTGTTTCCTGTAACTTAAAATGTAACAGTCTTTATGGCTGTTTTTGTAGATCGTGCACGGCTGCCTTTTAATTAGTTTCTTGCAAGTGCACGAAACTTGAGATCTATGAATAGGCAAAATTTTTTTCCTATTTTTTTATTACTGGTTAAGAAATCTGCCACACTCCTAACCATATGATGGTGACTGTTATTTGTTACTGATAGTTTTTGAGCTGTTTAGTTAACTGTGCAGGGGAAAGTTGGAGAAGTAAGTTGCAGTAATTATGGCCAATAGAAACGCACTCATTTTATGAGGTCTTGTGTTTGTGTTTTTGGAGAGACAAGAGTTAGTTCAGTCGAGGTGTTTGTTTTGTATTTGTATGCAATACAAGGTCTAAGGACAATTGTGTTGAAACTGAGGTCATGATGTTGGAATCTTAAGGGCTGAAGGTTCCAAATAAATGGTATATATAGAATTCTCTCTGACTCGAAATTGTCCCTTTCTGGACCTCCGGATGCTGAGGCTAAGAATGTCCATATGATAGGGCCTTCCATGACAGGAGTCAGCAATCTTTTTTTTTTTTTTTTTCTTTCACGTATCTGTAATTCATTCTGTATATTTTAAAAAGTTTTAAGCTCTCTTCCTAGCCCTAGTATGTGTTAATAAATTAAAACATTTCCCAAAGTGTTTTTTTGTGAAACAATAATTCTAAAAGATGCTCTAAGAAAAGCTAAGCACATGGAAAAATCCAAAGTATATGTTTTATTTATTACATTTGATGAATTTGTTGTTTGCTTCTTTTTCCTCTCAAGAGGGAGCCTTGCTGTGTTGCTCAGGCTGGAGTGCAGTGGCATGATCTTGGCTCACTGCAACCTCCGCCTCCCGGGTTCAAGCAGTTCTCTGCCTTAGCCTCCTGAGTAGCTAGGATTACATGCACCCTCCACCACGCCCAGCTAATTTTTGTATTTTTAGTAGAGACGGAGTTTCGCCATATTGGCCAGGCTGGTCTTGAACTCCTGACCTCATGATCCACCTGCCACGGCCTCCCAAAGTGTTAGGATTATAGGCGTGAGCCTCCGCACCCGGCCCACGTTTGATGGATATTTTTGTCCTTTGTTCTTTTAAAAATTGTGGTTAGAAAGCAGAGCATAATTGTTCTTTATGTAGATCCCAACTGATTGGGGTTTTTAGGGAGATTTTTTGGCATTCAGTAAATGTTTTTATTTTCCATTATTAAGACTATGAATATTTTATTTTATTTTCTGAGACAGGGTCTTGCTCTGTTGCCCAGGCTGGAGTACTGTGGCATTATCTTGGCTCACTGCAACCTTTGCCTCCTGGGTTCAAGCAATTCTCCTGCCTCAGCCTCTCAAGCTGCTGGGATTACAGGTGGCTGCCACCATGCTGGGCCAATTTTTGTATTTTTAGTAGAGTTGGAGTTTCACCATGTTGGCCAAGCTTGTCTGAAACTCCTGACCTCAAGTGATCCGCCCGCCTCAGCCTCCCAGCGTGCTGGGATTGTAGGTGTGAGCCACTGCCCTGGCCCATTTTCACTTTTCATTAGCTGCTATTTTCCCCCATTTATTTCCTACCTTTCTGTGTATGATTTCTGAATGAAATGTATTTCATGTCTTAACCTTCTGAATTGTTTGTTCTCTCATTTTCCATGTTGTTAAGGAAAATAAGAGGCTAAGTGAGATGTATTAAATTTGCATATAGTTTCTCAGATCAGGATAAAGGCTCATCTGTTGCAGAACGGGACTCTGCTCTTGCTTCACCCAGGATGCGTTTCCTAGTTCCTTCCTAGAGTGGGGCCACGCCCTGCTCCAGCCTTCCAGACCCAGCTCCCTGCTCTGACATGATTCCACTGGACTGTATTCCAACTGTCCTACCTGGACCTAGATATTTTCTTTGTTTTTTTGTTTGTTTGTTTGTTTTTTGTTTTTGAGATGACGTTTTACTTGGCGGTCCAGGCTGGAGTGCAGTGGCGATCTTGGCTCACTGCAACCTCCGCCTTCCAGGTTTAAGCAATTCTCCTGCCTCAGGCTCCCAAGTAGCTGGGATTACAGGTGCATGCCACCACACCTGGCTAATTTTTGCATTTTTAGTAGAGACGGTGTTTCACCATGTTGGCCAGGCTGGTCTCGAAATCCTGACCTTGTGATCTGCTCGCCTCGGCCTCCCAAAATGCTGGGATTATAGGTGTGAGCCACCGCACCCAGCCAACTTTTTTTTTATTAAAAAACTTACATGAAATTTATTTTATTGTGGTATCTAGTTCAGTAAATTTTGACCCTATAGATTCATTTAACCCCCGCCATCATCAGGATGGAGAAGTTTCATCACCCCAAAAGCTCCCTTAAGGTGCTGCTTTTTATCACATATCCCCTGGCCTCATACCCTGGCAACCACTGATCTGTTCTCCATCAGTATAGGGTATTCTTTTTGAGAATGTCATGTGAGTGGAACCATATTTTAAGTAACGTTTTGAAACCATCTTCATTTACTCCTAGTTATATGTTTGAGATTTATTGTTGTTCTGTGTATTAATAGTTCTTTTTATTGATGAATGGTGTTTCATCATTTGGATGTACCACATTGTGTTTATCCATTCTGCTATTGTAGGACCTTGTGGTTGTTTCCGTTTTTCTTTCACAATTGTAATCCTGCTGTGAGCATTTCTGTACAGATTTTGTGTGAATATAGTTTCCATTTCCCTAGGATAAAGACCTAGTAGTGTGAAAATTGGGTCATGTGCTGAACTGTTTTCCAAAGTGGCTGTTTTAGTTTGCATTCCTGCTGGTAATCTGTCACGTTTCTGTTGCTCTGTGTCTTTGTTAGCACTTGGTGTTATCAGTGTTTTTTAGTTGAGCCATTCTAACACGTCTAGTGGGATCTCATTGTGGTTTAAATTTGCATTTCCATAATGGCTAACAATGCTGAATATCATGTTCTTCTTTGCCACTCTTGTATCCTTTGTGAAGTTTCTGTTCAGATCTTTTGCACAGAAAAAGCTGTATCATGGAACCAGTAAAATAACCAAGGAGAGGTTGATTAAAGTTCTGTTTATAATCCTAGAAGATTCCTGCCTTAGGGATATGGGATGGCTGAACATAAGACACCAACACTGGACAGATGAAATAGCAGTTTATTAGTCACGCATGCTCACAGCCCTGGGGGTGGGGGACACCGCATGTCACACGGGGGCTGCACTTGGGAACAGAGTGAACCACGAGGGGCTGTGGGAGGCACATTTTGTAGTAAGAAGAGGGTGAAATGACCTTGCTTCCGTGGGAAGATGTGATTGGCTTGTTGGAATAACTCTGGACCGGCAGGGATGAGCAGGCTGGGGTCGGGTCTCCGCGATAAGGAGGGTTGTTTGGCTCTGGGATCTTATCCGTGGGAGCAGAGCTTGGAGGAGACCTTGTGGTTAGGCTATTTGAGGCCTTCTTGATTTTACTGACGTCAAGGCAGCACATAATATTTAGTCTTAATTTCAGGCCACACAAGACATTCCTCTGTATCTACTTTCTGTGGCACTTTTCAAAAGGTTTTGTCCTTAGTGTTTAGCAGTTGATTATGATGTGCCTCATCATGGCTTCCTTTGGATTTATCTTGTTTGGGCTTTGCACAGATTCTTCAGTCTGCCTAGGTTTCTGTCATTTGCTGAACCTAGGAAGTTTTCAGCTATTAGTTCTTTAGATTTTTTTTCCAGCATTGTACCTTTTCTCTCCTGTTATTAACCTGTGGGGTCTGTGCTAATTCTAGGTAGTTAGTTTCAGAATTGAATTGCATTGTGGGACACATAGCTGGGTGTCGCAAAGAACTGGAGAATTGCTTGGTGCAAAAGTCCATACATTTGGCGTCAGAAGTGTTGTAAACAGAGGAACTGTTTCCTTAGGGATTTTTAGATACTCATTATTTATAATCTGGATGGGATATCATGTCTTTCACCGATTGAGGTACATTTTTCTAATTATGTTGTTTAGACGTTTAGTCACAGCCTTCTGTGATGGACCGTGTTTACACTTCAAGGTTAAGGTTAGTTCTCTCTTCTCTTCGCTTACTATGTCAGGAGTTTTATGACAGTTGTTTTTGACTGAAACGTTACATTGTCAGTGGCCTAAAGTCATTTTTCCCAGCTTTTCCTTTGTGTCCCAGTGCTCTTGAATTATGCTATCAGTGACAGCGCCCCTGCATAGCAGTGCTTGCCAGTTGGCAGTGGAGTAGGGCCTTGGAAAGGGTTAAAAGATTTTTGAATCATACTCCTTTTCTACACCCTCCCTTTTCCCATGGGTACGCAAGCATTGGGACTCAATGGATGGAAGCAATTCGTGTGAAATTGAAGTAGGTAAATATCAAATACTAAGTTTCTCAGTTGTGAAATCTACTAGGAAGTTAATGAAATATCATTTTGGAAGACATGCTTTAAATAATTTGATATATTGGTTTCTTTTCTTTTCTTTTCTTTTCTTTTTTTTTTTTCAGATGGAGTCTTGCTCTGTTGCCCAGGCTAGAGTGCAGTGGTGCCATCTCGGCTTACCGCAAGCTCCGCCTCCCGGGTTCACGCCATTGTCCTGCCTCAGCGTCCCGAGTACCTGGAACTATAGGTGTCCACCATCATACCTGGCCAATTTTTTGTATTTTCAGTAGAGACGGGGTTTCACTGTGTCAGCCAAGATGGTCTCCATCTTCTGACCTCGTGATCCACCGGCCTTGGCCTCTTAGAGTGCTGGGATTACAGGCATAAGCCACCACTCCCGGCCGATATATTGGTTTGTTTATGAAAATTATACTGGATCTGTTACAGGTATGATTGATATATTTTATTTTTGAGTTGTCAAACATTCAGTTAATGATGTGTGTTGTAACTTTTCAGGGAGGGACATTTGCAGAGACTGACTAATGGTATGGCATTCTGAAAAGCGGTTACAGATTAAAAAAATTTTAATTCTGCAGATGATAGTGTCAAACCAAGTGGAACAAAGAAAGAAGATCTGGATGACAAAGAGAAAAAAGATGAAACTCCTGCACCTGTATATAGGGCCAAGTCAATTCTGGAGAGCTGGGTATGGGAGTAAGCAACCAGGTAATCTTTGATCAGAGATAGAAATTAGTATAGACATTTTGCCTCCAGATCCTCAGGTGGTTTTAGAAATTGGTTCTCTAATTCTGTAGGAGAAGGTTGATACTGGTATAGGCTTACACGTCATTGAAACTGGAAAAGGTAGCTAGATATTCTTCTACTCATGTTTTGGATAATGAGATATTTTATGCTTCACACACTTGGAGTATGTCATCTACTGTAATACGGTATCTGAATGAATACTTTAAATAAAATACATTTCTGTAAGTTAATTGTATACTTTAAAAATCTCTGAAAAATTTGAGTAGCAAGTCTCAGAAACTTGGTTCTAAATATTAAGAATATATCCTTCCTTGGGAGGGAGCATGTAGTAAACATGTTAGTGTGATTGTAAGCATACTGTCTTTCTGGAGGTCGCTGTGTTCCTGCATCCACTGTTTTCATTTCAGGGATGTTCACGGAACGCCAGGCACCAAAAGGCCAGAAGCATGCCCCTGCAGGACCAGCACTTGGCTCTGGCCATCCTGCTGGAGCTGGCTGTGCAGAGAGGCACGCTGAGGTGAGGGCTTGTGCAGAATGGGAACGCTTTGGGGAAGCGCCTCTGTATCCAAATACCTGTTGCATTGTGTGCATTTCACTGAATCGTGTTTGACTGCAGCAGAGAGCACCATGTCCCAGAGCTCGCTCTCTCTTTACCTTTTCTTCACTTCCTTTTTTATGCTCAGTTTTCTAGCCTGGGAACTGTTCTTTTTTTTTTTTTTTCTTTCAGTTTTCCTCATTTAATTATTTTTATTCCATGAATTTAAGATCCTAGAACTTCCATGTGAATGTGCTCTTTGAGCTTCTTAACTGGTCTTTCCTATCAGCAGAAGGCGATGACTTGTGCTAAAATCTTAGTGTCAATTCAGTGATTTAATTACCACGGCTTTACTTTCATTTCCTTTCATATCCCAAGTATTGCTTCACTTCTATCTAGCTGTTTGCTTTTATTTTTGATCAACCATGAAAAAAAAAGTTAATCTGTTTTTACTAGGAATAAATGTGTTTTCTCCTTTAGCCAAATGTTGTCTGCCATCCTGTTGTTGCTTCAGCTGTGGGACAGCAGGGCACAGGAAACTGACAATGAGCGTTCTGCCCAGGGCACCAGCACCTTGCTTTTGTCCTTGCTGCAAACGTTCCAGAGCATCATTTGCGGTAAGGATACGCCCCCCTCCGAGGGCAACATGCACGTGAGTGTCATGATGGAACGTTGTGTTTAGGTGGTACTCAAGTCTAGTTATTTTTTACGCAAGACCAGTGTGTGTGTCCACGGCAGTGTTTTTCTCTGGCGTGGGTGTATTTGGTGGTAACAGCAGCGAGTCAGATGAGACAGGTGTGGGAGGCCACTTGTTTGTGGAGAAGACTTGGATCAGTGAGCACCGACTTCCTTGTCAGCACAGAACCAAGCTTGAAACACACACTTTTAAATCAATACTAGAAAAGAACAACGAAAATAGTGGCTTTCTTTGTTGGCCCTTCCTATGTACTGGGCTCTGTGCAGGGCATGTCATCTGAGCTGTCACTCTGTTTAGTACCAGCTCCCCCCTTAACAGGTGTGGACGCCGAGCTGGGGGAGGAGCAGGCATGTGGGGCCCTGGGCGTAAACCTCCAGGACTGCTGGTCTTTACAGTTCAAGTACAAGTTGAATTTTGCATCTTTTTGGGAAAGTCTTAGGCATTTCAATATCATGCTTTGGTTTAATTTTTCTATTATTTGTTAGTCTTTAAACTAATGATAATAGGGCTCTTCTGCCTTTAGAAGAATTAGAACTATGATTTAATTTGCAAATGAAAGTAGGTGTTCTCCAGAGTGGGCAATGTTTAGATTAAAATAAAGGTTTTGGTTTTAGATTTCAAGGCCAGCTTGAGATGCTGTTCTGGGTTCCCACAGAGGTGGTTCTGCCTTTCTCCAGGGGTCCTAGGCCTGTAGGGTGGTTTGGTCATGTTAGTAATCTGTGTGGATTCAACTTACCTGTGGTGTCATAAATGTATACATGCACAGTCAATGTTGTGTACATGTGTACAGCACATTTAGACATTTATACAGTTTGTATGCTACATAAATATATAGATGTATAGTATAACTGTATCATCGACATTGTCATTTGATGGGTCAAATGAGTCAATACCAAAATATAAAGAGTGGGTAAAGGCTAACTGTATTACTTTAATTTTTCCCACCATTTCTGAATGTTTGTTTACCTTTCCTTTCTAGCTTTTGTCTGGCCCTCTGAGCCCCAGTGAGAGTTTCCTGAGGTACCTCACCCTCCACAAGACAACGAGCTTGCCATTGATCTGCAACAAACGGCAGTTGTTGTCATGGCCCATTTAGAAGATCTGGCTACACCCTGTAGATGCCTCTGCCGTGTAGCTGTCCGACGTCTCATAAGGTGTGTGTGCAAGAACCGTGTTCTCCATGGGTTTTGTAGCTAGTACCACTTGTAGGTTCTCATCCTGGGCCCGTGTGGAGACTTGCTTTTTCTGGTATTGGTAGGGGGAGCTGGCCTGTGGTTTTTAAACGTGTTTGCAGTTGAACGTGTTATCCGTGTTGAGAGTGAATGATGAGCAAGCTGAGGCGCACAGGCCTGGGGACCCAACCTGGGGGCCCAGGTTCCAGGTTCAGGTGGCACAGCCCCAGAGAGCTCCCCTTTAGCCACAGCCCCAGGCCCTCCCACCTTCTACAGAGGGTTCCACAGCCTTCTTTATACTCTGAACGTGGGCTGTCTTAGTATGTAATGCTGGTTATAGTAGTGACAGTATAATTATATATTATATCTGTTATGTAATAGTAATGGTAATAGTAGTGATTTGCATGTGTGGAGCACCTGTAGGGTGCAGGCCCACTGAGGACCTCATGCACGCTGTTGTATCTCATTATGTCAATGAGAAAACTGCCTTTGGGAATGTTAGTGAACTTTGCCAGTGTATAACAGTAATCCTAGTTTTGAATCCAGATTTTTCTAACATTTTATTTCTAGTATGAAGAGTGTTTATTTTGTTTTACAGTCGTTAAAAAAAAAAGAGGAATACAGTCACATGGTTCAAAAATCAAACCTAGGCAGAGACACACTGTCACTTCCCCTGCCCACCCCTTCCACCCATTTTCCTACCTGCTCTCTCTGGCTTTTCAGTCTCCTCTGTAACCTCCTTGTTCTCTGGAATGAGTATGCTAGTGGTAGCATGTTGCATTACTTGTGTTGCTTGTTTTTTTTTTTACTAACCATATATACTGGAGTACTTTATCAGAGTGTCGCTCTTTGTTTTTATAAAGCAGCTTAGTCTTCAGTGTGTAGATATGTCTTTTATGTATCATTCTTCAGTGAGTCTCTTATTGGTGGACACTTGGGCTTATTGCCACAGTGTTGCTACACAAATAGTGCTGAGGGTCGGTTGTGGTGGCTCATGCCTGTAATCCCAGCACTTTGGGAGGCCAGGGTAGGTGGATCACCTGAGGTTTGGAGTTTGAGGTGATCAGCCTGGCCAACTTGGAGAAACCCCGTCTCTACTAAAAAATACAAAAGTTAGTGGGGCATGGTGGCACATGCCTGTAATCCCAGCTACTCGGGAGGCTGAGGCAGGAGAATCGCTTGAACCTGGGAGGCAGAGGTTGCAGTGAGCCGAGATTGCGCCACTGCACCTTAGCCTGGGCAACAAGAGTGAAACTGTCTCAAAAGACAACAACAACAATAACAAAAAACACAAATAGTGCTGCAAGGCCTGACCTGGAACATGTGTCCTCCATGTGTGCACGCGTGTGTGCCTGTGCACATGCACAGGTGGGGATGCACCTAGTGTGGGCTGGTTGTCACCAGATCGCTCCTGTACATCTTGATTTCTCTCACCACCAATAGGGATGCTGGTCTCCCAGCCTTGTGTGTGGGCTTTTGGGATTTTGCCTGCTAAAGCACAAAATGGTGACCCTGATATAGTTTGAGCATTTTAAAATATATTAGTATTTAAGGGCCATTTATACTACTTTTTAATGGGTTCTGTTGAAATGCAATGGAAATGGAAAAATAGCCTGTTCAGTTGCTTCATCATACCTGTTAAATGCGGTAATACGGCGTGGTAGGAGATGGGGTTTCACCATGTTAGCCAGGATGGTCTCGATCTCCTGACTTCGTGATCTGCCTGCCTCGGCCTCCAAAAGTGCTGGGATTACAGGCATGAGCCACTGTGCCCGGCCAATTGGATTATTTTAAAGCATAACTCTGTCTTTAAAACATTTTAAGGCATTTTACCTCTTAATGATAAGGATTTAAGAAAAACCCTACAATATCATTATCCTGTCTATAAGATTAACAGTGATTCCTTAATCTAACATGTAGTCCATGTTACATTTTCCTGGACTATCTCAAAAATGCCTTTTTTAGGTGGTAATTTTGAATTAGGACCTGAATATGTTCTGTGTATTGGCATTGGTTGACATAATGCTTCTAGTCTCTTTCCCCAAACAACATGGCTCCAGGCCCTCCTCTCCCTGTCTCTGATCATACCATTTTCTTTTTCAAAGAAGCAAGTTGGTTATTTTGGAGAACTTCACATTTTCTGAACTTGGTTGATTGCATTCTCTTATTCTAGACCAACATATTCTTCTGTTAGTTACATTAATCTGCTGGTTAGATCTAGAGGTTTGGTTGGATTTGAATTCAGTCTCGTTGGGGTGGTGTTATGTCTGGAGTCATGCTGCATGCTTTCTGTTGGCTCAGGAGGCCTGTAATGCTCAGTGGCTCCCCGCTTTAGTTCTGTGAAGCTAGACCAGGGAATTCATGTGTTGCGTGTCCTCTATAAAATCCCCTACCAACCTTGCCCTCTGCTGTCTGGTTAGCAGGAGGTACAATTTGTACAGGAAGGACATAATCTAAGCTTGACTTCTTGAACTGCCACCTCCCTTTAACTATTTTTCATAATATTGAGTTGGTATCCTAGCACTTGCATAGGTGACCACCACTCAGGTTTTCTTTTTTTTTGAGTATTTTTATGAACTAATAGACTTCTATTGATTTGGTGTTTCTTTTCTTTTTTAGCTTTTTCCCCCTAATATACACATTTAAAGGCGTAAATGCCCTCAAGCATGCATTTAGTTGTATGTCACCAATTTTGATCTGCAATATTTTGATTATTAATTGAACTCATTTTCTAATTTTCATAGTCATTTTTTCTTAGAATTTTGGGTTACTTATAAGTGTATTTTGTAATTTTCAAATATGTGGATGAATATTTTCATTTTCTGTATATACAGAGTCATTTTTATTTTATTTTGAATGAACTTTTGAAAACCTATTTCTAATTTAACTGCATTGTAGTCAGCACACATGCTGTGTAACTTTATTTCTTTGAAATCTGTTGAGATTTGCTCTATGGCCTGGCATGGCCTGATTTGATATTCATGCTGCCTAGATTTTTTTTAAAGCATTCTATATTTAATAGAATTTGTATGTGTGGTATTAGTTTCAGAGCTAGGTATGTATTTCTCCCATTGTGATTGTGGATTTGTTTATTTCTGCTTGTAGTTCTTTCACACAGTTTGTTCTTTTCATTTTACCTGTTGATTGATCAATGGACTGATTCTGGTTTCTGTATACAGAGAGTCATTTTTTTACAGGTCAGAACTGTAGAAATAATGAGGAAGTGACACTTATATGCAAAGCTGATTTGGAGAACCATAATAAAGATGGAGGCTTCTGGATTGTGATTGATGAGAAAGTGTATGATATAAAGGACTTCCAGACACAGTCGTTAACAGGAAATAGTATTCTTGGTAAGATTACCCTTCTTATTTCCTGGTTAAAAGTTACAGCCTGTATCATTTTAAGCAGAGTATTTGGCTTATAAATGATTTCTTTAGTTTTGTGCCAGCCCCCGCATATTTTAATGTATCTGTGGCTTTGGTGTCTGTCTTATCAACAAATTCAGCACATTTGAAGAATTTCCTTTCATTATGCATTTTTTGTTTTAATACTTGGAACTCATTTCAAGTTCTGAGTTGGCCCAGGCAACCCTGGGAGACAGTGGGAGGTCATTATACTCTGGTAACCCTCACTTTTGAGTTAAGCGCCTAACTTATTTCCTACTCACTGTTTCTCCTATAGCTCTTCAGGCAAGCTGAATTGAACTCCTGTTGCTTTTTCCCTTTTTCTTTCAGCTCAGTTTGCAGGGGAAAACCCAGTGGTAGCTTTGGAAGCTGCTTTCGAGTTTGAAGTCACCCGGGAATCCATGCACGCATTTTGTGTTGGCCAATATTTGGAGGTGAGGCTGTATGCCTTGAGTGATGCAGAGGATGGCAGGGGACACCCTCCGTGTGTTTGTGATAGGAATATTTGGATCTAGAAGTACTGATATCTGGGTCTTTTGGGGGGCATTAGGGATAATATAAAGATCCTTTAGAAGTTTTGTCATAAATGAATTTACATTTATTCGTGTTAGGATCTGTGATGTACTGGTCTTGAAAGATTGTTTTTTAAATGATCAATTTGTGAGAAATATAGACAGTGTTCCACAAGAAAAGAGGTTAAACTTTGGTCTTATGTAGAAATTTGGAATGGCTTATTATATTGAGGTATGTATTTTTTGGGAAGAACTATGTAGAAGTGTAATTCTTTACAATAGAAATATGTCCTTCCTATGTATTCACGAACACATAGAATTTATATACTGGGATTAGCTTTCCAGCTATCCACAAGTAATAAAATGTATTAAATGCCATTAGGGCAGGGCTTAAAGCATTTTATGAAGGGGAGAATTAACTTTGCTGTAAATATCTTCTGTGACTGGAAAAGTTGAACTCTTGCTTTTTTCAGAGTTTGATTTTTGTTAGAATAAATTTCATTTCCTCTACCTGTGTGGTCACAGTCCACTAATACTTGTCATCGAATACTTGTCATAGTTTTGTTGCCCAGTGGGTTCTTTATGCATGTAACAATTCATTATACTTTCTGAAGCATGGTGTACAGTCACTTTGGAAACTGATTCCTAAGGAATATTCTAGCCAAATCATGTATCTGTGCTTTAGTTTTTCTGCGTGTACGGTTGCTGCCAGCTTTATAGGGCATGTGGGTTTATGTGGTATCTGCTGTTACTTGGGCACAGCAGCATCAACTCATTACAGGATGGAGGGGCAGAACACCCAGGGCACCCCTGGGCTCACATGGCGGTACAGCTGCAGGACAGAGCTGTCCTTTTGGTTTTATGTTTTTAATTAATTCTGTTTCCTCAGATTGATGATGAAGTTTATTTTTCCAGCCTGACCAAGAAGTTGTCACCATACCAGATCCGGGAAGTCTCTCTTCACCTCTGATAGACACAGAGAGGAATCTGGGCCTGCTTCTCGGATTACACACTTCCTATTTAGCAATGAGCACACCGCTGTCTCCTGTCGAGATTGAATGTGCCAGTAAGAAAATCTTTGCTTTTTGCTGATTAGCAGATTATTTTTTTTGAACTGTAAGTGCCATTAAGAGTGGGAGAGGGCCAGGCACAGTGGTTCATGCCTGTAATCCCAGCACTTTGGGAGGTTGAGGCATGTGGATTGCTTGAGGTCAAGAGTTTGAGACCAGCCTGGGCAACACGGCAAAACCCCATCTCTACAAAAAACACAAAAATTAGCCAGGCATGGTGGCATGTACTTGTAGTCCCAGATACTCAGGAGCCTGAGGTAGGAGGATCGCTTAAGCCTGGGAGGTTGAGGTTGCAGTGAGTCATGATCATACCACGGCACTCCAGCCGGGGTGACAGAGCAAGACTCTCTCTTTAAAAAAGTAGGAGATGGCCAGGCGGTGGCTCATGCCTGTAATCCCAGCACTTTGGGAGGCTGAGGCGGGTGGATCACCTGAGGTCAGGAGTTCGAGACCAGCCTGGCCAATGTGGTGAAACCCCATGTCTACTAAAAATGCAAAAATTAGCTGGGCGTGGTGACGGGTGCTTGTAATCCCGGTTACTCGGGAGGCTGAGGTAGGAGAATTGCTTGAACCCAGGAGACAGAGGTTGCAGTGAGCCAAGATCGCACCACTGCGCTCCAGTCTGGGTGACAAGAGCGAGACTCCGTCTCAAAAAAAAAGAGGAGGATTCAACACAGTTGATGATGCTACAAAAAATAATAATAAGGATAGTGAGACTCAATCAGGTAGAAACAGCTGTGAGTGGCTGTCATTTGCCCTCATGGTCTGTTGCTGCAGAGGAAGCTAAAAAGTGTGCAGGAGTGTCTACCCGTCTACCCTGTGGTGGTCTCACGTATTGCAGCCCCTGCCTGATGGGCCCAGCATGGCTTTTGTCTCCCTGCATGCCCAGAAATTGCACAGAATGTGGATCAGCTGTTCTCTCAGGGAACAGCGTTCTATTTGAGGACTGCGTTTTTACCAGACCAGGCTCAAGTCAGTTATATTTCAGGATGGCAGCCTTTGTAACCACCTAAAATAATAAGCTTTTTCCTGTCTCCTAAGATGGGTTTACATTTTCCTTCATGTAGTCGTGCATTTCCCATCTGTCTATCTGTCCGTCCGTGTGAGCAGCTTCTGTTGAGCAGTTGCCTGGTGCCGTTACCATGCGAGGTGTTCAGGATGCAGTGATGGATAGGACACGCCTCTGCTTTCAGTTGCTGCTTGTTGATGAGCCAGCATTCTAAGCAGGTCACGTTACAAGGTGGTGAATGGTGAAATGGAGACGTTCATACGTGGTTCTGGGAGAAGAAAGGCTTCACACCGGCAGCAGTCCTGAAATTGCATGAGGGAGCATTCTGGGCAGAAAACACAGGAGTGTCAAGGGCAATGCTGAGAGGAGCAGGGCTTTCCTGCTGCTTGCGAGAGTGGGTGTGGGAGAGGCTTGCGGGAAAGGAGGATCTTGGTGTCCACACAGCCCCCCGTTGGGTGGACCTTTGTGCAGTGCTGGGTGCTGGACTGCCTGTGGTGCCCTCTGAGGTGTCTGCTTCCCTCCCTCCTCCTCAAGGCTCATTGCTTGCCAGAAGATGGGCTTTGTTTAAATTGACAAGGAGGGCAGGGCTGGCGAGCTCCAGAGCAGAGGGTGCCATGAGCCCTGGCAGGTGGGTCCGAGCCACAGGAGGATCAGAGGCTTATCTTGGAGCAGTAAGGAGGGGCTGTCCTGTGCTTAAAGAAAGGGGGCCAGAGAGAGTTGGCATTGGATTAGTGTTTCAGAAGAACGAATGTGGTGGGTTGGGGAATGCTCCTGAGTGCTCTAAAAATCTAAATGTCCAGTAAAAGAACAGTAAGTGCATCCCCGCTTTGATTGCTTGGATTTGGAGCAGTATTTGATAACACAGATCGTTAATAGAGATCTGTAGTGGTGCACATCCTAATTTTGTGTGTATGTGCCGCTCCCTCAAGTGACCATAAGCAGTTGTAATTAACATTTGCACTGGCTGATCCCATGCCTTGCACCATGCACAGGTCTCCTTTCCAGTCCATCGGCCCTCCCGTCTCCAAGGATCTATCCTTCATTAAAGATTGTGTGTTTGTTAAATATTTTCTCCTTTTCATTCCTTTATAAGTGCTCTAGGAATACATAGCCTACCCTGAGGATGTAATTCTTTGTAGAAACCCTTCAGATATGCTGTTCCCTGCCTGGATACTCAGCGTCTGGGTCTTATTCCTCATCTTAGCTCAGTTGTTGCTTCCACAAGTCCCTTACTGACCCTCAGAATAGCGGTGGTCTGTCCTCCGGTCTCCCTGGTACCCCCATAGTCATCCGTGCACAGTTTTGGACTTGAAATCCTGTGATTAGTTGTGTCAGCGGTGCCCTTTGCTGCCTTCCTTGTTAGAGTGTGCAACTCAGTCTTCACACGGTATCTGTGGAACCAGGCAGCTGCAGGCAGAGCACAGGTATCCAGAGAATTTTGGACTGGAACTACAATCCTGAGTTCTGATGCCGTGCCTGAGGTGTGTGGAATCACCAGAAAGTGTATTCACGTAGATAGAGGAATTACAAGTCAACCTGTGTAAACATGTTAGGTGGAGCTCTTTCATATGAATGATGCTGTATTTTACCTTCTAAATTGAGTGTTCAGTTGAGCATCTTTTTTTTTTTTTTAGTATTTATTTTGAGTTGTGCACTTGAGTTTCTCTTTCATGTTTGCGTGTGCATTTTCTAGAATGGCTTCAGTCATCCATCTTCTCTGGAGGCTGCAGACCAGCCAGATCCACTACAGCTACAACGAGGAGAAAGATGAGGACCACTGCAGCTCCCAGTGGGCACACCTGCCAGCAAATCGCGACTGCTCCCACAGATGGGCCCTGGGGGACCATTCTCAGGCATTTCTGCAAGCCATTGCAGACAATAACATTCAGGATCACAACGTGAAGGTGAGCTAGGCCTGTCCCCACTGCCACCTCAGTGCTCTGTTTATCTGAGGACTTTGACATAGGAATACTTATGTGCTCTTTGGTTAACATAGCACAGACTTTGTTTCATGTATTATTTGGAGGGTTTTGAGGTGAGAACCTGATTGTGTTAACATGCTAGCAAGGCTTCGGAAGCATTACTGATTGCAAGTGCATCAGAAGCTGTGGCATGTTTAAGATTTGTGAAGACTCACTGGCCGGCCCTGAAGTTACCTCCAGCTGTTTCTGTTGCAGGGCTTTTTGTGTCAAATAGAAAGGTACTGTAGGCAGTGCCATTTGACCACACCGATCATGTTTCCCCCCGAGCACCCCGTGGAAGAGGTCGGTCGCTTGCTGTTATGTTGCTTCTTAAAACATGAAGATTTAGGTAAGGAGCTCAATATCTGTGTACTTCAGCTAGACTGCAGATTCCTCGACTAACCTGTGGTACATATTCATTCCTTCCCTGTCCTTCTTTTAAATGTCTTTTTGCAGGTCATGTGGCATTATCTTTAGTTCATGCAGGTGTACTTGATATTGAGCAAATAAAGCACAGAACGTTGCCTAAGTCAGTGGTGGATGTTTGTAGAGTTGTCTACCAAGCAAAATGTTCGCTCATTAAGGTGATATATTTTAATTCTTTTTATTCTGTGCTTTGCAGACAGTTGCAGAAATATTTGTTGTTAAAGTTGTCTTTTCCTGGTTAACTTTGCAGACTCATCAAGAACAGGGCCGTTCTTACAAGGAGGTCTGCACTCCTGTCATCGAACGTTTGAGATTCCTCTCTAATGAATTGAGACCTGCTGTTGGTAATGACCTCTCTATAATCTCTGAGTTTAAATTGTTAAGTTCTTTGCCCCGTTGGAGGAGGATAGCTCAGAAGATAATTCGGGAACGGAGGAAAAAGAGAAGTAAGAATGTAAAAGGACAGAAGATACTATTAAAGCATGTGCTTCACCCTGCCTCGCTGGACCTGTGATTTCAGAGTGAAGTTTCTCTACTGTTGATTCCATGTGACATTTCTACCTGCTGCCATCATTTTTATGTATAGTTATGATTAAATACGGAAATCTCTCCTATTTTTTCAACCGATCAGACAATGAGGCAGTTTAGGAATTGAGTGTGGTATGATTTGATTACTAGTAAATTGATGTTGAAAACGTAAATAATCTTTGCTAAATTGATGGGAACAAGGACGTATTTTTATTTTATTAGTTATCCTGGTAATGAGATATAATGGGAACATTTAAACTTATTGCCATTCTTCTAAAGAAATGTTTTTTGTTTGGAAATATTGAGTATTCTGATACATGGAGAATTATAAAGGGAAGCTGAAAGAGTTACTGACATTTTCCTGGAAGTAGCTGTGTAAGAGTACAGAAAAGTCTTTTTGCATTAAATCCAAATTTGAATAAAAATGCTTAGAAATTATAAAATAGTTTAGAATTCAGTCACTTGTGATTATAAATAAACTACAGAAGTTTCTGATTATATCCTTTTTTGTTTTCTTTGAGACGGGGTCTTGCTCTGTCGCCAGGCTGGAGTGCAGTGGTACAATCTCAGCTCACTGCAACCTCCGCCTCCCAGGTTCAAACGATTCCCCTGCCTCAGCCTTCCAAGTAGCTGGGATTACAGGCATGCGCCACCACGCCTGACTAATTTTTGTATTTTAGTAGAGACGGAGTTTCACCATGTTGGCCAGGATGATCTCGATCTCCTGACCTTGTTATCTGCCTGCCTCGGCCTCCCAAAGTGCTGGGATTACAGGCATGAGCCACCCCGCCTGGCCTCTGATCATGTTCTTATGACTTATACTGATTTACTCACAAACCTGCTTATTGAACAGTATTAATTACTCAGTTTCTGATGGGCATTTTGAACAATAAGCTTATGAAAGACTAGAGCGTTTTAGAAGCCATCCTAATTTGATTGTTCCTGAACAAACCCTACACCATAACAGCCTGTCGGAATCCGATGGGTGCTCTGGATCAGGAAGTCACAGCAGTCACACTGCTGCAATTCCTTTAACCCAGGCATGCAGGAACTCAGCCCGGGCCCAGGAGACAGGCCTGCCTCAGCATGAGGGAGAGAGACTCCACCATTTGCCATTTCATATCCGTGGGTTCTGAGCCCACACTGTCACTTTTAGAGTTTCTTGTGGGTTTATAGATTTATTGTGTGTTGTTTCAAGCTGGTTTTCTTTTTTTTTTTTTGGAAATTAAGTAACTTAAGAAGATTAAGTGATTAATATTCCTGTTGCTGTGTCAGGGATCGCCAAGCCTTCTCTCAGGCTTGATGATTCACCAAAAGGACTCAGAAGAGCTGTTATACTCACAGCTGTGTGTTTTTTTTTTTTTTAACCGCAAAAAGGATACAGATTAAAATTAGCAAAGGGAAGGGTGCATGGAGGGAAGTCCAGAGGAAACTAGGCACAAGCTTTGGTGTCTCTCCCTAGTGGCGTCACGTGGATGTGCTTAGCTCTCCCAGCAACAGTGGGTCACATCATGTGTGCAGAATTGTTAACCAGGCCAGCGCACCTGAACCTCGAGTCTAGAGATTTTGTTGGGGGCCAGTCACATACGCAGGCAGTGCCCATGTGACTGACCTCAACTACTTACACTCCAGTGCCCCAGTGCAAAAACAAGTGGTCCCTCGCAAGTCACATCATTAGCATAAATTGCCTGGCCAGACCACTGCCACAAGGTCCTGGGTGTCAGGTATACCAAAAAACTTATCAGGCAGGATGTTCCAAGGCCTCAGAGCTCAGCTCCTAGAAGAAGAAGGACCAATCCTGAAGGGACAGACCTTCCTTGGGAATTTGCAGTGTTTGAGCAACCCCGGCCTGCTATGTTAGCTCTTTACTGCCCAGGTGTATTGTCATGTTGCTTATTTTTTATATTATATGCTGAGGAGATTTAGACCAAAAATTTTAAAAGAGATAAAATATAGGGAGGAAATTCCACATATCACAATGAATTCAATTAATTCAGTTACACACTAACAGAACCACTGAACTGGACCATGGTGGACAAGCCAGGAACTGTGGGCCAAATTCCACCTCTTGCTTGCTTTGTGTTGCCCGTGGACTAAGACCTTTTTTTTTTTTTTTTTTTGCAGTTTGAAATTGTTTTTTAAAAATTAAAAGAAGTATATTATTTTTGACACATGAAAATTACATGAAGCTAAAATTGTAGCACCATAAAGTTTTACGGGAGCACAGCCACACCTGTTGCTTTATCTGTGGTTACTTTTTGTGCTACAGCAGCAGAGTTGAGTATTTCCAACAGACTGCGTGGCCTGAAAGACTCAAATGTTCACTCTCTGGCACTTGAGGAAGAGCTTGCTGGCTGCTGGGCTTCCCCTGCTTCGGGGCTTCTCCCCTTGTCACGCTCTCACTTTGTCATTTTGTTCTGCCATGGTGATCATTTCACTCTTGTTGTTTGAGCCTTGCAATTTATAATGTTGTTCAGATGTTTATTTGAATGAAATATTTGTCTTTCATGTAAGTCTAAGTATTTCCTAATTTAAAATTAATGTTTAAGTGTATGATTTTTTATAGTGAATGATGTTTTAAAACACAGTTCCTAAGAAGCCAGAATCTACGGCTGATGAAGAAAAAATTGGAAACGAAGAGAGTGATTTAGAAGAAGCCTGCATTTTGCCTCATAGTCCAATAAATGTGGACAAGAGACCCATTGCAATTAAATCACCCAAGGTGCAGTGTTTTCTGTGATTCTGAGGTTAGCTGAATAGAATCATAGCATGTAGCAAAGGAATCCACAGTCTTGTACCTCCGTACCTGAGCATCCGGAGGGAGGGACGGGCGGTTGTTAGAAATACGGCCCCAGTGATGGTTCATGAACTTGACTTATGATGTCCTGGTCAGAGCTGTAGCTGGAGAAGGGTTTCCTTTTATTTTTGGTACTAGATTGTATCATTAATTATTCACCATTCATTCCTTAAATATATTCTTTGTTCCAGAAACAGTGCTGGGCCCTGTGGCTATTAATATGAACCACAACTTAACTTCGTATGCCAAGCTAGCCTGTTCCAACATATATTAGTATAGAGATAAGTTCACTTATATTTATAGCATAGTTTTAAAACCATGTATTAATTACTAAATTTAACATATTTTAACCAATTTAAACCTATGAGCATTATTTATATTTTACTTGAATAACTTTTAGAGCACAGTTTAATATTAAATAGGGTAGACTAATGATGAAAATTGTTTTCCTTTGTTAGGACAAATGGCAGCCACTGTTGAGTACTGTTACAGGGGTTCACAGATACAAGTGGTTGAAGCAGAATGTTCAGGATCTTTATCCGCAGTCTCCACTCCTCAGTACAATTGCTGAATTTGCCCTTAAGGAAGAGCCAGTGGATGTGGAAAAAATGAGATAGTGCCTACTAAAACAGATAACATTTGATGAGAAATGCTTCTCTGCAGTGGGTAATATACATAACACTTAACTGTATATGCATTGATATTTTGCAGTTGGAGAGAGCAGAGGTTCGCCTGGAAGGGATAGATACAATTTTGAAATTGTATCTGGTGAGCAAGAATTTCTTACTTCCATCTGTGCAGTAAGCGATGTTTTGTGGATGGCAAAGACTTATTCCTGAAGGAATCGATATAGGGTAAAACGTTAGCATATTTTTTTCCTAACTAAGGAAGCTGTGGCAACAGAATGTTGTTCTGTAACAGTTAGAAGTCTGGCAGTGTCCCGAGTCAAATTCTTTATCTTTATTTGAAAGGGAACCTCTTACTGATTGTTTAAAGGATGTTGATTTGATCCCACCTTTTAATCGGATGCTGCTGGAAGTCACCTTTGGCAAGCTGTATGCTTGGACTGTTCAGAACATTCTAAATGTTCTGATGGATGCCAGTGCCAAATTTAAAGAGCTTGGTGAGTCAACAATTGCATCAATGTTATTTTATAGTTTGCCTTTAATTATGTGTTGTGGAAACTTGCAAATGCCAATTTTTGCTTTTGAGAAGACTGTAATAAGTTTGTACTTTGTACTTGTATAATCTATGCTGCTGTCAGCTTTCTCAGATTTTAAACAAAACTTTAAAATTTAGCAGGAGATACAATGTTGAAGTACTCTAGTATAACATTTTTACATTTTGACATTTATATGTGTATCACCACATATCCTAAGTGTCTGTGTCCTATATTAATATTTATTTCCTGGATAGTCTGAGCATCTACAGAGAGTTGATTGGATTGGTTTTGTGGAGGAAAAGTGAGACATAACTTTTATATTTGAAATGGAAGGAATGGAATAGGGCACCAGTGTATTCAGAGAGAAACATGCTAAGTCCTGTAGACAGATGGAACGACCTGTGCATAGAATACAGGGGTTGGGCCCATCGTGCAGCATGACAGAGCTGCCCACTCTGTGGAAACCACTGAAAAATAGTCAGATGTTTAGAGTAATTGCCCGTGCTTTCTGTGTTACTTTTATTCTTGTATCCACGCACAAGAAATGTCAGTGGGTGTCAATGCTTATTAGTCAGATGTTTAAAGTAATAGCCCGTGCTTTCTGCGTTATGTTTATTCTTGTATCCATCACAAGAAACGTAAGTGGGTGTCAATGCTTATTAGGTATCCAGCCGGTTCCCCTGCAGACCATCACCAGTGAGAACCCATTGGGACCGAGCCTGGGGAGCATCCCGCAAGCCCGCTTCCTCCTGATGATGCTCAGCATGCTCACCCTGCAGCACAGCGCAAACAACCTCGACCTCCTGCTCAATTCCGGCACGCTGGCCCTCACTCAGACGGCACTGCGCCTGATTGGTAGGTCTGCACTGGCTTGAGAGCCTTTGGGAAAACGTCAAGATTTTGCTTTGATTTCTTTTTTTTTTTTTTAAGCTTTTTGTAAATTATGGTAAGACACAAATAGCAGAAAGTGTAGCATTTTAACGTCGCAATTCAGCAGTATTAAATACATTCACAATTTTCTAGAGTCATCACCACTGTCTGGTTGTAGAACTTTTTCATCACTATAAATGCACCCCATTTAGCCATCAGTCCTGACTCACCTGCTCTCCAGCCCCTGGTAGTCACAAATCTGCTTTCTCTGTCTATGGATTTGCATATCCTGGATATTTCATATAAATGGAATCATACCATTTGTGGCCTTTGTGTCTGGGTTATTTCATTTGGTATATATCAGTACTTTATTTTTATGGCTGAAAAAGATTTCCATTGTATGAATATATAACATTTTGTTTATTCATTTATCTGTTGATGGACATTTGGGTTGGTTTTGCCTTTTGACTTTTGTGAATAGTGTTGCTAGCAACATTTATATACAAATACTTGTTTGAACACTTGTTTCTAGTTCTTTTGATTATACACCTAGGACTGGAATTACAGGGTCATATGGTACAACTATGTGTAACTTACTAAGAGACTACCAAACTTTTCCACAGTGCCATATCATTTTTACATTCCCACCACCAGGGGGCAGGATTCCAGGGTCCCAGTTTCTCTACTTCCCTGCCAACACTATTTTTTGTGGTTTTCTTTTTTTTTTTTGGATTAAGGCCATCCTAGTGGGTGTGAAGTGCTATCTCATTGTGATTTTGATTTGCATTTCACTAATGATGAATGACATTGAGCTTCTTTACATGTTTGTGCTTGTTGGCCATTTGTATATCTTCTTCGGAGAAGTGTCTATTCAAGTCCCTTTCTCTTTATTTTTTATTTTATTTTTTTGAGACGGAATCTCACTCTGTCACTCAGGCTGGAGCGCAGTGGCACAATCTCGGCTCACTGCAACCTCCACCTCCCGGGTTCAAGCGCTTCTCGTGCCTCAGCCTCCCGAGTAGCTGGGATTACAGTCACACACCACCACACCTGGCTAATTTTTGTATTTTTAGTAGAGATGGGGCTTCGCCATGTTGGCCAGGCTGGTCTGGAACTCGTGACCTCAGGTGATCTGCCTGCCTTGGCCTCCCAAAGTGCTGGGATAACAGGCATGAGCCACTGCGCCCAGCCCCTTTCTCCTTTTTAAATAGGGTTATTTGTCGTCATCTTGTTGTTGTACCGGTAAATGCACTATGTAAGTGTACCAAACATTTAAAGAAGAATTAACACCAGTCCTCAGACTCTTTAAAAATTTCATGTATACTAGACCTTCACAGATCTGTAGACCTTTATCAGATATATCATTTGTGGGTATTTTCTCCTGTTCTCTGGATTGTATTTCCTTTCATAGAGAAGTTTTTTATTTTGATGAAGTTTAGTTTATCTGTTTCTCTTTTGTCGTCTATGCTTTTGATATCATACCCAAAAAGCCATTTCCAAATACAAGACTGATGAAGATTATCCTCATCTCATGTTTTCTTCCGTAAGTTTTATAGTTTTAGCTCTTATAGTTAGATCTTTGGTCCATTTTTAGGTAATTTCTTTTACACAGTGTATGGTAAGAGTCCAGCCTTTTCCTTTTGATTATCTGATTGTTTCAATACCACTTGTTGAGGACTATTCTTTCCCTGAGGTTCTCGGTACCCTTGGCAAAGATCAGTTGGCTGTAGATATTTAGGTTTATTTCTGGACTCTCAATTACATTATTACATTCTATATGTTGATAATTATGCAGGTACCACACTGTTTTGAACATTGTAGTTTTGTACTGTTTTAAAATTGAGAAGTGTGTCTTCTTTCTCAAGATTATTTTGTCTGCTTTGGTTCCGCTGAATTTTCATATGAACTTCAAGGCTGGCTTTTCCATATCTGCAAAAAAGACCATTGGGATTTTTGCTAGGGATTGAATCTGTAGATTGTTCTGGGGAATAGTGCCATCTTAACAATGTTAACATCCATTCTCTGAATGTGGAATGTCTTTCCATTTATTTCCGTCCTCTTTAATTTCTTTCAGCAATATTTTATTGTTTTACAGTTATCAGGGTAATAATGGCCTCATAGAATGAACTAGGTAGTGTTCCCATATATTCTATTTTTAGAAGAGTTTGAGGATTGGTGTCAATTCTGCTTTAAATGTTTGGTAGAGTTAACCAGCTAAGCTTTTCTTTGTTGAAAGATTTTTTTTTTTTTTTTTGAGGCGGAGTATCACTCTGTTGCCCAGGCTGGACTGCAGTGGCACGATCTCGGCTCACTACAAGCTCCGCCTCGTAGGTTCACGCCATTCTCCTGCCTCAGCCTCCCGAGTAGCTGGGACTACAGGCGCCTGCCACCACGCCTGGCTAATTTTTTGTATTTTTAGTAGAGACAGGGTTTCACCATGTTGGCCAGGATGGTCTCGATCTCCTGACCTCGTGATCCACCCGCCTTGGCCTCCCAAAGTGCTGGGATTACAGGCGTGAGCCACCGCGCCCGGCCTGAAAGATTTTTAATTACCGATTCAATCTCTTTACTTGTTATGGGTCTATTCAGATTTTCTATTTCTTCTTGAGTCAGGTTGGGTAATTTATGTTTCTAGGAATGTGTCCATTTTATCTAGGCTATTTTATTTGTTGGCATACAGTTGTTCACAGTGTTCTTTTATAATCTTTTTTATTTTTATGTTGCTAGTACTGTCTCCACTTACATTTCTGATGTTAGTTATTTGCATCTTTTCTCTTTTTTTCTTTTTTTTTTTTTTTGAGACGGAGTCTCACTCTGTTGCCAGGCCGGAGTGCAGTGGCACAGTCTCGGCTTACTGCAACCTCCGCCTCGCAGGTTCAAGTGATTCTCCTGCCTCAGCCTCCCAAGTAGCTGGAACTACAGGCTCCCGCCACCATGCCCGGCTAATTTTTTTGTATTTTTAGTGGAGATAGGGTTTCACCATGTTGACCAGGATGGTCTCGATCTCTTGACCTCGTGATCCGCCCACCTCAGCTTCCCAAAGTGCTGGGATTGCAGGCGTGAGCCACCTTGCCTGGCCTCTTTTTTTCTTAATTTGCGGAAAGTTTATCAGATTTTTTGTTCTTGCCAGAAACCGAACTTTTGGTTTTGTAGATTATTTTTCCATTCCCTATTTAATTTATGGCTGCTCTAATCTCTGTCGTTTCCTTCCTTCTGCTTTGTATTTTTTTGTTTTTGTTTTTGTTTTTTTGTCTTTGTTTTGAGACAGGGTCTTACTTTGTCCCTCAGGCCGAAGTACAGTGGCGCAGTCATGGCTCACTGCAGCCTCAACCTCCTTGGCTCAAGTTATCCACCTGCCTCAACCTCCCAAAGTGCTGGGATTACAGGTGTGAGGCACCACACCTGGCCTAACTTTGGTTTTTATTGTGTTCTTATTTTTTTAGTTCTTCCAGATGTAGAGTTATTGATTTGAGATCATCTTCTGTGAATGCAGACTTCTATAGTATAATTGCCCGTCTTAGCCCTGCTTTTGGCGCAGCACAGAAGTTTTGGTATGTTGTGTTTTCATTCATCTCATAGTATTTTCTAATCTCCCTTGTGATTTCTTCTTTGACCCACTGATTGTTTACCGTGTGTTGTTTAATTTTCATATACTTGTGAATTTTCCACTTTTCCTTTTGTTATTAATTTCTCATCATTTCATTTTGGTTGGAGAAGGTAATTTGTATGATTTTAGTCTGTTTAAATTTGAGACTTTGTGGCCTAACATATGGTCTGGTCAGTCTAAGAGAGTGTTCTGTGGTATACTTGAGAATAATGTTTATTCTGCTCTTTTTGGTGAAATGTTCTGTATATGTCTATTAGATCTGATTGGTTTATGGTGGTGTTCTTTGGCTAAAACTGAGATGCTGCAGGGCCCGTTGTCAAAGTCACAGTGAAAAAGCAAGGTTTTCCCAAGCTCTTTTAATCACATCAGTCTTAGAGTTCACATTAATCCATTCAAAAATACGTATCAGGCCAGGCTGTAATCCTAGCACTTTGGGAGGCTGAGGCGGGTGGATTGCTTGAGCTCAGGAGTTTGAGACCAACTTGGGCAACATAGCGAAACCCTGTCTCTATAAAAAATATGAAAATTAGCTTGGCATAGTGGTGTGTGCCTGTGGTCCCAGCTACCTGGGAGGCTGAGGTGGGAGGATTGCTTGAGCCAGGGAGGCAGAGGTTGCAGTGAGCGGAGATCAAGCCACTGCACTCCAGCCTGGGCGACAGAGTGAAATCCTGTCTTGGGGGTGGGGGGAATCTTTCTGTCTGTCTGTCTGTCAGTTTGTCTCTCTCTCTCTCTCTCTCTATATATATATATGTATATAATTATTTTTTAATTTATATATTATATTTATATGTTGTATTATGTTAAATATATATTTTAATATGTGTATTACAGCTGAAAAGAATCATCTAGTAAGAGTTATATCTGATTTCTTGAGGCCTCATTAGCAACCAAAAGTTACATTTAAAAATTACAGAAGCATATCTCCATCGAGAAATGGCCTTTTTATGTTGTCTGCTTTTTCCCCAGAGGTTCCAATAAGTAAAAATCACAGCACAAATCATTAAGTATGGGGACTTGTTCTGTTGATAGTATTCATGTGTTTAAATTTCATCTGGCCCACTGGCTGCAAAAAGCAAGGAAGTTGTGTCTCATGAATATCCGTCTATATTTGCAGCTTGCCCTGATCAGGGTATCCTTCTTATCATTTAAGAAATTATAAGCATATAATATTTTATACCAGCTTAATGTGTACATCCACATGTAACAGCCACAAAACATAAAGCTATGTAAAATAAAAAATTTCCCCCAGTTTTGGTTGCAAATTTATTCAAGCCCTTAGCAATAAATTCAGTCTTTACAGAGTTAACAGTATAGCTGCCCAGGGGATCCTGGGAGATCCACCTGGAATGCAACTCCTGTCCCTTCCTTGGGGCCCCTTCCTGGGAGCCCTAAAGTAGCGGCTAGGCTAAAGGAAAGGCTGTTTCCCCCGCTAGTTTATCTAAAGTTTTGCTCCAGCCCTGGGAATTGAATATCCTTTTTTGCTCTCTTGGAAGAGAGAGAAACACAAACTTTTTACATTTTTTGGCTCACCCAAGCCCACCTTTGGGACCGTTTGGATCTTTTTCCCTCCCACCTGGAGGAGAAAACTAAAATCAAGGGAGTTACCAGAACCGCACTCCTACCCGCTCTCAGTTTAGCAAGTGAGAAAAGGGGGGTTAAAAATCTAGCCTACTCTCCTAGGGTTAGCTCTCCTATTTTCAAATCCATTGGTAAGTTTTACTTCTCTCAGGTGACAGCAGCTCAGCTTCTGTTTCATGCTATGGATGACTCTGTAGCCACCCAGGGCACCAATTGTCAGGGGTCTCCAGGTTTGATGGTTGGCCAGGAGGACTCACAAGACTCAGCATGTAGTTGTACTCAGGGCTATAGTTTATTACAGTGAAGGGACACAGAGCAAAATCATGAAAAAGGACGTGTGTAAAGTCCAGAGGAAAGCAGGTACAAGCTTCCACAGGATCCACACAGGACGAGCATAACTGCCCCGGCACCGAGCCATGTCAAGTGCTGTCTGCCGGGAAGCTGGGTAGAGACTCCAGGCCCAGGGTTTCCATCAGGGCTGACCACATGGGCACCCCGTGCCTGGTGCATACCAAGTTCCAGAACAAGGAAAGCAGGTTTCAGCACAGACCATGTTGTTTGTACAGTCAATTCAGGCACAGCGAACCACAACTACCACCTAGGGAATTGGGGAGCCCTCCTGAAATCCAGACTCCAGCCGAGGGCTAGCCTGCAGCAATCCTGTCTGAGGTTGTATCTCGGGCCAGCTGTTAGCTGTCTTCTGCACAGAACCATGATTAAAGTTTGTCAGTTTCCCACTGTTAGATATTTAGGTAGTTATCTTTGTTTTTCTATTAATAAAAAATGTGATGAGTATCTTTCTAACTCAGTTATTTTGCTTTTTACGGGGGAGTAATTCCTAGAAGTAGAGAAAGTAGCTTTACTGAGCATTTTAATATCTTTTATATCTTCCTAGGATATTTATGTATTTTGTCCTTCCGTTTATCTTCTTTTTATCGTATATCAGTAAAATATTCATAGTATTATATTGATAAACATATAGTATGGATTCTTCAAAACATTATGATCTTCATTAGTATTTTTTAAATGTTTTGTGTGTATTAAAGGGACATTGTAGCTACTTGTTGGCTCAGCTATTGTTTTTGATGCTCTGTCAGGCCCCAGTTGTGACAATGTTGAGGAAGATATGAATGCTTCTGCTCAAGGTGTTTCTGCCACAGTTTTGGAAGCAACAAGGAAGGAAACGGCTCCTGTGCATCTCCCTGTTTCAGGGCCAGAACTGGCTGCCACGATGAAGATTGGAACGAGGGTCATGAGAGGTGTGGACTGGAAATGGGGCGATCAGGTACTCAGAGATTTGATGTGAACACATTAGCCACACATTAGTTATCTTCTGCACAGGTCTGTACGATACTGGTGGGTGGAAATTGGAATAATCCAGGATGTGTCGGTTGATAGATGACACAGGTGTTGGTTCCCGAGCTGCTGAAGGGAGTGAACACAAATAGGGAATCATAAGTAGGGCATCTGAGCAGAATCAAGTCTGGAAAGAGAGGCAGCTCTTTTCAGGAAACTCACTGGCATGAGGCTCAGTTTGATGGGTCACTGGAACAAGAGTGAGAGTGAGCAAGAGAGTAAATCTCATTCTGAAAGTTGGTGTAGTGAAGGCTCTGAGGCAGGAAGCCCAGATTCTGCCCCTGTGAGCTGATGGCCACGTGCTGCGAAGTGCCCTGAACCCAGTAGTTAGGGATATACTTCATGGGCCTGTGGCCATGTCTCCATTTTCCCTCATCGCAGGTGTCTTCTAAATCGCTGCCAGGTGCCCCCAGGTGGAAGTCACTTACCACAGCCCTAGCTAAGTTAGGGCAGTGTTCACCTTCCCATGGTCTGTCTAGCTTTTCTCAGCCACGCTAGTAAGCCCCGGCTTTGTCACAGTCATCTTAGAAATAGCAGTGTCTGGAGACAGCAGCATCCATCCTAGAAACAGCTTTCTCCTACAGAAGTGAGAGACAGAGCTTCCCCCTGGGGCCCGGAGGAAACTGAAGAAAAGGGAATGTGCAGGTGCTGGTACTTGTTTCAGGTTTCTGCTCTTGCAAGGCCGGTGAGGGATTGAGGGGTCAGGACTTGCTGCAAAGCCCTGTCTGTGCATTAACTCAGAGGATCCTCATTGAGATGAGATTTCCCCTACTTCCTTGGTAAAGCAGCATGAGCACGTTATTTTATGCCATTTAATTTAAAATGATGCAAGCACACATTTTGTAGGAGAGGTGAAATCTGTGTCTGGGGACAGCCCCTGACAGACAGGGTGGCATATGGCGACATCTGTGTGGCAGGTCTGGTGTGAGCCATGGAAGGACCAGGACAGAGCACGCACCCTTCTAACTGAGGTCTGGTGGGAGCCATGGAAGGACCAGGGCAGGGCACGCACCCTCCTAACTGAGGTCTGGTGGGAGCCATGGAAGGACCAGGGCAGGGCACGCACCCTCCCAACTGAGGTCTGGTGGGAGCCATGGAAGGACCAGGGCAGGGCACGCACCCTCCCAACTGAGGTCTGCTGGGAGCCATGGAAGGACCAGGGCAGGGCACGCACCCGCCTAACTGAGGTCTGCTGGGAGCCATGGAAGGACCAGGGCAAGGCACGCACCCTCCTAACTGATCTCTACTTGGGCTTTGTCAGGATGGGCCTCCTCCAGGCCTAGGCCGAGTGATTGGTGAGCTGGGAGAGGACGGGTGGATAAGAGTCCAGTGGGGCACGGGCAGCACCAACTCCTACAGGATGGGGAAAGAAGGAAAATACGACCTCAAGCTGGCAGAGCTGCCGGCCGCTGCACAGCCCTCAGCAGAGGATTCGGACACAGAGGACGACTCTGGTGGGTGACTCAGGAAGGCCTTTAGTCCAAGGCAGCCCACAAACTGTCCAGGTGCTGGCTGCCACCACTGCCATCTGGGCCTTAGAATGGGATGTCAGGACGCACCTGCAGCTGGCACTCTGTCCTCGGAACCTGCCATTTAAATAAGCTCCCAGGCACCTCCGATGCAGGTGCATGGAGTGGCTGTGGGATCCGGCGATCTGTCTGGAACTGACTTTCTGCATTTTCCTCTCACGTGTGCACCTGCCCCTCTTTGAGAATGTGGTGGCCAGGTCGGGGCAGCTGCACCACCAGTGAGTCTCATGTGGTTGGTGCTGAGCCTGCATCTGAGCGAGTGAGCCGAGGCCTGGTGGAATTGCCCTGCGGTCTCGGTCCATTGCCTCCTCCTCCAGTGAGAGCCCCCGCCTGAGCACACCCAACCTGCCACCTGTCTTTACCTTTCCTCTGCGGTCCCTGACTCTGAACTCTTCAAGTAATGTGGAGTTAGTCAGCACTTTATTGCTTCTAGGGAAGCAGAGGTGAGAATTTAGGGGTGGACCAAGAAAGCTAGATCCTATCTGTGGAGATCCAGGTTGTGGGAGGAGGTTTCATGACATTTCTTAGCTGTTCCTAAAAGACATGCGAAGCTTCACATGGCTGGGCTTGGTAAGACCATCCAAGAGGCTGGGGCTGCCAATATAATTTGTTATTTTGATTATTTTTTTTAGAAGCTGAACAAACTGAAAGGAACATTCACCCCACTACAATGATGTTTACCAGCACTATTAACTTACTGCAGACTCTTTGTCTGCCTGCCAGAGTTCATGCTGAGATCATGCAGAGCGAAGCCACCAAGACTTTATGCGGACTGCTGCAAATATTAGTGGAAAGCGGAACGACGGACAAGACACGCATGGAATGAGAGATTGAGGGCCCAGGGAGTCAGCGCTGGGGGCCGCACGCTTGTCGTGTCCGGGTGTGCATGTGGGTGGGTGTGGATGTGTGTGGATTCATTTCCTGTGGCTGCTGTAACAAAGTACTACAAACTTGGGGGCTTACGCAGTAGAAATTCTCATGATTCTGGTGGTTGGAAGACTGAGATCAAGGGTGGTTCCTTCTGGGGCTGTGAGGGAGAAGCTGCTTCAGGGCTCTGCCCCAGCTTCTGGAGTTTGCTGGCCTCTTTAGCGTTCCTCGGCTTGTAGAGGGGTCACCCTGATCTCTGCCATCATCTTCACATGGCATTCTCCCTGTGTGTGAGTCACCTCCAAATCTCCCCTTTTCATAAGGACATCATTCAACCTCATCAAACTGATTACATCTGCAGCGGCCCTATTTCCAAACAAGGTCACCTGCCGAGGTATGGTAGGGGTTAGGGCTTCAACATACGAATTTTGCAATTCTGAATTCAACCCATAACACTGGCTTCAAACAACAAATTTGTTCTCTCAGAGTTCTGGAGACCAGAAGTCCCAAATCCAGGTGCGGGCAGGGCCATGCTCCCTCCACAGGCTCTAGGGGAAGGTCCTTCCTTACCTTATCCAGCTTCTGGGAGCTCCAGGCTTCCCTGGTGTGGGGACGCATTGTGCCAGTCTCAGAGGCCTGCGTCTTCACATGGCCCCTGCCCCTGTGTTCTGCATGTCCTTTTCTGTCTCTGAAAGGACTCTTTCATTGAGCTTCTTTGACTCTAATCCAACATGATGTCACCTAAATTCTTACCTTAAGGACGTCTACAGAGACCTCATTAAATAAGATCATATTCTGAGTTCCGAATGTATGTGAAGTTGGGGGACAGGCACAGTTTAATCCATAAAGTGTTTGTGTGTGTGGAGAATAAGTATGAGAAATGTGAGCTGAGGGAGTGGGGTGAGTGTGCATGCGACTGAGAGTGAGCACATGTGAGTGTGGGTGGGTATGTGGGTGTGCTCCAGTGTGTGTGAGAACATGCATGTATTAGTGGTGTGCTGGAGCATCTGCACATATTGGTGAGAGTGTGTTAGCGGTTGATGGGCAAGTGGCTGAGCGTTTGTGTTGCAAGTGTGACAGTGTGTTTGTAGCATGTGGTTGTGTGGGTGTATGTATGCATGCATTTATGTGAGTGGTGTGTATGTCCGTGACAGCATGTGAGTGGGCAGGTGACTACAGTCAGGTGAAGTGGGAGTGAAAGCGTCAGTGCATTGAGCCAGTGTGTGTGTGAGGGTGAGCACGAGGGAGGCATGAGTGTGAGTGTGAGGGGATTACTGGGTGTGCCAATGAGATGAAGTGTAAGTCAGTGAGGCTTGATGAGTGTGAGGAAGTATGGGTGGCAGCACAAGTGTAAGTGTGCGATTGTGAGCATTTGTGTAAATGTGTATGAGTGCCTTGAATCAGTGTGAGCACGAGTGACGTTATTGTGAAGGCGTGTGAGCGAATGTGAGCATTTTGCTTGTGTCAGTGGGAGGTAACAGTGTAGGTGTGAGTGTAAAGTGAGAAAGTGGGTGTAGGTGTGAGTGTAAAGTGAGAAAGTGGGTAAAGGTGTGAGTGGGTGAGGAATCGGTTGTGACTAGTGTTGAGTGTGAGTGCATATGTGAGTTTTTGTATGCAGTGGGAGGGGTAAGTGTATGTGAGAGTGCATAGGAGTGTGTGTCAGATTGCATCTTAGGTTGTGTGTGCATACGTGTGACTGGGATTGTGTGTGTGTTAGTGATTGCGACAGTGGTGTGAGTGCACCTGTGTGAGGGTGGGTGTGTGAGTGCCCATGAGTGTGTCTGAATAACTTAGTATGGGTGTGGGTGTGAGGATGCATGTGAGGGTGTGAGAGTGTGTGTGTGTGAGCGCATGTGAGTATGCTGAAAGAAGGCAGGTGTCCTCAAAAGCTTGGATAGCTGAGGGCGGGGGAGGTGGGCGGGTGGGAGGTGGGAGGCGAGAGCAGGTCCTGTGGGGCTGTGGGCGGGGTCCCTTAGGGGGGCCCAGCCTCCAAGCCTCAGCCTCCATTCAGGGAGTAATGGAGTCCTGGAGCCAGGCGGAGCAGAGGTGGGCCCACTGGTGCCAGAATCCAATGGTGTAAACCTAGTGAAAAACTCATTTTGTTAATGCAGATGTATTAAACTTGGATTGGAAACTGTCTCTACTAAAAATGCAAAAAAAGTATTTAAGTGGTGCAGATTAAATATAAGCAAGATTGTGGAGATATTTAAAACACAAAATTAAAAATACAGTAGATACACTGTTGCAAATTACTGCTATTTGAATTATAGATCATTTTCTTATTGCCTAGAAACAATACATAGCTAAAATTCCCTAACTACTTTTACTACACATACTTAGAAGGTTTTAAAAATACCTGTAGTCTCAGCTATTCAGCAGGGCAAGGCAGGAGAATCACTTGAAGGAGTTTTAGACCAGCCTGGGCAACGTAGTGAGGGCAGGGCCCATCTCTTAAAAAAAAAAAAAACAAAAAAAAAAAAAAAAGAAAAATGCGGAAATGTTTCTTGAACTACCTTAAAAGCCTTCTTGCACTTCTCACTTTGAATTAGTTTGAATTAATTTACAAACTGCAATATATTTTAAAGGAGCTTATTGTAGAAAATAAAATAAGTTGATAAAAAAATAAGGATTTATCTTTAGGGATTTGTCTTTAGGGACTTGTTACCAAGCATGTCTATTTTCCCTCCCGCAGCTTCTCCAAACAGGCTGGTGTACAGGGAGCAACACCGGAGCTGGTGCATGCTGGGGTTTGTGCGGAGCATCGCTCTCACGCCGCAGGTGTGCGGCGCCCTCAGCTCCCCGCAGTGGATCACGCTGCTCATGAAGGTCATGAAAGGGCACGCACCCTTCCCTGCCGCCTCGCTGCAGAGGCAGGTAACGTGCTGCCAGGCAAAACCAGTTCCCTGAGAGAGGCATCCATGTACTGAAGTTCCCTGCCCTTAGAGTCGGGCCTTTATTCAGTAAGGAGTGCAGAAAGGGTCTAGAAGTAACAGGGTAGATTTTCTGGAGGCAAGGGGCAGTGGTCCTTGATAATTGGTAAGTTGCTAACCTTTAGTTTACCTGCTTTTAAGTGGTAAATCCTGCAACTACTTGCTCATCTGCTTCACAGAATTTGTAGCATAATTGTCTTAAGAATTAAACTAAAAATAATTCTTTTTTAATTAAACACATGCATCTGTAATGTTGCTTTTTTCTAAAGTCCCTGACAATCCTAATCACTAATCAACTTGAGTGTAATTACCTGGCTGTAAAATAACGAATCTCAAAATTTTCACATGATTATTTGCATTATGAGAACAGAAAATAAAGAGAGGCTGGGCACAGTGGCTCATGCCTGTAATCCCAGCACTTTGGGAGGCCGAGGCAGGTGGATCATGAGGTCAGGAGTTTGAGACCAGCCTGGCCAACATAGTGAAATCCTGTCTCTACTAAAAATCCAAGAAAAATGAGCCGGGCTTGGTGGTGGGTGCCTGTAATCCCAGCTACTCAGGAAGCTAAGGCAAGGAGAATCGCTTGAACCTGGGAGGTGGAGGTTGTAGTGAGCCGAGACCGTGCCACTGCACTCCAGCCCGGGTGACAGTGCGAGACTCTGTCTCAAAAAAAAAAAAAAAAAAAAAAGAAAGAAAAGAGAAAGTAACAATCTGTAGTTTCTTAATCAGATTTTTAATGCTTGTCATTTTAAGTTTTCTTTTATCAGATCTTAGCTGTGCATTTGTTGCAAGCAGTCCTTCGGTCATGGGACAAGACCAAAAGGGCGAGGGACATGAAATGCCTGGTGGAGAAGCTGTTTGACTTCTTGGGGAGCTTGCTCACTACCTGCTCCTCTGACGTGCCATTACTCAGAGGTGGGTGGCCGTCTCCCTTCCCCATGCCCTGGTGAAGAGCGGCACAGTGCCATCACTCAGAGGTGGGTGGCTGTCTCCCTTCCCTGTGCCCTGGTGAATTGTGGCACAGTGCCATCACTCAGAGGTCGGTGGCCATCTCCCTTCCCTGTGTCCTGGTGAAGAGCAGTGCAGCAGCTTCTCCCCTTGTTTCCTCCTCAGAGTCCATGCCGAGGTGGCGCAGGGTGTGCCCGCAGGCCTTGCTGACTGCCACCCATAGCAGCACACTGGTGGAGGTGGTGGTGGCACTGCTGTGCACGCTGCACTCCCTGACTCAGTGGAATGGGCTCATCAACAAGTACATCAACTCCCAGCTCCGCTCCATCACCCACAGCTTTGCGGGAAGGCCTTCTGAAGGGGTGAGTTTGTGTTCTCAGAATTAATTTAGTTGAACAGTAAACTTGTAGGGATTGGGCAGCTCCGTGAGTGTCCCTGGTCGAGCTCACTGTTTGGTCTGCACTAGGCCCAGTTAGAGGACTACTTCCCCAACTCCGAGAACCCTGAAGTGGGGGGCCTCATGGCGGTCCTGGCTGTGATTGGAGGCATCGATGGTCGCCTGTGCCTGGGCGGCCAAATTGTGCACGATGAGTTTGGAGAAGGCACCGTGACTGGCATCACCCCGAAGGGCAAAATCACCGTGCAGTTCTCTGACATGCGGACGTGTCACATTTGCCCATTGAATCAGCTGAAACCAGTAGGTGAACTTGTGCTCAGTTACTGTATGATAAGGGAAATTGGCTTTACACTAGGACCCAGCACCAACATTAGCACTTGAAAGAACTTGATTCTGGTACTTCAAGTTTGCCTTCTAGGAAGCTGTGTGAGCTTGCGCTTCTGTGGTGAGCAGGGCCTGTCTCACAGGGCACCTAAAGCAGTGGTTCCTGTGTTTTTCAGCCTCAGAGACATGAAGAGGGCTTTAGCAACCTAGAAGGTACCGTGCGTCTATGAGGTAGTTCTAATTATTTTAAAATGTGAATTTATGAAGTTTACTTTTTATTGAACAACTCAAGTTTTAAAAAAACTTTTTTTTAAGTTTTTTTTTTCTTTTATTATTATACTTTAAGTTTTAGGGTAAATGTGCACATTGTGCAGGTTAGTTACATATGTATACATGTGCCATGCTGGTGCGCTGCACCCACTAACTTGTCATCTAGCATTAGGTATATCTCCCAGTGCTATCCCTCCCCACTCCCCCCACCCCACAACAGTCCCCAGAGTGTGATGTACCCCTTCCTGTGTCCATGTGATCTCATTGTTCAATTCCCACCTATGAGTGAGAATATGCGGCGTTTGGTTTTTTGTTCTTGCGATAGTTTACTGAGAATGATGATTTCCAATTTCATCCATGTCCCTACAAAGGACATGAACTCATCGTTTTTTATGGCTGCATAGTATTCCATGGTGTATATGTGCCACATTTTCTTAATCCAGTCTATCATTGTTGGACATTTGGGTTGGTTCCAAGTCTTTGCTATTGTGAATAATGCCGCAATAAACATACGTGTGCATGTGTCTTTATAGCAGCATGATTTATAGTCCTTTGGGTATATACCCAGTAATGGGATGGCTGGGTCAAATGGTATTTCTAGTTCTAGATCCCTGAGGAATCGCCACACTGACTTCCACAATGGTTGAACTAGTTTACAGTCCCACCAACAGTGTAAAAGTGTTGCTATTTCTCCACATCCTCTCCAGCACCTGTTGTTTCCTGACTTTTTAATGATTGCCATTCTAACTGGTGTGAGATGGTATCTCATTGTGGTTTTGATTTGCATTTCTGTGATGGCCAGTGATGGTGAGCATTTTTTCATGTGTGTTTTGGCTGCATAAATGTCTTCTTTTGAGAAGTGTCTGTTCATGTCCTTCGCCCACTTTTTGATGGGGTTGTTTGTTTTTTTCTTGTACATTTGTTTGAGTTCATTGTAGATTCTGGATATTAGCCCTTTGTCAGATGAGTAGGTTGTGAAAATTTTCTCCCATTTTGTAGGTTGCCTGTTCACTCTGATGGTAGTTTCTTTTGCTGTGCAGAAGCTCTTTAGTTTAATTAGATCCCATTTGTCAATTTTGGCTTTTGTTGCCATTGCTTTTGGTGTTTTAGACATGAAGTCCTTGCCCATGCCTATGTCCTGAATGGTAATGCCTAGGTTTTCTTCTAGGGTTTTTATGGTTTTAGGTCTAACATTTAAGTCTTTAATCCATCTTGAATTGATTTCTGTATAAGGTGTAAGGAAGGGATCCAGTTTCAGCTTTCTACATATGGCTAGCCAATTTTCCCACCACCATCTATTAAATAGGGAATCCTTTCCCCATTGCTTGTTTTTCTCAGGTTTGTCAAAGATCAGATAGTTGTAGATATGCAGCGTTATTTCTGAGGGCTCTGTTCTGTTCCATTGATCTATATCTCTGTTTTGGTACCAGTGCCATGCTGTTTTGGTTACTGTAGCCTTGTAGTATAGTTTGAAGTCAGGTAGTGTGATGCCTCCAGCTTTGTTCTTTTGGCTTAGGATTGACTTGGTGATGCGGGCTCTTTTTTTGGTTCCATATGAACTTTAAAGTAGTTTTTTCCAATTCTGTGAAGAAAGGCATTGGTAGCTTGATGGGGATGGCATTGAATCTGTAAATTACCTTGGGCAGTATGGCCATTTTCACGATACTGATTCTTCCTACCTATGAGCAGGGAATGTTCTTCCATTTGTTTGTATCCTCTTTTATTTCCTTGAGCAGTGGTTTGTAGTTCTCCTTGAAGAGGTCCTTCACATCCCTTGTAAGTTGGATTCCTAGGTATTTTATTCTCTTAGAAGTGATTGTGAGTGGGAGTTCACTCATGATTTGGCTCTCTGTTTGTCTGTTGTTGGTGTATAAGAATGCTTGTGATTTTTGTACATTGATTTTGTATCCTGAGACTTTGCTGAAGTTGCTTACCAGCTTAAGGAGATTTTGGGCTGAGACAATGGGGTTTTCTAGATATACAATCATGTCATCTGCAAACAGGGACAATTTGACTTCCTCTTTTCCTAATTGAATACCCTTTATTTCCTTCTCCTGCCTAATTGCCCTGGCCAGAACTTCCAACACTTTGTTGAATAGGAGTGGTGAGAGAGGGCATCCCTGTCTTGTGCCAGTTTTCAAAGGGAATGCTTCCAGTTTTTGCCCATTCAGTGTGATATTGGCTGTGGGTTTGTCATAGATAGCTCTTATTATTTTGAAATACCTCCCATCAATACCTAATTTATTGAGAGTTTTTAGCATGAAGGGTTGTTGAATTTTGTCAAAGGCCTTTTCTGCATCTATTGAGATAATCATGTGGTTTTTGTCTTTGGCTCTGTTTATATGCTGGATTACATTTATTGATTTGTGTAGCGATTGCACCACTGCACTCCAGCCTAGGCAACAAAGGAAGACCCCATCTCAAAAAATATATATAATAATAAAAATCAACTCTCATTGATTTCTATGTAAATATGCACAGGTGATGTCCATATAGACATAAAAAATAATATTTCTGACAGTGGGTCCATATGATCTTCAAAATGTAAAATGCCTGTCTGTGTAATTGACTGGTTAGACTCATTAATGAATATAGATTCAATTCTACTTTCTTGTTGTAGATAAATTATATAATCTAGCTTTTCATTTCACTTTTTTACTGATAACAACAGGAAGAATGACAAGATATGTATTTTGGAAAATTACTCTGGTAGGAGTAAAGATGAAACAATGATAGAATTGCACGGACAACTAGAAAAAAGTATGGTCTTCTGATATTCTATCACATCACATACTAAAGGCCTCATAAAACTCAGATATTTTATCTAAAAATGTTATTTTCATCATAGGAATGATCAAAGCATGAGAGTACAGTTGTATTAAAATGTGCTTGTATCACAAGCACAGGTGCTAAAAAGGAGGGGAAAACATCCTTACTGATATTTTCAATGTATGTTTTACTTTTCATCAACATGAACCTCAACTTGATATGATGCAGATTGAAGGAAATCACCCATAATTCCATATGAAGAAGGCCTGTGATATTTTATGGGAAAATAAATAGAGAAAATGCTAACGGAAACTCTGTTAAGCATGAAGCTTTATGGAGCAAACACAAATCCAGTGGTGAAAGATACACACTCGAGTTCTGTTTGTTGTCTTGGAACAATACGGTTTAGAGGTGACTGGCGGGTGAGGAGAACATATGCGAGTTCACCAAAGAGAATAGCTGAATGAGGCAATGCCTCTTCCTGACCATATCTCTTACTCAGATAACTATAGAATTTATTGTCCAGTAAAGGGTATATTAAAAAATCATATTAAAAGTCATGCAGTGAAGTTGTCCAGGGAAATCAAGACTTAACAGTCTCACTCTGACAATAATGAACAGGGGGATTCCCTCAAGATAGACTAGGACATGACCCCACACTGGCAGGTAGTAGTACGAGAAAAGAACGCATGGAAAATCTTTACCTTATGCTTGAGGTAGGGACCAGGCTAAAGTGAAAGCCAGACCTAAAATTCTATCTAAAATAAATCCACAATCGAAGAAAATATGTGGTGTACAGGCATAGAATGTCTTTACTGGATCATTAAAATAGTAAGATAAATTGAACTTTTTACATTGTTTTCTTTTCCTCCAGTTAGGGCTTGAGGTTTGTCTCTGGAGAGTGACTGACAATTGCAGCCCTGCCTTTCTGGGGTTCTGGTCAGGGGGTTGTGGATGCTTAACATGTGCCTTTCACAGGACACTTCCTTACCCCAGCAGTGGCCAGGTGTGCATCCCACGGCCAGGCCTCCCTCTCACAGAACATCTGTTGAGACTAGGAGATGCCTAGTGACTGTTGCCTGACTTGTGTCCTGTGTATTTCTGACAAGAGCCACTCTCAGAGACCCTGGCCAGGAAGAGAGTTAGGTTCCAGTGTAGGTCAGCTCAGACACATGGAGGCCACAGAACCAAACATGGGAAATCACAGAAGTAGGTTTATTACTCACAGATCCAGAGAGAAGAGGGTAGCTGAGAAGAGGGTTTAGCTGTGTCCCCAGCCAAATCTCATCTTGATTTCCCACATGTTGTGGGAGGGAACAGGTGGGAGGTAATTGAATCACGGGGGCAGGTCTTTCCCATGCTGTTCTTCTGATAGTGAATAAGTCTCACAAGATCTGATGGTTTTATAAAGGGGAGTTTCCCTGCACAATCTCTCTTGTCTTGTCTGCTGCCATGTGAGATGTGCCTTTCAGCTTGCGGCATGATTGTGAGGCCTACCCAGCCATGTGGAATCGTGCGTCTATTAAACCTCTTTCTTCTGGAAATTACCCAGTCTTGGGCATGTCTTTACCGGCAGTGTGAAAATGGACTGATACAGTAGCACACCTCATAGGGCTGAACAAAATGGGGAAGATGAGTGGGGAGCAGGAGACAGAAAAGGGGTCTGTGGGACTCCAGCCATTATTTGGCCCAGAACATTACCCAAATAAGTTTTCCACGGGGTACTAGTCAGTGGGGTGAGTGCCAGCAGGCACATTTCTTGACTCCCGCTGCAACCGAGCTGGTTACTGTGGCATGTGGGTGCTGTCCATGTGTGCTGTGAAGTCTGTGGGGTGAGTCAGGTAGGTTGTATCCAACGATTCCATAGCTGGTAGTCACCACGAGGAGACAACTGTGTAGGGTCAATATCTGGGCCAACCACACTGAGGAACTGTGAAGGTTAGAACTGGAAATTGTCAAGAGAATCCGAACCCAGCTACCATATGAGAGAGTTCAACTTATGTTCAATGTGAATGCCATGGCAATATTAAAAGGTAAGAATTCGATCCATATGTGCTTGAGGTAAAGAGGAGAAACCTAGAATTTACGTAAACAGTGAGAAGATTGGATGCGTTTTCCGTCTCATATTTTAATACTAGCAGCTTATTATATATGTCAATCCATCAGGCATTCAGAAATACATGCTTATGAAAATTTTTTGCACCATCAGACAAAAGACAAGTGTAGAAGACATTTGTAACCCTATAAACACTAGTAAATTAAAAACAGAAGGACCTTTATGTCCTAACATATCTGTGTTGTGAAAGGCTGCCCTGTGAAATACGGGATTTCTTAAACATATTTTAAAAATCATAGGTGTCAATATTTTTTAGAAATCCATTTAAATTTTCTCTTGTTATTTTACAATGCCTATTTATTTATATAGTGGCTCTGCTGATTTTGATGTATATCCTAAAGTTTATATTTTCTTTAAAGGATGTTTTATACAACTTTATGTAAAATGTTTCAGTATCTTCACATTCTCTCCCTGTCCTTTTGTTTTGCTCTTATATGGTGGTCTTGAGTCTTTTCTCTGGCTTTTCAAACCTAGTAAGACTAAGACACTAAAGTAACTTTGCCCGAGGTTTGGTAATGCCTTCTAAAGCACATCCTAAGCTCTCGTGCATACAGGGGCCTCCTTTGAGCTCTGTGCTTTTGAGATCCCATACACCTAAATTCCAGTACTCCAAATCAGTACTGCTCAGTTTTAGTGACTAAGTTTAAAAATGTATTTTAATAGCAAGTTAGTTTAGTGCCCTCTTGCTTCTTTCTCGACTGCTTGTATACATGTATATTCCTTTAAATGAATCTTGGAATTTATTTAGAAATATTAAATTATACTAATGAAACTGTATATTGTTGTGAATTCATAAGTGAATTTGGAAAGAATTTGTCTTTATGATACTAAATCCTTTTTATTCAAGAATCATATGTGTCTTTATATTTATTCCAGTCTACATTTATATCACTGAGTAAATATATAGAAATGTGGATACATACAGCTGTAGTTACAGATACAAATATAGATATAACCTGTTAAATCTATATCTATCCCATATAACATATATACATGTAATATGTGTGTGTTTATATATATATGTTTATGTCATTAAAGAGCTCCCTTAATATTTTTCTTTTATTTCCCTTATAATTTGAGGTTGAGCTTGAATTTTCCTTGTATAAACAAGCAAATATTTATACTAGTTTTAATACTGATGTTTAGACATTGTATCTTATTTTAGCGCTGAATATTTTCACAATTATTATAAATATTATCTAATACTAATAATGTACCTGTTAAAAATATTTAAAATTTTACCTTTGAATTATTTTATTGTTGAATTAAAATTCCTTTAATATGATAGTAAATTCTATTTTATGCTTTCTCTATGCATATGCAAATTAATCTATCCACTTCTCTATCTCTATGTAGTAACATATGAAAATCAGGCCTCTCTTCTTCTAATGGACATACACGTTTGCATATAGAATATCAGACTCTTTGTAGCATTTAAAATCTTTAAAGACATGAATATTGCCTTTTAACAAATATATTTTACCATGTACTGAGAATCGCCTATTTATTTTTAGTTTGGGCTAATCAATATGATTATTAATATTACTGGATTACCAAATTTGGAAACACACTTTCATCCCAAATGTGGATATTTGGTTTTTTTTTTTTTGCCAATTTCTTGTCTTACTGTTTCAAATATTGTTGGATATTATTTGTATTTTATTTGGCATTTTAGTATCAACATTTGTAATTGAGGTACTCTACATATTTTTTCATCAGTATCTGGTGGGTTTCATAGTTACTGCTATATTGGATTTGTAGTAGACATTGACAAAAATTATTCCTGTATGTTTTACAGCTGTATGAAGGAAACTAATATATTTTACCCCTAAATATATTTCCTTGATATATTTCAAAATGGCTATTGAGAAGGGCTGCAAATGCAATGTTAGCTGCAAAGCTGTCTTGGGGAGATTTGCATCGGTAGAGAATCTGCCATGATGCAGCCAGGTTTTCTCTGAGGTCTGCCCCCTTGTCTGGATCTAGGAAAGGTTAACTGAGAGGCTGAGGTCTCTAAAGGTCTGAAAGAAACATTTTCTGTCTATTCTCTCTGAGGACTACTCCCAGTGAGGTTCCACCAATGTAATAAGTCCACTGTTGCTAGCCAGGGTCGTTTTCTCACATAACCTTTTTCTTTCTTTTCCCTGTGATCCAAGACCCCATTTTTCTGTAAACTTCATGTGGTAGATAAGCTTCTGCTCGCATCGTGTGACTGGGTCTTCGTTCTAAGGGTTCCAGTGTACACACATTGCAGAAACCTGTATGCCTTTTCTACTATTTATCTGCCTCCTATTCGTGATTTTCAGGGAAACTTCAGAAGGCAAAAGCGACATTCTCTTTAGCCCATTCTCAGACAAATTCCCCCAACATTTAACTGATTCCTAATAGCTTAAAATCACATTGAAAAAATCCATGTATTTATATCCTTTTCTTCCCTCAATGATTTCTGGTCAGCTTGGGTTTTGTTTTTCATTCCATTTACCTCATCCTCGAAAAGATGTATCTTACGTCTATTTATTCTCATTTATGGACATTGAGAAAAGAAAATAACTTTCATGTGAGAAATGCAAGTCCTTTTATATAATCAGGCCCAGAGAGTTATTCAAATGAGACAGCAGTTCTGTCCTGCTCCTCTTTGAGCTGTGTGTTCATCTAGGCTGCTTGCTGTTGCCACAGTAGCTATAAATTAACCAATAACGCCACACCAGACACTATAATCCACACCCCAAAATAGTGTAACAGTGTATAGCCAGTCACTAATAAATGTTATTTCCATAAGCCAATGAGAATTTGTGACAAACCTCTTTGCATCATCCCACTTCTGGACCCTTTTTTGCCTTTAAGAAACTGCTTGTTGCAAAGCTCCAAAGGGAGTTCATATCCAAGGATACTTGGGTCTGTTTCTTCCAGGCAGCTGTCCTCATTGTGGCTCAAGTAAACTCTTTGAATTATGTTTTGTGCTTCAGCCCCTTCCACTTAGATTAACAACATGGATTTGTGTCACCATGTACAGCAATTAAAATGTTTACACTTTTCCCCTCGAGGGCACTGATGTGTTTTCCTGAGCACTTGGAATAGCTACGTAGTGTTTCCTGTCTAGATTATGGTTTCTCAATCTTGGTGCTACTTACCTTTAGGACCAGAGGATTCTTTGTTGTGGGAGGCTGCCCTAGCAATGTTAGGTGTTTCGTTTGACCTCTAAATTTCACACCTCCACCAGTCTTGACATCCCCACAATAACCCTAGACATTGACAAATGTCTCCTGGGGAAAACTCTCTACCAGTTGACAGGCAAAGTTCTGGAAATATTGGAATTGTCAATTGAGATTTTATGTTATCCAAAACAAATATTTTTCTTTGTTTTTAAACATCTACTTCCATCTACTTATCTACTTATTTTTACTTTTATTTGTAACTTAATTCCATCAAGGAGAGAGAGTGCATTTTCTGTTATTCTAAATTTTTGAAGAATGTATTGATTTTTTATGACCTGATATATGGATGATATGTAGATATTACATGTTTGTATTATCAAATTTCATGGTGATAATAAAATAAATACTTATAATATTTATATTGTCACTGTATATTAGTTATTTTCTTTCTTCACTACAGGAGTTTTTCAACCTATAGGCTATTTTTCAATTCTAGGTTATCCAGTAGATTTTGAAATGTTATGATTAAATATCTACTTCTCAAGCATTCATCTTTGCAAATGAAACAATCCCAAGCTCTTATAATGCACATCCTATAAAGGGCAGATTAGTCAATATATGGTTCAGAAATAATTATGTAATATTTATAAGAAAATTAAAAATTTAGATCTTTAACTCAGATAACAATAATCCAAATTAAAATGTGATTTCATTACGTAATTTAAAATGACACCAGAATACTAGTAAAAATTATATTAAAAAGTTTATGTAATCTTTTTTTAGCTGTAGGACTTTATTAGCATAAATTCAAATACAGGAACCAAAGTAGGATTGAGACCTGTAGTCAAAGGTTAAAATGTACACATTATAGGGGCATGATTAAACTAATTTAAAGCATAATAACATGGAGAAATGTTGCAAAACATACATTTTACTGAATTAATTGTTAGTATCTAATCATTTTGTGAGAACCAAATTAAAAAGTAGCTACACATGCACACACCCACACAGAAGTGCAATATTGTCAAATAAACGATGTTCAGCTACACTAGAAATCACAACTGTGTTTTCTCCACAGAAAAGATTAAAAATCGCAATAATTTTTATTGTACATATGGAGGTAAAGATACTCAAAATATTACCCTAAAATACATTATTTTTTTGAGATGGAGTTTTGTTTTTATTGCCCAGGCTAGAGTGCAATGGCATAATCTTGGCTCACTGCAACCTCAGCCTCCCAGGGTCAAGTAATTCTCCTAGCTCAGCCTCCCAAGTAGCTGAGATTACAGGCATGCACCACCACACTCGGCTAATTTTTTGTATTTAGTAGAGACGGGGTTTCACCATGTAGGTCAGGCTGGTCTCCAACTCCTGACTTCTGGCGATCTACCCACTTCAGCCTCCCAAAGTGCTGGGATTACAGGCGTGCGCCTGGCCAGCTTTTTGACATATTTCAAGATGGCTACTTGGAAGACTGGAGATAGCTTCTTCTACAAGAATAGCTGAAAAGCTGTGTTTGTTGGGGAGATTTGCATTTGTAGAGAAAATCTGCATTGATATATACAGGCTTTCCCTGAGATACTCCCTTGTCTGGGTTTTGGAATGATTAACTGAGCCTGGCACGTTTACATTTCTAAAAACCATTTCCTATCTATACTTCCCAAGAGGAGGGCTGCTCCCTGTGAGGTTTCATCCATGTAACAAGACCACCTCTGCTGCCAGGCTCCTCTTTCTTCCTTGTCGTCACCTGTCTTCCGCAAAGCCTGATTTACCAACCTACAGCTCTGTGTTTTCTGTAACCTCAAGACAGCATAGGCGTGTTGACTACCTTGCCTTTCCTGGAGTTTTTATATAAAGAGTATATATTTGTATATCTCTTTATAATATACAAATATTTGTATAGATATATTTATATATATTATGTAAACTCCAAGTGCATACTTGTGCACATATCTGTAAACCTTTTTTTCCTGTTAATTTGTACATTATCAGTTTGTTTTATAGACTCCAATAATTAAAGCTTCAAGGGAAGAATTTAAACTTTCCTATAGAGGAAAGACAAATATATAGGTGACAAATAATATTTAGAGTGTAAGACGCTTTTTAAAGGTATATTTGCAATTTGTGTCACAACATTTAAATATACATTTGTTATTTTAACTATAAAATTTCAAATAATTTAAGCCAAATACATAGTATATGCAGAAAATTTAGCAATATATCTATGTAGCACCTTACTGTGCATTACTGTAACCAGCCGTCTAATATAAAGAATTAATTAAGGTAGCAGCTACTTTTCAAATAGCGCATTTTTTTTCACAGACCTATTAAATAAGACAAATAACATTTAAACTTTATTTTTAAATTTGCAGGATAGCAGTTTTCAGCAGATGGTTTCTTTTAGCAAATTCCATCTTCACATTGTGCTATGCTTTTATGAGTTCCAGCTGTTAACGGATCATATTTTACTGCTGAAACTATCATGTGTGATATAATTGCTCATTATGTGCCTTAAAACACAAGCAATATAATTATTTTCAACTTGGAGCAAATTAAAATCTTATCAGCAATTTAAAATCTCTAGAGTCGTCTTCTTCTGGTTAATTATTTTAAACTTGTATTTTTCTCTTTATGTTTTTAGTGAGTTCTCTTATCAAGGAGAAGAACTCAAGGTGATTATTCTTTTTTTCTCTTCCATGCACCTCACAGGTGTGTTAATAATTTCATTTCTCAGAAAATGTTCTTTCATATCTATCTTACATGATGAGAGACCTTTTAACATCTTCCATTCGGATGTGATACCAGTAATGGAAAATATTCCAGCTTCATGAATATGGTGATACAAATAGTTATCCGTCTAACCTCTTTCAGTGCCAAATGTTTACTATACTCAGTGAGTTACTCAGTTGACTGGTAATTTCTTCTGAAATCACTAATGAGAGGATCAGAAGTCTGGCTGTTGTCTGTACCTCATATGACTCCCAGTGCAGACAATTGTTTCTATGGAGCACAGACAGTTGAAAGGATTGACTTCCTGCCTAGAATAGTTTCTGCTGTGCTTCTTATCCTTCTTGTGGAGATTTCAGATTATCTGAATTGCTTTTCTATCTTAAGAAAAAACGCAACAATTCTCCCACCTGAGAGGCATGTAAACTGTAGTAAGTTAGCAGAACCAATCCGTAAAGTTTTTACATTGTTTGTTGCAAAATGCAGCGCTGGTGTCTCCATCACTAACCTTTTCTATCCCTCATTGCTCTTTCTTTGACTGCAATAGGATACCTGTAGGCAAATCTGTATTCCCGAGACAGAGTGCCCTTTTGGTGAGCTATAAGCACACTCAACGGTAGGCTGAAATACTAGTTTTTATCTATGGCGAAGTGGAATCATATCAGTGATTTTCTTAAAAAGGAAATTTAACTCTTGCTATGGTTTGAATGCTTGCCCCTTCCAAACTCATGTTAAAATTTGATCCCCAATGTTGCAGGTGGGGCTCACTGGGAGGTGTTTGGTCATGGGGTTGGACCTTCATGAATGGATAATACCCTCCCTTAGAAATCTAAAGCTATCCTCCCTCCTCGGTGCCCTCAGGAATGAGTGTACCATTCTTTATTCACCTATAATTACCCCACCCATCCTTTTTGAGATGTTGATTACATGTATGTTACACTGATGCATATTGTCTGACGTATCAGTGAGTTTCTGGTTTTCTTATTTTAGTTTACCATTTGTCCTTTAGTTTGTAATGCTTCTAATTTGTTCTATAAATTTTCTGATGTTAGGGTAAAATCCATTACTTATTCTATGTCATGGAATTTTTATTTCAAATATTTATTTTTCATCTATATATGTCACTTTTTCATTTTATAACTTCTATTTTTCTCCTATGTTTAATTTTCATTTAAGTACCTTGACATATATATGTATTTATCTATATGTATTTATAAAATATATTTACTTTAAGAACCTTGAAATTTCCTTCTTTTTTGTCATTTATAAATGACTTATTTTTATCCTGTTAATATATATCTTAATTATATATATCTTACGGCTTCTTTGCATTTCAGAGTTTTTTTTGGGTATTTTGATGTTATGCTATTGAATATCTAGATTTGATTGGCTACCTTTGAACAATGTTGTGGCAGGCAGTTCAGTAACTTCAGGATGAGTATTTGTCTGTTGTTGTTTTAAATCTTCTCTTTAAGCTTTGTTGAGTTAGTCTAGAGCCATCTGTAATTTGGAGCTAAATGAGCACTGTCACTAGGGCATGAACCTCCAGTGGTCTTTACTGAATATCCTGGAGGTACAGAGGGGATTCCCTTCTCTGATTAGAATTAGGAATGTAAAGGGAAAAGAGAAAAATAGAAAGCTATGCATAAACACGTGCATTAAAATGAATTTTATGTGGGCTTTTTCATGAAAATGTTCCTAAGGTATTTTATTTTTTTATTGTGGTAAAATACACATAACATAAAATGTACTCGGTTAACCATTTTAAGTGTACAGTTCAGTGGTACTAAATATAGTCATAACATTGTGCAGCCGTCCCTACCATCCATCTCCATAATTCGTTTCATCTTGTAAAACTGAAACTCTATACCCATTAAACAATACTTCCCCATTTCTTCCTCCCTCCAGCTTCTGGCAACAATCATTGTACCATCCCTATAATGCTAATCAAGCATAGTGGCTGTGTTTCTTGCTTCCTCTAGTCTGCAGGTAGCATACAAATGTAATAAACTACTTATTCATGTCACATCAATTTATTTTCGGCCTTATACCAAGCTTGTGGGATTCTCTTCAATACAACATTTTTATACTTACACCTATGCAATACCCATTAGCATCGCCTTCCTAAATCAGGGGAAATTGAGCCTCTGTAAGGTGGAGTAACTCCCTAAGATATAAAACTCAGCATTGAAGTCTGTATACTTCAATATCCTGCCCTCTTCTCATGTGTCTTTACTGCCTTTTATGTATGTGTTAGATGTTCAACAAATTCTCTTTCTTAAACTGAATTTAAGCCGTGGAGCAGTGTTTTGTTGAACAATAAATATGATATAGGACACTCTTCCTCCTTTTCATGTATGATCCTGTTCATGAAAAAGAGAAATTCTTTCATTGTGCTAGAAGCTTAAAATAATGAAAATGCCACTTTCTACATTAAACAGAAACTGAAGGGAATCAAGGTGAATTGCATGAGACATAGAAAACAAGTGGGAAAGAAATCTAGTATAATTTGCCCTTTGTGTACCTTTATTATTTAGCGTTTGAGTAAATGATTCCCCCAAATATCTTCCCATCTTAATTCATGTCTATAAAGTAGACATTTATGTCTCACCTTGTCAAGAAGGGCCAACTCTAACATAAACATTTCCCAAAAATGCTTCCTGCTAAAACGTAAGCTCAGTCTGGCTAGAAATGCAGCTCACTTCCTAAAGATTAATTGATAGCTAATTTTGCATGCTGTTCTCTGAACTTGAGTGAAACCTGTCCATCAGGCATACAGGGAATGACAGGAAAGGTGACAACAGAAGATGAATGCTATGTCACTAACCTTCAAAGATGACCTGCCTTTTCTTTCAAATTCTTGATATCTTAAGACTTCATTAATTCATGTCTCTTTTCCCTTGGTTCAACATTTTGCTATACCAAAACTCATGTGAAACAATGACCTAATGTAATAAAAATGGCATTTTTCTTTCATGTAGTTGCAAGCTAACTGGCATTTTTACAATCCACATATTTCCTTTGTCAATTTTTCATTCTGTATTGGAAGTAATTGATAGGTATTTCTGAAGGGATGAAGGTGTTTCTGTGTTCATTGTGATCCAAACTACTTTTAGACCTAGGGGGCGTTTGTAAAACAATTTGTGCCCGCTGACCAAGGATCACTGTGGCAGAAAGCAGCAAACTTGCATAAGATGTCACTGCTTCATAGGTTGGCTTTGAAAACTACGGGCTTACTCTATACTCTTATGTATAAAAGACATTGATAGATGTAGTATAAGATTACAATCATATTTTCCTTTTGGCAGTCACATTATAAAGCATGATGTATTGCAATTAATCTCAATTAGCTGATCACAATTAAAATTAATAATGTTTATTATTGCTGATAAAAATCATGTCTCTCCTGTTCTCAAATGTGCAAGTAATTCTTTTAATTTTAATACAAATTTGCATATTATTATTAATTGATTTAATCTCATTGGATTTGGTTCATGGATCCAATTTATTAAAATATTGATAATGGGATAATGATTTGTCTCCCCATTTCATGTACACTAAAAACAACATTTCTTTTTCTTTTTTTTTTTTTTTTTGAGACGGAGTCTCGCTCTGTCGCCCAGGCTGGAGTGCAGTGGCGCGATCTCGGCTCACTGCAAGCTCCGCCTCCCGGGTTCACGCCATTCTCCTGCCTCAGCCTCCCGAGTAGCTGGGACTACAGGCGCCCGCTACCACGCCCGGCTAATTTTTTGTATTTTTAGTAGAGACGGGGTTTCACCTTGTTAGCCAGGATGGTCTCGATCTCCTGACCTCGTGATCCACCCGCCTCGGCCTCCCAAAGTGCTGGGATTACAGGCGTGAGCCACCGCGCCCGGCCAAAACAACATTTCTTACAATGATCTGCAAGCCCATCATCATCTGCCACATGTTAACTGCCAAAATTCTTTTATATCTTCACCCTTGATCTTACCAGTGGTCCTGGCCACCTCACTGTCCTCTGGACATGCCAACATGCTGCTGCCTTATGGTCAAGACTCTAGTTAATTTCTTGGCTTGGAAAGATAGCCCTCCATATATCCATTGATCAGCTCATTCAACTTCCTCAAGTCTTTACTGAAACTTCACATTCTCGATGAGGCCTATTCAGTATTTCAAACTGCCTCCCAGCTGCAGCATTCCAAAACCCCTTACTCTTCTGTGTATTTTTGAAAGGATTTATTGAGATATAATTTACATAGTGTAGAGTGCACACATTAATGTCTACAAGTCAGTGGCTTTTAGTATATGCACAGATAAGTGGAGCCATCATCACAATGAATTTTAGAGCATTTTCATCACTTCAAAAAGAAACCCCACCTTCCCTAGCTGTTAACCTCCTATGCACCCATCCCCTACTCAATCCTAAGCAACCACAAATCTGTTTTCTGTCTCTATAGATTTTCCTAGTCTGTTTTCATCTAAATAGAATCATACAATAGGTGGCCTTTTCTGCCTGGCTTCTTTCAGTTGGCATAATGCTATCAAGGTTCATGTACGTATTGGTACTTTATTTCTTTTTATAACTGTATAACATTCAATTTCTTGGATATAACATTTTGTTTATCCAATAATATTTTTATTGACATTTGAGTTGTGTTCAGCCTTTGGCTATTTTAAATACTGCTGCTAAAAATACTTGTGTACAATTTGTGTTTGAACACCTCTTTCCAATAATCTGGGTGTATACCTAGGAATAAATTTCTGGGTCATATGACAATTCTATGTTTCATATATTTAGAAGCCATCAAATTATTTTCCAAGGTGGCCAGTTCTACCCATAGAGTATCTAACTGTGGTTTTGATTTGTAGTTGCCTGATGAGTGATGCTATTGAGTATATTTTTATGGGATTATTGACCGTTCGTGTATCTTCTTGGGAAACACATCTATTCCTATCATTTATCAGTTTTGAGTTGGGATATTTGTGACGGAGTTAAAACAATTTTTCTATATTCAAGATACATATATATATACAGACATATAGATACGTGTTTTTCAAATATCTTCTCACAATTTTTGAGCTGCCTTTTGACTTGCTTGTTTGTCCTTTGAAACACCAATGTCTTTAATTTTTAAGAAATTTTAAATATCTAATTTTTATTTTGTTGCTCATGTTTTTGGGGTTACAGCTATTTCTTTGCTAGATCCAAAATCCTGAAGACTTTCCCATATGCTTTATTCTACCTCTTGCATGTGTGTCTTTAATTCATTTGAGTTAATATTTTTGTATGCTTTGGGGTAAGGGTTCGAATTTATTATTTTGCAAGTGGTGATCCATGTGTACTTTGTTGACCCAGTTTGTTCAAAGACTGTCTCTTCCTCATTGAATTGCACATGGTACCACTGTAAGAATCCATTGACTGTAGACACATAGTTTTATATATGGACTCTCAATTATCTTCCATCAATCTATATATTTTTCCTTCATCAGTATTGTGTTGTCTTGATTACCGATACTTTGCAGTAAGGTTTGGAGCATGGGGGTGTGAATTATCCTAACATGTTTTCTTTTCTTAAGATTATTTTGGCTATTTTGAGTCCCTTACAATTCCATGTGTATTTTAGAATCAGCTTGTCAGTTTCTAGACAGAAGTCTGTTGGGATACTTGCAGGGATTTCATCAAATCTGTAGTTCAAATTGTAAAGTACTACAATATTAAATAGTCCAATTCATGGGTGTAAGGTGTTTGCTAATTATTTAAATATTCTTTAAACAATAATTTTTAATTTTCAGAGGAAAATCTTGTATCACATTTTCCAAATTAATTATTATTTCTTTTTTTGATGCTATTTTAAATTGAAGTGTTTTCTTAAATTCATTTTGGGGTTTTCATTGCAGATGTGTGAAATTGATTTTTGTACATTTACCTTGTTTGCTGTAATATTGCTGAAATAATTTACGAGTTCTATCGTTCGGTGGATTCCTTAAAATTTTCTATATACAAGAATGTTATTTTCAAATAAAGTTTTATTTCTTCCTGTTCAGTATGGGTGACTCTTATTTTTTTAGTTGCCGATTTGCCCTGCATAAAATCTTTAGTACAGTGTTGACTAGAAGAGGTCAAAGTATATATCCTATCAAAGTATATATCTCTCACCATAGCGGGAAAGCATCCTTTACCATTAAGTTGCATGCTTGCTGTTGGCTTTTCACAGGTGCCATATATCAGGTGTAGAAAGTTCTCTATTCCTGGTTCATTGAGTTTTTATTTTTATTTTTAGTCATTAAAGCATTTGGATTCTGTTAAATGTCTTTTCCGAATCTATCGACGTGATCATGCAATTCTCGTTTCTTATTCTATGGATAAGATGTATTACCTTAATGGATTTTGGGCTGTTAAACCAACCTGGGATTACTTGTATAAATTTCACTTTGTCATAGTGTATAATTCTTTTATATGTTGCTAGATCTGATTTGTTAGTATTTTTTAAGGAAGTTTGCATTTATACTTATAGTAGTTTTATTTTTCTATGCTATTTGGACTAATTTTTGTATCAAAGTAACACTGGCCCCACAGAATAAATTGGGAAGTGAATATTTCTCTTTTTTAAAAAAGCTAGTCAAGAAGTAATATCAATTATTCAACACTAACAAATATTATTGTTATAAATTATTAATTTCTCTAATTTTAATTTTCTTCCTTCTGCTTGCTTTAGGTTTAGTTTGCTAATCGTTCCAGTGCCTTAATGTGGAACGTCATCTTATCTCATCCTTTCATTTGTCTTTTCATTTTGTAAATAGTGTCTTGTTAGCATCAGGTGAGCTCCCCAGGTTGGTAGTACTCCATGTTTGTTGCTGTACAACAGTGACAGGTAATATGTCCTGAAGACAATGGAAACTTAACATTCAAAATCTCCTAGATTCCACCTTATATGATATGTCTCTTCTATTGGTCCTAATTTCTACCCTTTCTCTATTATAAACCATGAGTACAGTGGCATTCAATGAGTTCTGTGAGTCTTTCTAGTAAACTCTTGAAACTGAGGGTGTTCAGGGGAAACCCCTGAACTGGCAGTTGGTGTCAGAAGTGAGAATCTTCTTACATGGCCTCTTCCTTTGAACTGTGCAGCTGGACGCAAACTCTTCACAATTTGGGCCAGAAGTCTCGTGTTGACTTTGCAGCCTAAAGTATCTTGTAGTTTGTCTAACCCTCAATAAATTTGCTTTCATCAAATATTGTATTTGTTACCCCAAAATTACCATCACGTTTTTTTTTCTCCAAATAACTAACATTGGAGAAATAGCCAGCTGAGTTTGTAACTCAACAGAAACAAGTGATCCATATACCATATAAGTGGCCATCTCATTTTGCCTTCTTCCACCAAATCTTAGCAACCTCAACCATTGCCATGAGCCACTGTAGGCCTACCAGCTACAAACAAACAAGTATCTTGTAAAAACACTTCATACTCCCATTTGATAAATTTCCCAGCAAAGAGACGTCTACTTTAACTCTATGCAAGTGGCTCATATTCACGAAGTCTGTAGATATTATTCATGTAGTGTGAGAAAATCATCCCAGCGATGCCAGCACATTCTCCTTCCCATGATCTGCTTAGTTTGCAAACATATTCAGGCCATGGGTGAGAGATTTGTATTTCACAGTACAACAATTTTATGGAGGGCATTGAAACTTACATTGAGCATTTTAGTACAGTCACACATCACTGAATGATAGGGATACGTTTTAACAGATGTATTCATAGGCAATTTCATCATTTTGCAAACATCACAGAGAATATTACAAACACCTAGATTGTACAGCCTACCACGTTTAGGTTATATGGTATAGCCTCTTTCTCCTAGGCTACAAATCTGTGTACTACATTACTCTACTGAATACTGCAGGCAATAAGAGCACAGTGGTAAGAGGTTATGTATCTAAACATACTTAAACGTAGAAAAGTATGTAAAAATATATATTATAATCTCATGGGACCACTTTTGTATATGTAATCCATCTTTGACTAAAATGTTATTATGCATGACATGACTCTATGACAAAAATAAAATAACACATTGTAAAAAATGTACACAGGTATCAAACATATTAATATTGTAAAAATAAACATATTTATTCAGTGTAAGAATTTGTAATGATCACAAAATGTTCACAGCTTATATTTTAGTACAGTTTCAAATACCTAGTGCAATTGCTATTTATTTCTGTGTGTATTTTAAACATGTATATAATAAATATTTTTCAGGTTCAACAATATATATCAATCCAACTGGCTCTTATAAATATTAGTTAACATCAATTGGTAAATTCATATATATATATATACACACGTGAATCAGTCTGTATGCATGTATGTGTGTGTAAATGTAACTGGATGCATCCTAATATTTACCCTTACCTACAAGATTTCCAAGATTCATTTATTATCATTAAATGGTGTGCATTTAAAGATTTACCAAATAAAACCGCAATCATGGAATATATCAAGATGTTATTAAATTCATCTTGTGCACATAATTGTTTCTTTAAATTTATGTTTCTTGCAAAACTTGCGGTAATGCTCATGCACAAAATAATTTTCTAAGTAAAAAATAACATTTTCTCAGTCATTAATTCTTAAAAATTATTTCTCCCCAATAACTGATGTGAATTAATTCTTAATTCTTAATTATAGAATAATGTTGCCCTTCAGAGTTCTGAATCTTTTGCACGTTGTATACATTTCACTCACTAGAACATCTTCTGGAATATTGGCATTAATTAATGTCACTCAGCAATTAATGATTTCAAAGAAATTAAATACCATTCATATTCTGAATCACAAGGGTACTTTGGCATCTTATTTAATCAAGCTCTTTGTATCATCATCTACAGTTTAATTACTTAACAAACATTTCTCTGTGTGAGAAAGATTGAGCAGGTTATTGTGCTTTTCGTTGTATACATTTCATTAACTAGAACATCTTCTGGAAAATTGGCATTAATTAATGTCACTCAGCAATTAATGATTTCAAAGAAATTAAATACCATTCATATTCTGAATCACAAGGGTACTTTGTTATCTAATTTAATCAAGGTCTTTGTATCATCATCTACACTTTAATTACTTAACAAACATTTCTCTGTGTGAGAAAGATTGAGCAGGTTATTGTGCTTTTTTATGATGCAACCTTTGCTTAATCTAGAGATAGGCAATGCTCCCTATAAGGGACAAAGAGAAAAATGAAAAAGCAATAGAGATGTGACAGGCATGGAAAAAGACAATACATTTATAAAACAAATAGGGCCACAGATGATGATAATGGGGATCAAATCTTGAGATACTGACTCAGTTTATAACCGCACTGTAAAATAGAGCAAATCATTTGTTAATTATTTTACAAATGGAATCTAATTTAATTAAGATGAATACAGTGTTTTAAACAAGGCAGGTCATCTTAAAATAAAATAGTGGAAAAAGTGATAAAACCAATGTAAAAATCATAAACATTTTATAAAGAATTTTTGTCATGTAATTTAATATTTTTCTTTATTTAAAATCACCCAAATCAAAATAATTTTATCTTAATTAACAAATAATCATCAGAAGTTAACTAATTTTTACTTTATAATACTAGGTTTAAAAATTCTTCACTATATTTTTAATCATACATGCTTATACATAAAATAGACATAGGGTATATGTTTACATGTTCACAATATTATATTGTAATTGTTCCTATGGATGTGGTTTTTCAATAGAATTAATAAGTACTTTTAAAAAGTTTCAATTTCAATGATATATATGTTTGATTTTTCTTTGACAAAGCATACATATATTGATAGGTAATAATAAGAAAATCTTCTAAAGATATTACAGGAACATGAATAAGTAATTAAATCCTCAATAATTTGTAATGTTGTATGTAAGCGGAACACATTTAACTGAAAATTGCTTTTATATAATACTCGAACGAGACTAAAAACATTTTAACTAGCGGAGTAAGTCTTCAAATTGATAATCTGAACTATAGAAGAGGAGAAACGTCAAGCACTCAAATATTTGAAATGCTACAAAATATTTATATAAACTTATTTAACAATTTCTGTTTGTAGAATGCTATACAGCAATCAATATAAATGACATCTCAGTCTTTCTATAGTTTTGACCACATTTACCTCCTAATTTTAATTATTAATATGTTGGAGCAGCGCATACAACTAGATTCCGATCTTCCTTTTTAATGAGTAAAAATATGTCCTTTGAGACAGCATTAAAGAAAGAGCACCTTGTATAAATTCAATGCCAAGAGACAAGATATTCTTGATTCTGAAGTCTTGTTCTTTTATACAGCAATGTAATTAATAAGAAGAAGAAAAGCAGGACATAGAGATGGAGTCTATTTTCATCAAAAATTGTCTATAGATTTTGATGATAAAATTTAAAACTCTACTATATTTAGTTACTCACAAAAAACTAGGTTGTGGGAACATATTTGGTCAATAAAACACCCCTACCAAATGCTGACAAGAAAAAAGTTAGGTACCACCTTTCTTCTCTGCAGATGGCCTGAGATGGGTTAATTTGAAAGAATGCTTCCAAACCTGAGGTGACCCCTGAGAACAGCATAATCCACTGCTGTCTCCCACATTCAGTTTCTCAGTCTGTGCTCTATTCATTTTGGGGGGAGGGAAGCCAGTCCTTTAAAGCGATCTTCAGCATGATGGCAGAGCCAAGGAGTGTGGACAGGTGGCACGGTGTCTGACTGTGTTCCAGCAGCCACTTGGGCTTTCTCTGGGTCTTCTCTGCCCTAGGGATAGCACTACTATTGAAAACATGTCTTTGTGACATTCTCTATGCGAGGAACTCCCAACATATTTTCCTTGAAACTGATGAAATGAATACAAATAAACCAAGAGGTGTGCTGTTTGTTTCTGTTTCCTCCTTTCTGCAGTCCTTCTTGATCATCTAATATTTTTAAATACATTGTCGATCACCAAAAGGAGCATAAGGGCTTTATTGGTTTGTAGCAGATGTATTAATAGCCCAGCCCCTATTCCTTACCTGTAGCTGCTGGGAAGAAAACCATTCTTAACACTCTACAAGGTCTCATCTCCAGAATTTGCACCAGTTTCTAGCTGAGGACTTTCTCTAGCAGCACGGGAGCTTGTTACTGGGCATGAAGTGGGAAGAAAAGGTGAGGGTAGCTAAGAAGAATCTCCCTGGATTCAGTGATGTAATTCTGAGGCATGCTCCACATAGCTTCCCATAAAATTAAGCCCAGATATCTAACACAGGAACTTACCTCTTAACACGTGTGGTATTGGCTTTTCTATCTTTCCTGTTTTATTTTGTTCTCTTTTCCTTGTCTCACTTTCGCTGTGTCCTCACTCCTGCTTTAAGAATACCCAAACAAATACGTTCATTTATTTTTTTAGACTCTCAGAACACAGTTGATAGTTGGACTTGTAATCTATGATAATCAGCTTGGATGCTATATTGACAGGAAGATGGTGAACTCACAATGTCTAATTAAGATACAATTTAAAAAATATATTGAATCATGTCCAAAGACTTAAAAAGACTAAGCGGCAGCGTCACAATTTCTTCTTTTTAGTTTACATGGTTTCTTAAACGCCTACAATTATTTTAAAGGAAGCCTTGAGTCTAGGAAAATTTGAGACATATGGAATAAATTACTAACCCATTTCTCCTTGAAATCCATTAGATGTTTGATGATTCTTCACATATATTTCTGAACTGAAAAGCTAGTTGGGAATTATTTTTATAAGCATATCCTTATGTAGTATTTTGTTTCTAAGAGTGAATGGAAGGTTTAAAGATTAAATTATTCTATCCAGAGAATATAAAGCAATTATTTCACAAGGAGAACATGTGTATGTTGACACATTTTAAAATCTAGATTTTAAAATAGGTCCCATATAATTTTGAGTCAATTAGAATATGTATGTATCAGTCTGTCTACAGTTTTACACCTGTCAAAAGGTACTTGAACTAAAAGAAGTACCTTGAACAATTTTGAAATTTATTATTCCTCTGAAACTGATTAAAAGTATTACGGTAGAGTGAAATTTGGATTGGCATAATTTAGGAGAGAAATTATTCCTTGGAGATCAACCTCTGCCAAGATACTTTATAATGACATTGAGACTTTTTGATTTACACTATTTGTTATATAAAAAATACTAAGACGATGACAGATAATACACAGACTTTAATTAAAATTGTACTAAAATTAAAAGTCTAAATAAATTACAAGGGTACGTGGTACATCTAAATGTATGTTTATATATTTTATTTGTGCATTTTATTCCTAGGGTTGCTTTTGCTTTAGTTTGTAAAACGTTCTTATTTTCATGACAATGTAGTATATACTAAATAAAGAAAAATCAGGAAATAGAAAATGAAGAAGAAAACATTAGCTATTGTCAACCAAATGAAAATTGTGCAATCTCTAAGTACATGAACGATGTATTATTTGTACAGCATGTACAATGTTTATGCTTCACAGGGTGAGGTAGAGACTGCAAAACATTGAACCTGGGACAAATAAGGAAGAAAGGAAATTTTCACAATATATTAATATTACAGAAAATGTTGAACTTAACAGTGAATATACAAATAGTGAAAAATGATAGTATTTAAGGAGATCTAGAAAATTTAATCTATACCAGTAATGTGTGAGAAGTATTAGAATAATGCTTGTATTTCTGGATTGGCATCGATTTCTATTGAGACTGGAAACATAATAGAAGTGAGCAAAAAAGAATTTCAATCATGGATACTTGAGTTTTATACCTAGGAGTTCGAGAAATACATTTTGTTCCTATCAAAGCAGTTGGCACAAGAGTGTACAAAATTCCCTAATTGTGTCTATGTGGTGAAGACATAGACAAACAGAGAATAGCAAAAAATAATAGCAAAAAAGCACAAATAAATTTTACCTGTATTTTTACGTAAAAGCCAATTAGAGTAGGAAAACATGAAATTTGTGTTTTATCAAAATTTTTCTCTTATAGTATAGTTGATTATATTACTGGAAAAAAATTGAAGCATTGGTACGTTCACAAAAAAAAAGTAAAATATAAGGTCAAAACCATGGGAATGCAGGGAGCAGACAAAATACACCTAAACACTGAAACTGATTTTGCCCTACGGACATGTAGCAAAATGAATGACTGCAGATTCCTACTGTCATACATCACATAGGACAGTAAAGAAATACATAGTGTTTCCCAAGATAGGGCATCACACAGGAGCTCTTCCCTAAAGCTAGAACCAAAATTTATATCCTCAGTCTAAAGAAGAATCAGAGGTAAATTAGTCTCATTTCACATTCCCTGGAAATGGCAAATAAAAATGACTTGAGATTGGACAGATTTAAAGCAACTCAATCATTAATGATTTACAGCAATTAATTTAAAAATTGTTTAAATGTGCTGTCCAAACATACGTCCAAACACCTTTAGGCCAAGAATTAATATAATGTGGTCCCAGAATGGTGGTGCCTTTAGTAGACTCACAAAAAATTCAAATTCTCTTTGGCAAATTTTCTTCTAATATGCAAAAGTGCACAATAATAATTTTCAGAGAAAAATAAATCTTTGTCATTCAAAGGCATCTAAGTACGCAAGGAAATGATATTCCACCATTTGAAAGGAAAGCAGAAAAAGAGTACAAACAGATCCACAAAGGTTCATTAGTAGAAATATCACTGTTAGATTATAAAGCACATTTGCTTTCAAAAAATTAAAAAAAAATGAATATATTTTTAGGAGACTAAAAAATTGATGTAGTAAATTTGAAAAGTAGTTTATATATAGTATTTTAAATTAAAAACTCAAAAATGAACTCATCAGATTAGACATGGCCATGGTGAGAGTTCATAAATATTTCAGAATGCATTACAGAAAATTTTAAAAAAGGCACAATGTGGACAGAATCATGAAGAGACATGGAAGATACAGTGAGAAAGTGTAGCATGTGTTTAGTGAGTGTTCTCATAGAGGAAGGGAACAGGGAAGGGACAATATGTGATGGTATTTTGGCTGAAAGTTCTCTAGACTTTTGTAAGACACTAATCCACATATTCAAAACTTCTATGCATGCTAAGCAAGCTACGATGGAGATAAACCTACATCTACATATCTCCTAGAGAAATAGTAAACAATCAGGAAGGGAAAAATATTTCAATTAGCACTAGAAAAATCAAATTACCTTTAATCATATTGAAATCTGAAAGCATGAAAGGTAAAATAAACAATATTATTTGTTAAGAATAATAATGCCATTCTGAAATTCTCAACCAAGAAAAACATTCATCAACCTATGGCTAAATAACATATTTAGAGACAAAAAACAAAACACCACCAGCAGAATTCCACTAAAGAAACTCAAACGAAACTGAAAACACGCTTCAGAAAGATTGAAGTTCTGAAATCAAAGAATGAACACAGAGCAAAATATATTGTAAACATACAGATAGATCAAAATAGAAAATTAGGTGTTGAAACAAAAGGATATTTAAAATTAGATAAGCACTGCAATATGTATGTTAGGAAGGAAATTATTAGAGCTGAAGTATTCAAAGACCCCTTAATTGTCTGACAAGAGCAGAAAGGTATGACTTTGCAACTTTTTTTTTTTTTTTTTTTTTTTTTTTTTTTTTGAGAAGGAGTCTCATTCACTCTTTCTCCCAGGCTGGAGTGCGGTGGCGTCATCTCTGCTCACTGCAACCTCTGCCTCCCAGGTTCAAGCAATTCTCCTGCCTCAGCCTCCTGAGTAGCGGGGATTACAGCCGCGTGCCACCATGCCTGGCTAATTTTTGTATTTTTAGTAGAGACGGGGTTTCACCATGTTGGTCAGGCTAGTCTCCAACTCCTGACCTCGTGATCCACACGTCTCGGCCTCCCGAAGTGTTGAGATTACAGGCGTGAGCCACTGCGCGCGACCGACTTTGGAACTTTAATAAATTGACTGGACATTATGCATTTCTCTGTTGTATCTATGAAAACAATAAAAATAAAAGTCATAATTTTAAAACAAGAAGACAGAAAGTGATAGGAGAAAATGAGACATTATATATATATATATATACACAACAAATTAATAATACAAAATTAAGTATAAATGATCAAAGATTAACTTAAACCTAAGTAGACAATGTTTTTGTTAAAATACAAAGATTGGCAAAATTTAAAACATCCGTCTCTATCATAGTTATAAGAGACACAACTAATATATAAATTTACAGAAACTTTGAAGTTCAAACAATACAGATACTGTGTATATATGATATACATACAAACATACTACATGAATATAATTTTTTAAAAAGTTGCTATGTAGACAAAATAGAATGTAAGTTAGAAACATTTATTAAAATAAGTTAGTCTAACCAGTGTGATAAAAGTTTTAAGTTATTAAGAAGATGTGATGACTTAAATGTGCATTAGCCTGATACATACATATATATAGACACACAAACCACACACTCTCACACACACAGACACACACGTATTTAGAGAGAGAGTCAAATTATATAAAGCAAAAATATCAGAAAGTAAGTAGAAATGGATAAGCCCCCAAATATTATAGACATTTCAAACACACGTCTTTCAGCAATAGATAAAAGAAAAAATTAAAGAGTAAGTTTCAAAAGAAGCTAGTGGATTTTAAAAAGGGCAAATATTATATAAGGAACATGAATATTATAATTCATGTTATTTTCATGTTCATACAGAATACATACAAAAATTAACATTTTCTAGACCATACCACAAATTCAAACAATTTTCACGGAAATAACGTGACACAGAATATATTTCCTAAACAAACAGAAATGAAGGCAGATATCAATACAAAAATGAAAGTTAGAAACATAAGTGTAATAATATTGGTTGGAAGCTATTTTAATGAATATTGAAATATTTTAAAGGTGAATAGTCAATACAAATAAACCAAACACTTTTGTAAGGCCACTAAGATGCATGTGTAATGTGTAATGCCTCCTTTTATAAGGAGTAAATCTGTAACATCACCTGGGCTATTTGACAACTGCAAAGTGAATGTGAGAAGGAGAGAAACAGAGAGAGAGAGAGAGATAAAACCAGTAAAATAAACATAAAGAATGAAGGAGATAGCCAGGCGCCATTGTTCACGCCTGTAATCCCAGCACTTTGGGAGGCCGAGGCAGGTGGATCACCTGAGGTCAGGAGTTCGAGACCAGCCTGGTCTAACATGGTGAAACCCACTCTCTACTAAATATACAAAAATTAGCCTGGCATGGTGGCATGCATCTGTAATCCCAGCTACTCGGGAGGCTGAGGTGGGAGAATTGCTTGAACGTGGGGGGTGGAAGTTGCAGTGAGTAGAGATCACGCGACTGCACTCCAGCTTGGGCAACAGAGCAAGACTCCGTGTCAAAAAAAAAAAAAAAAAAAAAAAACAACGAGGAAATAGTACACGAAAAAGAAGAATTAAAGCAACTGGGTATATATTTAAAAATACAAAAGCTCACTTCTTCAGAAAAATATTAAAATATTAAATCTAACAAATATCTAGGGAGACTGATGGAGAAAAATACAGAAAATGCACAAAAAAGCAATTACCTGGAATGCGAACGTTACAAAACGTCAGCAGTTGTAGTTTTTAAATAAGCAATGATTTTTGAGTTCAACCATGAAGGGGTATATTGAAAAGAATCTCTCAGAAAAAAAGAAAAAGAAAACTGTTATAAAGCTATGTACAAAATGTTAAGCACTATTAAAGTCTTCCAAATCTACCAGTTACAGAGTTATTGGTCTTGGACTAACACTCCTTAAAAGGAAAAAACCAAACAAAACAAGACAAAACCTAAAAACCTGGATAAAATGGCCTACCGTGGGCACTGGCAATGCATCCAAGCAGGTAGGACCTGGGTGCTACATTCTCTTTGTCAGAACACAAAGCATTCATACACTCTTCTCACCTTCACTTTCACCTTTTAATCTTAGATCTACTATTAAATGTATTCAACATTACTATCAATCCTTTGGTCAAAATTTCTTTACTCACATTTTGCTTGATGCACTTGGATAGACTGTTCAAGAAAGTGTGAGTAGTGAATTCCTCAAACTCTTGCATATTCAAAATCACATTTTTGAACCTTGATGCTTGAAGTGTAGCTTGGGTAACAGATGGGCTTTAAGCCAATTTTGGCATGCAAGGGGTTGAGTTTATTAGGCATCAGCACCGCTGAAAATCGTGGGGATGCAGGCTTAATTTCAACACTATTCTAAATACTTGAAAGATATTATATAAGTCTTTAATAAACTCCTGTGTCTACAAATGGTTCACATTAATTCAATATCCATGATTAAACATCTATAAAATCAAGGCACTGTTATTTAGTGGAGACTTGCTGGCTATTCTATGAGAGGAGGTATTGTTATTGTAATCTCGTCATCTCATAAAATTGTATCATATTACTCATAACCAGCCCTTCATATTCTATTCCTATTTTGGTATTTTAAAATAAGATATCTTTGAAACTCTTGAATTCAAAGAGGGAATCTGAATAATTTTTAAAATGTCAATGAAATGCCATTTCTTCATGCTTCAACAACTAAAAATTGACTAAAGTGCTTCTCTTCAATCTTTCTGGAACATTTTTTATCTAACTTCTAAGAACAATCACAATAGGTTTTAACCACAAATGTGAGAATATTCTAAATGTTAGGGTGGAAAAAATTTTTAAATATTTTATAGTAATTTTTTTCATCATAGTGACAGTGTGCTAAATTTTTTTAAGCCAACTATTACTGTAGACATTTAAGTCAGGATTCTAAGAAGCTGTTCTAAAGTCCAAAATTTAGTTTCATATACACTGATATTATATATATATTTGCTTAAAAAATTAATACATATGAGCCGTGTTTCAAATAGTTGAGAGATTATTATATCAAAGATTCTTGATTATATAAAATGCCAATTACTTATAGGCAGACATGCTTTAAATAATTACTAAGGCAGTTGTGGTTGATTCTACTCTTGCTACTGGCATTTATATGGACATACTATTATGGTCTGAAGAATATTTAGGCAAATTTATCCCTCATATGATCAGAAGAACAATGCAAGATAGTTTATATCTGAAAGGAAAAGAATCTTTATATGGTTCTGAAAGCGTAAATCATTAACAACTTGGATAATAATTTGCATAAAAATACACAAACATGCCCTCTTCCTAGCAGTAAGTACACAGTGACAACAGAATCAAAGCATGTGGCTATGTGCATGTTTATATTTCAAGACGCAGAGCACTCTATTCCTCCTCTCTGCCCTTTCTAGATGGCACAATCCCTCATGAATCTAAGTGCAGTCATAGGGTGGATTAGGGTGACCTGCCATTTGTATGCAACTGATCTCTAGTTTGGAAGTAATTAATGTCAAAATATATTTTTAAAAGATAATTTCAAATTTCAGGGCAAACTAGCATGGTTTCACCCCTTTTCTTTGGAACATTTTTTCTAAGGTTGGAAAAGTAAGGTAGGCTTTAGTACGATTTTAAATAATAAGTTTTCAAAGTGAGACGCAAAATGGTGGCGCCAACACATTTCACATCTGCTAAATTTTGAAGACACTTATTGGAGAAAAGACCTTCTCATCATTTTTCTCTTACAGGAAAGGAAATAACATGTACAGTTGACCCTTAAGCAACACGGAGGTTGGGGTGCTTGCCCCCTGCACAGTAGAAAATCCACTATAACTTTGACTCCCCCAAAACTTAACTACTAATAGCCTACTGTAAGCCTTACAAATAACACAATTAACACATATTTAATATGTTATATGTCTTATATACTGTATTCTTAACAAACATGCCAGAGAAAAGAAAAAAGAAAATCATAAGGAAAATAGATTTACTAGTTATTAAATGGAAGTAGATGATCAAACAGGTCTTCATCCTCATCCTTTTCATGGGCAGGGTGTGGATAAGGATGAAGAATTGTTGGTTTTGCTAAGTGGACGTGCACAGTTCAAACCCCTGTGGTGCAAAGGCCAACTGTATAGCCATTGAATAGCAATTTATTTTTAGAAATTAACCTCACTAAAATACTCTAAGAAGGATGCCAAGAAAAAAAGTGAATAAGTATTTTTGGTTCATCTATTACATCATTTCATTTCATTATTTCATTTCTTTTCATCATTTCATTTCATTTCCTCATTTCATCCTTTCATTTCATCATTTCATCTCATTTTATCATTTCATTTCATTCTTTCATTTCATTTCATCATTTCACTTCATCTCATCATTTCATCATTTCATCTCATCATTTCATTTCATCTCATCATTTCATTTCATCTCATTTCATTTCATCTCATTTCATCTTTTGATCTCATCATTTCATTATTTCATTTCATCTTTTCATCTCATTTCATCAATTCATCATTTCACCTCATTTCATTTCACTTCATTTCATTGTTTCATTTCATTTCATCATTTCATTTCATCACTTCATCTCAACATTTCATTTCGTCATTTCACTTTATCTCATTTCATCATTTCATCTCATGATTTCATCTCATTTCGTCTCATTTCATTTCCTCTCATCATTTCATCTTTTCATCTCATCATTTCATCTCATTTCATTTCACCATTTCATTTCATTTATTTCATCATTGCATCATTTGACTTCATGTCATCATTTCATATCATTTCATCATTTCATCTTTTCATTCCATCATTTCACTTCATTTCATTTCCTCATTTCATTTCATCCTTTCATCATTTCATCTCATTTCATCCTTTCATTTCATTATTTCATTTCATAATTTCTTCTTATTGTTGCATTTCGTCATTCCATCATTTTATCATTTCATCTCATCATTTCTTCATCTCACGATTTCATTTCATCCCATCATTTCATCTCATTTTATCTTTTCATCTCGTCATTTCATCATTTCATTTCATCTTTTCATCTCATTTCATTTGATCATTTCATCAATTCATCATTTCATCATTTCATTTATTTCATCATTTAATCATTTAACTTCATTTCATCACTTCATTTCATCTTTTCATATCATTTCTTCATTTCACCATTTGATCTTTTCATTTCATCATTTCACTTCATCATTTCATTTCATCATTTCATTTCATCTCATTTCATTTCACTTCATTTCATTGTTTCATTTCATTTCATCACTTCATCTCAATATTTCATTTCGTCATTTCACTACATCTCATTTCATCATTTCATCTCATGATTTCATTTCATCTCATTTCATTTCATCATTTCATTTATTTCATCATTTGACTTCATGTCATCATTTCATATCACTTCATCATTTCATTCCATCATTTCATTTCATTTCATCATTTCATTTCATCCTTTCATCATTTCATCTCATCATTTCATCCTTTCATTATTTCATTTCATCATTTCTTCTCATTGTTGCATTTCATCATCTCATCATCATTTCACTTCAACTCATCATTTCATCATCTCATGATTTCATCATTTCATCTCATCTTTTCATCTCATTTCATCATTTCATTTCATTTCATCTTTTCATCTCGTCATTTCATTTGATCATTTCATCAATTCATCATTTCATCATTACATTTCATTTCATTATTTCATCATTTAATCATTTCACTTCATTTCATCATTTCATTTCATTTCATCATTTCATGTCATTTCTTCATTTCACCATTTGATCTTTTCATTTCATCATTTCATCATTCCATTTCATTTCCTCATTTCATTTCACAATTTCATCTCATCATTTCATTTCATCATTCCATTTCATCATTTCATTACATTTCATCATTTCATTACATTTCATCATTTCACTTCATCTCATCATATCATCCTTCATTGCTTTATTTCATTTCATCTCATTTCATCATTTCACTTCATCTCATCATTTCATCACATCATTTCATTTCATCTCATCATTTCATTTCATCTTTTCATCTCATTTCATTTAATCATTTCATTTCATTTCACCTTTTCATCTCATCATTTCATTAGTTCATCATTTAATTTCATTTTTTCATCATTTCTTCCTTCACTTCATTTCATCATTTCATTTCATCATTTCATATCATTTCCTCAATTCATCATTTCATCTTTTCATTTCATTTCATCATTTTATCATTTCATTTCATTTCAGTTCATTATTTCATTTCATTATTTCATTTCATTTCACCATTTTATGTCATCATTTCATCATTTTTCATCATTCCATTTCATTTCATCATTTCATCTCATTTCATTTCTTCATTTCATCATTTCATTTCATCATTTCATCATTTCATTTCATCATCTCATCATTTCATTTCATTTCACTGATACATGTATTTAATTGCTAATGCGATGCCCAGGAAACACCCTATTTCCCTTTGTAAAACACCTCCTTCAACAAAAGGCAACTTCTCATGGCTGGTTAAGTCTACACGGATACCAGCCTCTCTTCAACCACCCAATTTCATTTAGAACCTCAAACAGCACCTCAGTTTCATAAAAACCTAAAACATAAACACAACACTTGGTTGTAAGTGAGCCAACAGTTTTTTGTCTCTTTCTCTGCTCAAGGCTTAAGGCCGTGTCTCCCCAACTACATTCAGTGGAAGAAAAGATCCCCTGGACAAATAAGTTTGAGAATTGTTGTTGCAGGAATTCTCAGAACTTTCAAAACACAAATCCTCATCCGCAGGGATCTTCAGGAGGGAGATGGCTGATGCAGCACAATTTTCTTTCACAGGAGTATCTTGCAGAATACAGTATGAGATCCAGAAAGGCTGCATTGAGTCTTTTTAATGGCCCGGGCCTTGGTGGGGGTGGGGTAGGAGCTCTCCAGATAGCATTTAATGAGTAGGAACATTCAGGTGGCTTTTCTTTTTCCTTATTGGCAAAACTGTGTGTACACCATGAATGAAGCTGGTCTCCCTTATCCATGTCAAAACTAAACCCAAATTAATTGGCTAAATTGGGACTCAACACCTCCAGAAGCCACGCGGCAGAAAGCCCCAACACACTTTAAATTAGCTTACCTCATCATATTTGAGGAAAGCAAAACGCATATGACCAGTATGCTGCTAATACAAGTCTACAGATAATGCTGTATGAAAAACTAGTTTTCCCAATCATAGCTGGCATAGTCCACATTTTGCATTACACTTTCCCCCCTTTTTTAAAAATTTTAAACACAGGTCTTTTTATCTTCTTTTTTTCAATTTTAATTAAATTATACAAGACCGAGTCTCAGTATGTTGCCCAGGCTGGTCTTCAACTCCTGAGCTCAAGCGATACAGCTGTCTCCGCCTCCCAAAGTGCTGAGAATGCAGGCCTGAGACACTGTGTCTGGCCTTAAACACAAATCTTAATTCATTCTTACAATTATTCTGAGGTTACAAAAATGGAAGGGGAAGAAAAATGGAAAGTAGGTAGGCTGACTTCGGCTTCATTATTTGGAAGGACAGTTTGCTCGGTTAAAACACACTACTGCCTACAAAGGCCAAGACAACAGAAATATACAGACTTACATAAGTAGATTTTATATGTGACAGCAGTTTGAATGGAGACTTTTTCAATGCAATGAGAAACAGCTGTGCTTGGGAATAAATGACAACGAATTTTTTTATCTCAACAGCTGTCCTGAGACCATGTTATCTCTACCTGCATTCTGGAATCAGGGAGAAAGCCAAAACTGACGACAAGACACTAGATCAGCCGTGTCCAACCCTTTGACTACAAGGACTTTTCCACCTATCTGTGGTGGTGGGTAGCATGAAAATTATGCACAAACCTTTTTTTTTTTTTTAACCTCATCAGCTGTTGTTAGCATTAGTGTATTTTATGTGCAGCCCAGGAGCATTCTTCTTCCAATGTGGCCCTGAGAAGCCAAAAGACTGGACACCTGTGCACTAGATCAAAAGGCTACTCCTTCTGGAAGCAATTGTAAAGAATTTCTGACATAATCTTGACATGAAAACCAATGGATAGTGGGACAGAATGCAAAATGTTGAAGAATTTTTCTTGTCTTTTTTTTTTTTTGAGTCACGGTCTTGCTCTGTGGCCCAGGCTGGAGTACACTGGTGAGATCACAGCTCAGTGCAGGATCAAGTGCTCCTCCCGCCTCAGCCACAGTAGTAGCTGGGACTACAGATGCGCACAACCACCCCTGGCTAATATTTTCTTTTTTGTAGAGATGGGGTCTCACTATATTGTCCGGGTTGGTCTCAAACTCCTTGACTCAAGGGATCCAGGAAAGGATAACAGGTGGGAGCCACCACACCTGGCTATGTGCATGAACTTTTAAGACAAACACAGGGCCCCACAAAAGTTAAGGTTTTTCCCACCTAATTTCCAGGGGGATCTTTTGGGGCACAGCTGAGAAGCCCTTAAAAGTACACAGACAACTCCAAAGATTCAAGACAGTTCATTCGGGCTGAGCCAGCCCACTGGGCAGACTGACCTTCAAAAAAGACCCACCCATGACATACACCAGATGGCTCTCCAAGAATCCCTTCAGTCCTCAGGGTCCCTAACGTACTGGACAGAGCTAGGAAAGCAAACCCATTTGCTTCTTCCTGCAGGAAACCCCTTGAGGTTAAGACCCCACAATCACATGAGGATGGAGTGGCTCACCCTCAGTCAACAGGCCAGACTCAAGGTGGTATAATGTCTTACCTAAGGGTGGGGGCCTCCAGGTCTGACTCCCAACTCAGTTCTTCTTTAATAACCACACTTTGTTAATTTTCCTTAACAGGGGTTCCTGGCAAGTCATTTCTCCCTCAGGCCTTCGGTTTCCTCACCTACAAGATGAGAGGGCTGGACCAGATGGAAATTCAGGGGGTAAGGGGATGTCCTCGCGCAGCCCACCCCCACCCCCACGGGACCCTGGAGCCTCCATCCCAGTTCCCACCACGCACCTGCTCCACAAATCCTGCCCAAGGTGAGGGCTGGTCCCGGGTCCTCTGGCTGCCGCGTCAGCGAGTGCAGGAGGGAGGGGAAGCCTCCAAGGGGGTGACGTGGGCTCAAGGATGCAACTCAGCCAGGAGTGAACTGGGGCCCCGAAGGAGGTGTCCAGGCCACTCCTGGAGCCCAGCCCGGGTCCCCGAACCCCTTACCTCCAGGGTCTGTATCTCCTGCTGGGTGAGGTCATTGGACACAGCGCACTTGGTGCACAGCCCGCACAGGCTGCCAATGAAGATGACGATGAGCTTCTGGAGCTGCCCGCACTGCTGCAGCGCCCGGCTGGCCGCAGCCCCTGCGCCACCCTCCGTGGCCGCCGCATCACCCCCGCCACCGCCCTCCTTATTCTCTCCCATCGCCTCCGCAGGCAGCGCCACTCTATGCAGGCCACAGGGGCCTAGGCAAGGAGCCCGGGGCGCCGGCGCCTAGGCAAGGAATCCCTGAGCCAGGAGAGCTGGACCAGGAGCACCCCTGGTCGCTGCCCTTGCCAGGACGCCAGTAGAGCCGGCAGCCGAGTCTGCTGCTCCCGCCCTCAGAGCCGCGGCGGCGGGGACAAAAATCCTCGGCGGCGGGGGCAAAAAGTCGCGGTGGCAAAAAGCGGCGGCGACGGGGGCAAAAAGTCGCGGCAGCAAAAAGCCGCGGCGGCGGGGACAAAAAGCCGCGGCGGCGTGGGGGCAGAAAGCCACGGCGGGCAAAAAGCCGCGGCGGCAAAAAGCCATGGCGGCGAGGGTGCAAAAAGCTGTGTCGGCGGTGGGGCAAAAAGCCTGGTCGGGAAAAAAGCCGCGGCAGCGGCGAAGGGCAAAAAGCCGCGGCGGCGGAGGGCGAAAAGTCGCGGCGGCGGGAGGAAAAAAGCCGCGGAGGTCAAAAAGCCGAGGCAGGGTGGGGGCAAAAAGCCGAGGCGGCGGGGGGTAAAAAGCCGAGGCGGGGTTGGGGCAAAAAGCCGCGGCGGGTAAAAAGCCGCGGGGGCAGGGGGGAAAAAGCCGCGGCGGCGGCGGGGTGCAAAAAGCGGCGGGGGGCAAAAAGCCGCGGCGGTGGGGGGGCCAAAAAGCCGCAGCGGGCAAAAAGCCGCGGCGGCGGGGGACAAAAAGCTGCGGCTGGTGAAAAGCCGCGGTGGCGGGGGGGCGAAAAGCCGCGGCGGGTAAAAAGCCGCGGGGGCAGGGGGGAAAAAGCCATGGCAGCGAAAAAGCCGCGGCGGCGGGGGGGGCAAAAAGCGGCGGGGGGCAAAAAGCGGCAGGGGGCAAACAGCCGCTGCACCAGTTGGGGGAAAAAGCCGCGGCGGGCAAAAAGCCACGGCGGCAAAATTCGCAGAGGCGAAGGTCAAAAAGCCGCGGTGGTCAAAAAGCCTTGGCGCTTGGGGGGCAAAAAGCCGCGGCGGGCAAAAAGCGGAGGCGCGGTGGGGGGAAAAAGCCGCGGCGGCGGGGCGGGAAAAAGCCGCGGCGGCAGGGGGGGCAAAAAGCCGCGGCGGCGGGGGGTCAAAAAGCAGCGGCGGCGGGTGGGCAAAATAATGGAGATGGGGTAGAAGGCCGGCACAGCTTGGCATTGCTGGAATGGGATGTGATAGGAAATGTGAAGCCAAAGACAAAAAAAGATGTAAGTAGGCTTGACTCATTGAAGCTAAGAACCCAGATGTTATCTTGAGGGTATTAATTAATAAGCAGTTTAAATCAGAATGGCACATTCTGATTTGTTTTTTGTATGTTCACATTTGGCAGGCATAGATACTGTTTGAAGAGAGAAAAGTCAGTAGAGAGAGGTAACAAACTTAAATATGTGCCAAGTCTAGAAACAAGAGACCAGGGGTATAAGGACCTTTCAAAATAAAATGCAAGATTTGAAAACTGATTGGCTGGGGGATGAGGAAAAGGCAGGTCTTTAAGGTCCATCCCTGTTTTGCTTTAAGTTGTTAGGGGGTGGTTTTATCACATGTTGTAGAATATGTCATTTCAGTTTTGAACATCTTGAGTTAAATTGTCCTAACATATCTTATGAATTTGATTTTCTTCCCTGGGAAGCTAATATTTCAAACACTTAAAGAGTATATAGATTTCCAACTTGTATCCCATTTATAAAACTATCTCTAGGCTGCTGATTTCAGGAGGAGGCTCATGAATATTCTCTTTGCAGAGAATATATCAGGAGTTAACAACAGCTTCAATATTTGTGGACGACCAGTTAACTAAGCCAGCTCTTAGTGTCTTTCGTTGGGAAATCTTAGCTGAAGATATTCAATAATGAACCAAGAGTGACTAAAAAATTCAATATTTAAGTATATTTCATTGTAATTAATTTGAATTGAAGTAGCCATATACAGCTAGTATTTACTATATTGAACAATGCAAATAAGAGGAAAAAATTAATAACCATCGCTAATACCACATGCCAAAATCCTCATCAGTTTATTCTAGCTAAAGGAGTTGATCAGAAGCAGCAGTTGAAAGCACCAACTAAACCAGCTGGGGTGAGTTCACTGTCATTCTCTCAGAACCATCTCTTCTCTGAACAAAAGTACAAGAGTTCATTTGAATCTCCATTCTCCTTGTCTATTTTAAGGTTTTGATGTTGACACTAATTTGTGAAATCCCTCCTGTGGTGTGATATTTCGTTTTCCTTGCTTTCTGTTAGGACAAGAATGCTTCAGCTCTTAATTTAAAATTATGTTTCTCCCTCCTAGGTTGAGTGAACTTAGAATGCATTCTCTGACATATCCAAGATTTTGTTAATATGAATTTCGGGAAAAAAGCATACTTAATTAGCTAAGACGTCTTATTCTAAGCTTGACCCTATGTTCGACATCTTTTGAATTTCTAGTTGCATGGGCTGCTCTCTGACACTGGTTAGTGACCTGGAAGCTATATTAACGTTAGGGGAGGTGGTGTATGAGCATTAGAGGTATCCTTGCAAGGAAAGACTTGTCTTATCTCAATACATCTTTTTTTTTGCACACAAGAAAGTCAATGTCTGAGTCTTCTAAAATCTTCCTATTTCCAAATTGCAGATTATGATTGATTCCTAAACAAAGACCTAATTTTTGACTCAGAGACGTGGCAAGGTAGTGAATCACCGTTATAATTTAACAATCTTCAAGATAAAATTATCTCTGATATTTAGATTTTGCCCAATTATTAAGATATTTGGGTGTTTCGTTAAGAATGGAAGACTCTAGTCTCTTGAGCAGAGACTATAAAGGCCTCAGATGATCATTTTAAATTGTATGCCCTTTTCTTTAACACCTTCAACACAGTTGGAAGCAGCCGATATTCCCCAGAGTTGTTGTGTTTTTTAAACCAAATGCATGGTTCAGTGGTAGAAAACTGGGTTGATCCAAGCTGTTTTCAGTAAACACTTCATTTCAGGTGACCTGTTTCATATTAAATAATCTCTAGATCCTGTCTTCGAAACTAACTAGATCAGATAACCTACCCTGGATTTTCTCGTTTTAGGGTCTGTGAGCTGCAGTCACTTTTGCGAAAATGATTGCAATGACAAGATAGAGTTGTAGATGGGGAAAATGTTTTGACTAATTTAAGCATAGTGGTATTTCATATGAGAATTTAAGTTACACACATTTGAAAATTATAATGGAGTCTCTTGGCTGAGCTTTAAAAAAAAATAGCGTTTAGGCTAAAAAGGGAACTGCTACCTCTCCTAAAATCAGAAAGATGTTACAGTAATTCTCCATTCTCTAGAATTATCAAGAAGCACCTTTGTGATGATTTACTTTTGCTCTTGGGAGTGTGAGCCCGTGCAGTCGTGGAACCATCAATTAGAATGGTGGCTTTCTGATCCCAAAGTCATTCGTTCTGAAAACAATATTTTTCATAAATTTGAAAGTGAGAAGTTTTGATCTTGCCATTCCCAAGTAACTCTCTTAATAAGAGGCATCAGCATGCTTCAGTGACAGCTGTCACCTTCCATTGCTGAGAGTCATCTTTGAGTTCTCCATTTCACTCCCTACACTCCAATTTAGCTGCAGTTCTCTTGGCCAGTCCTATGAAATACATCCATGGCCTAATGACTTCTCACCTCTACTACCACTCATCCTGACAGCATTCTCACCTAAGTCACTACCTTTTTTCTCTGGATGAGAGTAGCCTCCCAATTTATTTGCTCACATAACCTATTTATTCTACACAGTGCACCAGATACACCCCTTTGAAATGCAAACACAATCATGTTATTCTCTGGTGAAATTATCTCATATATTCCTATCGCATTTAAAATTAATTCAGAATCATCCCATGATTGTCAAAACCCTACATGCTCTTCCACAACATGGTTTACTTCCAAGATATCTCTTCAACTTTTTTTTCACTGTACTGAATTGGTGACTAATAGTCATATTTTTGTTTTTGCTCAAAAAGTCTTGACTTGTGAATTTTTCAGTTTCTCCTTTATCCACAGGTAACTCTTTCCTCCTAAGGCGAATTGCTTGCTTCCTTGAGTTCTGCTCTCAAAGATACCCTTCATTTTCTACCTAATATTAATAACTTTAGTCATTCATTATTCCATTACTATGCTCTATAGTGTATACAATTTCTGTTCTTTGTCATGTTATTAACTAAATTATTTATTGGGTCCAGTAACGTATTCCATAAATATTGTACACATAAAAATTGTGTTATTTTTATTCCTGTATGCTCAGCTGCCCAATAACAGTCTGAGGATTAAAATATATGTTAAATGCACAAATACATTCTTTCACAAATATTAGTTTAATAATTTTATATTAAACTCCCTCTATACTTACAATATGAATTAGATAATTCAGAATAAACATTCCATTGGAAAAAGCTACACAATTTGTTATAAAACATCCTTAAAAGCATCAGAAAGTTAATACAGCAATGAAGAATTACAGGACCAAATTAAGAATGGTATGAAAGCCTGTTTGTGACGCTTATGTTTGGGTTATCTCTTTATTTGAGTGACTATAAATCTCAAAAGAGAACTAAAGGGAGAAATAACCGTATCTACTAACATGGTAAGGGTACTTAAACATCTCTTAGTAATTGAGAAAATTGAAAGAAAAGAAAAAAGAGAAAGGGAGAAAGAGAAACAGCGAAAGGGATAATGAAGGAGAGAAAGAAGAAGAGAAAGGAAGAGGAAGAAAAGTAAAAAGGAGGAGGGGGAAGGAGGAAGGAAGAAAAGTGAAAAGAAAGAATGGTAAACTTTTTAACAACATAATTTATCCTTCTAGAATATGAATGTTGGTCTATTTGATGATGTCCCACAGATTCATTAGTCTCTGCTCATTGTTTATTTTTTATTCTTTCTGTTTCTGAGAGTCAGTGTTTTCCATTTTCTTCTCTTCAAGTTCATGGCTTCTTCTGTATGTGCAAATATACTCTTAAATCCCTCTGGTGATTTTTAAATTTTTATCATTGTAGTTTTCCACTCCAGAATTTCTGTTATCTCTTTGCTGATATTCCTACTTTTTAATATTTTTTCTGATTCCTTTATTTCTTTGTTTATGTTTTCCTTTTGACATTTGAGTATAATGAAGAGAGTTGTTTAAAAGTCTTTGTCTGGTAAGTTTGATGTCTGGGTTTCCTTAGGGATGTTTTCCGTCAATTAATTTTGTTCCTTCGAATGAGCCACACTTTTCCATTCTTTGTATGCCTTGTAACGTTTTTTGAAAACTGGACATTCTAATAATTATAATTACTATGTGGTTACTCTGTAAATCAGACCCCCCCCTACAAACACAGTAATGTTTTGTGGTTTTAAATTTTCTTTACTTATTATATTGTTAAGGATTTTTTTTTTTAGTGAAATTTTCCTAAGTGATTTACAAAACTATTTGCTTTATAAGGTGTGGTCACCGAAGTCTTTTTGTTTCCTTAACAAATGTTAAGCTAATGTTTTGGCAGTGACTTTCTGGTATGTCAGGAACCAATGAAACAGGCAAATAAAAGAAAAACAAAAAGAAAAGCAAGTAATCATTGTCCAGCAAAATATGTCTCTAGGCCATGCAGACTGGCTTTGTGCTGGGTTCTTTAAAGCCAGAGAAAAGTGTGTGTTCACTCTTGCACTGAATGAAGTTCAAGTTCATTCTTGCACAGAGGTTGCACTGAGGGGAGGGATCGGCCAAGGTAAAAGTGTAGGATCTTCTTATGACATTTGTCAGCATGTGGCTTAACCTATGAATACATGTGACTTTGTAGACTCTCCCATGTACGTGAATGATTTTGTATGTCTTAGTTTTTGAAATACTCTTCTCCAACTTTTCTTGCTGTGCTGAAGGTGATCTACTATATGTGTAAACTTTAATTTTTGCCCTAAGCATCAGTGGTTTGTTAGGTCTCCTTGCAGAGTTTCTTAATAATGTCCATTCCTTATCTGTTCTGTATTCTAGCAACACAGAAAAAAAAAAGCCTTTCATGAGTCCTTTAGGTATCCCCCAGAATAGTCAGAACAGACACATAATAATTTGCGGGTAAGATCTCTTGTTCCTTTGGACCATGGACCAGGCTTCCTCACTGGGAACGTGGGCTTCTGACCCTTCAGGACTGCCAATTTTCTGGGGCAAAGGCTAGTTAAAAATGTCATAAAGTTTTCCAGTTGTCATTTTCTTGAGTCTGCTTTCACTTGGTTGTTGTAATCTTTTGACCATTTTCCAGAGCTTTGGTGAAGTTTCTTCGGACAGTTTCTCTTAGTTGTGTGATGTTTCTGTGGGGAAATGAAAGATTGCAGCTGTCTCCATTGCCATTTTGCTGATGCTCCTCTTTTGTCAATTTTTGCTTCATGTTATTATGCTTTGTTATTAGTTCATGTATTAGTTTTCTAGGGCTGCCATAACCAAGTAACACAAACTGGGTGCCTTGAACAACATACATTTATAGTCTTATAGTCTTATAGTCCTGGAAGCTAAAAGTCTGAGATTGAGGTGTCAGCAGGGATGGTCCCTTCAAGGGCTATGAGAGGAAGCCTGCTCTGTGCCTTGTTTCTCACTTCTGGTGGTTTAGTGGCAGTCTTTGGCATTCCTTGGCTAATCTCTGTCCTCATAATCACATGGTACTCTCCCTGTGTGTATGTCTCCCTCTACTCAAATTTCTTCTTTTCACAAGGACATCAGTCATATTGAATTCAGGCTCATCTGATTGTATCTTAACTTGATCAGCTGCAAAGAACCTATTTCCTAATGAGGTCATATTCAGTGGTTAGAATTTCAGCATCTATATAGAGGAAACAATTTAACTCCTATCTGTGCATACATGATTGTAATAGCTATGTCTTCCTAAAGCGTTGACCCCCTTTTTACTACAATATAAATTTTTAAAATCCTATTCACATTTGTAATAGTCTATATTGTGTGTTATGAGTATAATGAGTTCAGTGTTCTTATGATTGCTCTTTGCATGATATTTTTTGTCATCTTTTTACTTTCAATCCATTAGTATCCTTGCATCTCAGCGTATATTGGGATCACTTGTTTTAATCCAGTCTGACAATCTCTGCCTCTGGAATGGATTTTAATCTGCTCACATTTAAGATTATAATTGGTATAATTCTATTTATGTCTGCCATTTTACCGTTTGTTTTATATATTTCTCAAATATTTTTCTTTATTGCTTTATTTTGCAATGAAAGCATATTTTCTAAAATAGGGAACTTTAGATTACTAATCAATTATTTTATTATATATTTTTGAGAATTTTTGTTGTTGTTGTAAGTTTACCATATAGGTATATGGAAAATTAATTATTCAAACCATCTTCCAATTTATACTAGTAAACTTTTAGTAATGCATAGAAACATCATTCTTATATAAATCTCTTTTGTTTCCTCCATTTTAAAGTATTATCACTTTACACATTACATCTATTAAAGTTACAAACCCAACAATACATTTTAGTAATTATTACTTTACCATCTAGAGTTATTACCTTATCACAATACATTTTTCTTCCAACTACCTCCTTTTTGATGTTACTGGAAAATATGTTACAGACGTATTCCATTTCTACATGTCAAATACTCAGCAATACATTCTGCACATATTATTATTATTATCATTGAGACGGAGTCTCCCTCTGTCACCCAGGCTGGAGTGCACTGGCACAATCTCCGCTCACTGCAAGCTCCATCTCCCGGCTTCATGCCATTTTTCTTCTTCAGCTTCCCGAGTAGCTGGGACTACAGGCGCCTGCCATCACGCCTGGCTCATTTTTTGTATTTTTAGTACAAACGGGGTTTCACTGTGTTAGCCAGGATGGTCTCGATCTCCTGGCCTCGTAATACGCCCGCCTTGGCCTCCCAAAGTGCTGAGATTACAGGTGTGAGCCATCGTGCCCGGCCATTATACACATGTTATTTAATAAACAATTTATGATAAAGAGAAAAAATGTATTTTTACTGTCTTTTATAATGTCAATATTACCTGTACCAGTGCTTTTTTAAAAATGTGGATTCAAGTGACTGTCTTCTGTAACTTGCTTTTAGCCTTAGGAATTTATTTTAGAGATTTTTTTAATATAGTAGGTCTGCCAGCAACAACGTCAGTTAATATTTCTGTTTATCTGGGTAAGTCTCTGTGTTATCTTCATTTTTGAAAAATAATTGCTGGATAAGGAATTCGTGGCTGAGAGTTTTTTTTCCTTTGCCTCTTTTGAATATATTATTCTACTGCCTCTTGCTTCCATTGTTTCTCTTAAGTCAGCTGTTAATCTTACAAAACATAGGTGCTCAAAAAATAAACATGTGCATGAATATTTTCAGCAGTAATATTCATACAGTCAAAAAGTGGAAACAATCCATATGCTTGTTGACTCATAAATGGACACCCAATTTTCAGCTATAACAAAGAATGAAGTACTTATATATGGTATAATATTGGTGAAATTTGAAAGCATTCTGTTAAGTGCACAAAAGGACAAATATTACTTGATTTTATTCACATGAAACATCAGGAATTGGCAAATCAATTGGGATATAAATCAGATTAGTGGTCATTAGGGCTCAGGGAAGCAGATTAGGGTGTAATAACTTTATGCATAATGGGTTTTTGGAAGGGACATGATGAAATTGCCCTGGAACATTGTGAATATGCTAAAAGCAAGTGCACTGTATGCTTTAAAATGGTGGTTGTTAATTTTATATTATGTGATTTTTACCTTAAAAAACAAAAAAGAGAAAATAGCCTTACTCTATACATAATAAACTCCAGATATGTTACAAATTTACATGTGAAATCCAAAATACTATAATATTTAAGGAATAGCTAAGTAGAATAACACTGAAATTTAACATAATGAAACATTTCCTTAGAAAAGAAAAAAGCACAGTAATTAAAAAGGGAAATATATTTAATATTTTTCTCTCCATTAGGCATGCCATTAACTGAGTAAAAAAATCAAGCTGCAATTATGTAAACTACATTTTCTAAAACCATAAAGAAAAGAAGAAATAAAAAGGTATTTGGGAAAAAATCCAAAGGTACAGTCAACTACACACAAAAAGCTTAGTCTCATTAATCATTATGAAAATGCAAATGGTAACTGAAAGAAGATAAAACTACAATTCAAAGAGAAACCCTAAAATTTCAACCCCCCAAAAAGTCTGGGTTTTGGAGATCTGGGATGGAATAGGGTTCCTAACCTGACAACAATGAAAGACCCAAACTAACTTCAAAGTCATGACTTTATTTTTATAGCAACGAGGTTGCCAAGAACTGAGTCAAAATGTGAGGGAAAACAAGCACCTGCAAGGAGAAAGAGGACGGATGCACTTACATAGGACAGATGCAAATAGACACCACTATGACAAGTAAAGCTGGAATAATCAATAAATTCCTAAAGGCAAAGTGGGGCTGGTGAGATTGGGAGACCGCTGACAGCTGCAGAAGTTGGGAAAGATCCATCATCTTGAAAACTTTTTCCCCACAAACCCACTGCGATCTCTCAAGCAATTGGTAAGGAATCCAAGAGAGTCTGTATATGACACAGATCAGGGAGAGCAGAACACTTGGGAGGTGACCAGGTCTTGGGGGCCGAGCCCTTATGAATGGGATTAGTGCCTTTATAAAAGAAGCTCAATGGAGTTGTTGTGTGCCTTCCACTATGTGAGGACATAGAAAGCAGGCACCACCTATGAACCATGAAATGGGCTCTCATCAACACTGAATTTGTGAGCATCTTGACCTGAGATCTTACAGCCTCAAGAAGTGTGAAAAAAGAAATATCTGTTGTTTTTTAGTCACCCGGTTTATGTTATTTTGTTATAAGAGTCCAAATAGAGCAAGATATTCCACTTAATATGTAGGGGAAGGCAACAAAAACTGCCACACTTAGGATCCTCCTGATGCTGGGAGTATGAAAACAGGAAAAACAAAACAAAACTGCTCTTGAAGGTGAAGGAGGAATATCACTGAGCTCACCAACACAGCCAGGAAAAGAACGGAAGTGTGAGAAGGCTACATTCCTGAGACCCTGAGAAAAAGTACCTGCATAAGACTGAGATGAAATTACCTACTCTAGTTATGATTGAAATCCCAAAAAGAAAAGAGGGAAAAATAATGGAGCAAAAGAAATATTTTTCAAAATAACTGCCAAAAATATTCTAAAAGAAGTGACAGAAAATCAAACTTCAAATATAGGAAACTCAGAGAATGTCAAATAGAACCAAAAGAAATAAGAATCACATCTTGAAAAATCTTTAAAAAATCAAGTCTAAATTTTATATCTTGCTCCAAATATATAGAGATATAAAGAGGTTATCAAGATATGGAGAAAGCCATATCATGGAAACACTAAAATAAGGCTGTGGAAGGACTACATTGATATTAGACACAACAGAGTTCGGAACAAGAAATAGTATCAGAGATGAGAGATAATAGATAATAGAATCATCAATTCTCAAGAAGATGTAAACATCCTACTAATTAGGGTATGCAGCTAACAACAGAACCTCCAAATACATGAGGTAAAACAGGAAAGAAATAAAAGGTGAACTAGAAAAATCCGAAACTATATTTGCCGACATCAACACTTTTGTCTTAGAAATGGAAAGACTAGGCACTAACTCAGTAATCATGTGGAAGATAAGAACAACAATATCACCAAAAAGACATCCAATCTTCAATGGCAGATACTCTTTCCTTTCAAGTGAAAAAAAAAACAGTATGGCATATTCTCTAACAAACCCAGAATTTCTAATATTTGCGTTTTTCCTTCTTTCTTTCCATCTTCCTTTCTCTTCTCTTCCCTTCCCTTGCCTTCTTTCTTCCTTTCTTCTTTTCCTCTTCCTTTTCTTTTCTTTTTTCTTTACCTTTCTTTCTTTTCTTTTTTCTCCTTCCTTCCTTCTTTCCTTTCTTTCCTATTATTCTTCCTTCCCTCCTCCCTCCCTTCCTTTCTCCCTCCCTTTTCTTCCTTCCTTTCTCATATTCTTTCTTTCTTTCTCGCCTTCTTGCTTTCTTTCCTTTTTTCTCCCTTCCTCCCGCCCTCCTTTTCTTCCTTCCTCCCTCCCTTTCCTCTTTTTCCTTCCTTCCTTCGCCTCTTTATTTTCTTTGTTTCTGTGCCTTCTTCCCTTTTACCATTCTCTCTTCCTCCTTTCCTTCCTCCCTTCTTTCTTTCTCTCTCTCTTTCTTTTTCTTTCTTTCCTTCTTTCTTTCTTGTGTTCATGCTTTCTTTTTTCTCCCCTCCTGCCTTTCTCCCTTCCTCCCTCCCTCCCTTCCTTCCCTCATTTCCTCCTTTTCTTTCTTCTTTCTTTAGTTCCTTCCTTCTTTCCTTCCTTCTTTTTCTTTCTTTGTTTTCTTTTCTTTCTTTCTCTTTACTACAAATATTATTATTTTAAAAAAATTAAGACAGGGAGACAGAAAAATAAAGAACGCTTTAATCTGCAGGTAAACAGATTATGTCTGCTGTAGGCCAAAGAATGGCCTCCCAAAAATTTTCATGTCCTAATTCCCAGAGTCTAACATACAAATATGTTAGGTTGCACGGCAGTGTGAAATTAGATTTCGAGTGAAATTAAGGTTGCGGAAAAATGATAGAGAGATTGTCTTAAATGGGTGGGATCAATGAAATCACAAACTTCCTTATAAGTGAAAGAAGAAGACAGAAGAAAGGCAACCTTGGAGGTGGTGGCATGAGAAATTACTCAATATCACTGATTTTTAAGATACAAGAATGAGGACCCAGCGCGGTGGCTCTCGCCTAATCCCAGCACTTTGGGAGGCTGGGGTGGGTTTATCACGAGGTCAGGAGATTGAGACCATCCTGGCTAACATGGTGAAAGCCCATCCCTACTAAAAATACAAAAAATTAACTGGGCGTGGTGGCAAGTGCCTGTAGTCCAAGCTACTCAGGAAGCTGAGGCAGAAGAATCACTTGAACCTGGGAGGCAGAGGTTGCAGTGAGCTGAGATCGTGCCACTGCACTCCAGCCTGGGTGACAGAAGGAGACTCCATCCCCCCCCACAAAAAAAAGGAAACATAGGATCTAAGAATGAGGTCATGTTTCAAGGAATAAAGGTGGCTGGCCTCTGGATGCTGAAAAAAATCAAGTAATAGATTCTGCCAAATAGCCCTCAGAAAAACTGCAGTCCTGCCGAAAACTTGATGTTAGCCCTGTGAGTTTAATTTAAGGCTTCTGAAATACAGAACTGTAGGATAAACGGTCACTTTATTGTAAGATATGAAGTTTATGGTAATTGGTTACAGCAGCAAGAGGAAGTTTATATTGTAATTGTATCATGAAAATGAGAACCATAATTTACAACTGCTTTTAATACTGCACTTGGATGTTTGAAATCACGTACATGGAAATGATCTCTATGTGCATGAGGGAGGATAGCAAATTGATGCCAAAATAATGCAAATGCAAATCTTACACTCATTTCTATGTAGGTTTCATTTAATCTTTGAAATTAAAATGAAATTAAAAGATTGTGATCTTTTGATGAAATTAGACTAAAATGAACAATAACAAAATAAGAACTTACTTATATTCTTTATATGGTCAATAAAGAAGTGATAGTGGAAAAAAACAAGATCAAATGAAAGTGATGATGTAGGAAGTTGGAAAGATAGCTGAAACTACAAAATGGTAATAACCAGTGAACCCTTAGACACACTGATTGATGAACTTCAGCTTTTGGCCTGGTGAGATAAAATGAGAGCAGCTGAGGTTTGCCAATTTGTAATCTCCTTGTGGAAAAACAGGGGAAAACACATCTCAGCCTAATAAGATTTATCTACTAAAGAGTCTAGACTTGATCCATTTGTCCTTGTAATTCAAAAGCTAATTCAAATACTGATTTGATGTATTGTGTGAACAACCATTGCTGATTATCATCGCATACCTGGCATTCTCTTGTATCTGATATCTAAAAGATTTGGTAATTCCTGGACTTTCTCTTTTCAAACCCAGTACGGTTTAATTTCAGTCTTAGAACAGTTGTCTTTGAGAAATTCTTCCCTCTACTGCATCTGTGAATGGGCATAGCATGGTTACATACATACTGTCACTCCATAGAACATTTGTTAAATTAAAGCCAAAGTTTAAAGCAAGAGCTTTAACTTACTGGTTTTACTAATGGTTTCCTCCCCAATAGCCACAACAATATTGATACCCTCACACCTTTTAACATAAAGCTTGGTGTTGTCTATTTTTCAGGTGCTGTCATCTATATGATCTCAGTATTTTAAACATCAGCTTCCAGCCCATATGGTGGTTCATGCTTGTAATATCAGCTGTTGAAGAGGCTGAAATGAGAGGATTCCTTGAGCCCAGGAGTTCACAAGCAACCTGGGCAACATAGCAAGACCCAGTCTCTATCAAAATTAAAAAAAAAAAAGTGTTCCTATTTCTCCACATCCTCTCCAGCACCTGTTGTTTCATGACGTTTTAATGATTGCCATTCTAACTGGTGTGAGATGGTATCTCATTGGTTTTGATTTGCATTTCTCTGATGGCCAGTGATGATGAGCATTTTTTCATGTGTTTTTTGGCTGCATAAATGTCTTCTTTTGAGAAGTGTCTGTTCATGTCCTTCACCCACTTTTTGATGAGGTTGTTTGTTTTTTTCTTGTACATTTGTTTGAGTTCATTGTAGATTCTGGATATTAGCCCTTTGTCACATGAGTAGGTTGCGAAAATTTTCTCCCATTTTGTAGGTTGCCTGTTCACTCTGATGGTAGTTTCTTTTGCTGTGCAGAAGCTCTTTAGTTTAATTAGATCCCATTTGTCAATTTTGTCTTTTGTTGCCATTGCTTTTGGTGTCTTAGACATGAAGTCCTTGCACATGCCTATGTCCTGAATGGTAATGCCTAGGTTTTCTTCTAGGGTTTTTATGGTTTTAGGTCTAACGTTTAAGTCTTTCATCCATCTTGAATTGATTTTTGTATAAGGTGTAAGGAAGGGATCCAGTTTCAGCTTTATACATATGGATAGCCAGTTTTCCCAGCACCATTTATTAAATAGGGAATCCTTTCCCCATTGCTTGTTTTTCTCACTGTTGGTGGGACTGTAAACTAGTTCAAGCATTGTGGAAGTCAGTGTGGCGATTCCTCAGGGATCTAGAACTGGAAATACCATTTGACCCAGCCATCCCATTACTGGGTATATACCCAAAGGACTATAAATCATGCTGCTATGAAGACACATGCACACGTATGTTTATTGCGGCATTATTCACAATAGCAAAGACTTGGAACCAACCCAAATGTCCAACAATGATAGACTGGATTAAGAAAATGTGGCACATATACACCATGGATTACTGTGCATCCATAAAAAATGATGAGTCCATGTCCTTTGTAGGGACATGGATGAAATTGAAAATCATCATTCTCAGTAAACTATCACAAGAACAAAAAAACAAACACCGCATATTCTCACTCATAGGTGGGAATTGAACAATGAGATCACATGGACACAGGAAGGGGAATATCACACTCTGGGGACTGTTGTGGGGTGGGAGAGGGTGGATTGAGAGCATTGGGAGATATAACTAATGCTAGACGACGAGTTAGTGGGTGCAGCGCACCAGCATGGCACATGTATACATATGTAACTAACCTGCACAATGTGCACATGTACCCTAAAACTTAAAGTATAATAAAAAAAAAGTGGGCATGGTGATGTGCACCTGTTGTCCTAGCTATTTGGGAGGCCAAGGTGGAAGGATTGCTAGAGCTTGGGAGGCTGAGGCTGCAGTGAGCAGTGATTGCACCACTGCACTCCAGCCTGGGCAACAAAGCAAGACCCTATCTCAAAAAATATATATTATAAAAATAAAAATCAGCTCTCATTGATTTCTATGTAAATATGCCCAGGTAATGTCCATATAGACATAAATAATAATATTTCTGACAATGGGTCCATATGATCTTCAAAATTTAAAATGCCTATCTGTGTAATTGACTGGTTAGTCTCATTAATGAATATAGATTCAATTCCACTTTCTTGTTCTAGATAGATTATATAATCTAGCTTTTCATTTCACTTATTTACTGATAACAACAGGAAGAATGACAAGATATCTATTTTGCAAAATTACTCTGGTAGGAGTAAAGATGAAATAATGACAGAATTGCACCGAAACCTAGAAAAAAGTATGGTCTTCTGATATTCTATCACATCACATACTAAAGGCCTCATAAAACTCAGATATTTTATCTAAAAATGTTATTTTCATCATAGGAATGATCAAAGCATGAGACCACAATTGTATTAAAATGTGCTTGTATCACAAGCACAGGTGCTAAAAAGGAGAGGAAAACATCCTTACTGATATTTTCAATGTATGCTTTACTTTTCTTCAACATGAACCTCAACTTGATATGATGCAGATTGAAGGAAATCACCCAGAATTCCATATGAAAAAGGCCTGTGATATTTTATGGGAAAATGAATAGAGAAAATGCTAACAGAAACCCTGTTAAGCATGGAGCTTTATGGAGAAAATAGAAATCCGGTGGTGAAAGATACACACTCGAGTTCTGTTTGTTGTCTTGGAACAATACGGTTTAGAGGTGACTGGCGGGTGAGGAGAACATATGCGAGTTCACCAAAGAGAAAAGCTGAATGAGGCAATGCTTCTTCCTGACCATATCTCTTACTCAGATAACTATAGAATTTATTGTCCAGTAAAGGGTATATTAAAAAATCATATTAAAAGTCATGCAGTGAAGTTGTCCAGGGAAATCAAGACTTAACAGTCTCATTCTGACAATAACGAACAGGGGTATTCCCTCAAGATACAATAGGACATGATCCCACACTGGCAGGTAGTAGTACCAGAAAAGAACGCATGGAAAATCTTTACCTTATGCTTGAGGTAGGGACCAGGCTAAAGTGAAAGCCAGACCTAAAATTCTATCTAAAATAAATCCACAATCGAAGAAAATATGTGGTGTACAGGCATAGAATGTCTTTACTGGATCATTGAAATAGTAAGGTAAATTGAACTTTTTACATTGTTTTCTTTTCCTCCAGTTAGGGCTTGAGGTTTGTCTCTGGAGAGTGACTGACAATTGCAGCCCTGCCTTTCTGGGGTTCTGGTCAGGGGGTTGTGGATGCTTAACATGTGCCTTTCACAGGACACTTCCTTACCCCAGCAGTGGCCAGGTGTGCATCCCACGGCCAGGCCTCCCTCTCACAGAACATCTGTTGAGAATAGGAGATGCCTGGTGACTGTTGCCTGACCTGTGTCCTGTGTATTTCTGACAAGAGCCACTCTCAGAGACCCTGGCCAGGAGGAGAGTTAGGTTCCAGTGTAGGTCAGCTCAGACACATGGAGGCCACAGAACCAAACATGGGAAATCACAGAAGTAGGTTTATTACTCACAGATCCAGAGAGAAGAGGGTAGCTGAGAAGAGGGTTTAGCTGTGTCCCCAGCCAAATCTCATCTTGAATTCCCACATGTTGTGGGAGGGAACAGCTGGGAGGTAATTGAATCACGAGGGCAGGTCTTTCCCATGCTGTTCTTCTGATAGTGAATAAGTCTCACAAGATCTGATGGTTTTATAAAGGGGAGTTTCCTGCACAAGCTCTCTTGTCTTGTCTGCTGCCAGGTGAGATGTGCCTTTCGGCTTGTGCCATGATTGTGAGGCCTACCCAGCCATGTGGAACTGTGCATCTATTAAACCTCTTTCTTCTGGAAATTACCCAGTCTTGGGCATGTCTTTACCGGCGGTGTGAAAATGGACTAATAGAGTAGCACACCTCATAGGGCTGAACAAAATGGGGAAGATGAGTGGGGAGCAGGAGACAGAAAAGGGGTCTGTGGGACTCCAGCCTTTATTGGGCCCAGAACATTATCCAAATAAGTTTTCCACGGGGCACTAGTCGGTGGGGTGAGTGCCAGCAGGCACACTTCTTGACTCCTGCTGCAATCGAGCAGGTCACTCTGGCGTGTGGGGGCTGTCCATGTGCACTGTGAGGTCTGTGGGGTGAGTCAGGTAGGTTGTATCCAACGGTTCCATAGCTGGTAGTCACCAGGAGGAGGCAACTGTGTAGGGTCAATATCTGGGCCAGCCACACTGAGGAACTGTGAGGGTTAGAACTGGAAATTGTCAAGGGAATCCGAACCCAGCTACCATATGAGAGAGTTCAACTTATGTTCAATGTGAATGCCATGGCAATATTAAAAGGTAAGAATTCGCTCCATACGTGCTTGAGGTAAATAGGAGAAACCTAGAATTTATGTAAACAGTGAGAAGATTGGATGCGTTTTATGTCACATATTTTAATACTAGCAGCTTATTATATATGTCAATCCATCAGGCATTCAGAAATACATGCTTATGAAAATTTTTTGCACCATCAGACAAAAGACAAGGGTAGAAGATAACCTGGTCAAACTTTCCCACACAGAGAAATGTTTGTTAAGTAATTAAAGTGTAGATGATGATAAAAAGAGCTTGATTAAATAAGATGCCAAAGTACCCTTGTGATTCAGAATATGAATGGTACTTAATGCCCTTGAAATCAATAATTGCTGAGTGACATTAATTAACGCCAATATTTCAGAAGTTGTTCTGGTTAGTGAAATGTGTACAACTTGCAACAATTTCCGAACTCTGAAGGGCAACATTATTCTATAATTAAGAATTAAGAATTAATTCACATTAATTATTGGGGAGAAATAATTTTAAGAATTAATGACTGAGAAAACGTTTTTATTTTTTATTTAGAAAATTATTTTGTGCATGAGCATTACTGCCAGTTTTGCAAGAAACATAAATTTATAGAAACAGTTATGTGCACAAGTTGAATTTAATAACATCTTGATTTTTTCCACTATTACAGTTGTATTTGGTAAATCTTTAAATGCCCATAATCTAAAGATCATAAATGAATCTTGGAAATCTTGTAGGTAAGGGTAAATATAAGGATGCATCCAATTACATTTACACACACATACAATTACATTTACACAAACATACATGCACACACGCTCACTGATACAGGTATGCATATATATACATGAATTTACCAATTGATTTTTTTTTTTTTTTTTTTGAGACGGAGTCTCGCTCTGTCGCCCAGGCTGGAGTGCAGTGGCGGGATCTCGGCTCACTGCAAGCTCCGCCTCCCGGGTTCACGCCATTCTCCTGCCTCAGCCTCCCAAGTAGCTGGGACTACAGGCGCCCGCCACTATGCCCGGCTAATTTTTTTGTATTTTTAGTAGAGACGGGTTTTCACCGTTTTAGCCGGGATGGTCTCGATCTCCTGACCTCGTGATCCGCCCGCCTCGGCCTCCCAACGTGCTGGGATTACAGGCGTGAGCTACCGCGCCCTGCCTACCAATTGATTTTAACTAATATTTATAAGAGCCTGTAGGATTGATATATATTGTTGAACCTGAAAAATATTTATTATATACATGTTTAAAATACACAAAGAAATAAATAGTAATTGCACTAGGCATTTGAAACTGTACTTAAATATAAGCTGTGATCATTACAAATTCTTACACTGAATAAATATTTTTATTTTTATAATAATATGTTTGATACATGTGTCCATTTTTAAAAATGTATTATTTTTGTCATAGAGTCATGTCATGCATAATAATATTTCTGTCAGAGATGGATTACATATACAAAATTGGTCCCATGAGAATACATATTTTTACATACTTTTCTATGTTTAAGTATGTTTACATACATAAACTCTTATCACTGTGTTCTTATTGCCTGCAGTATTCAGTATAGTAATGTAGTACACAGGTTTGTAGCCTAGGAGAGAGAGGTTATACCATATAACCTAAACGTGGTAGGCTGTACAATCTAGGTGTTTGTAATATTCTCTCTGACGTTTGCAAAATGATGAAATTGCCTATGGATGCATCTGTTAGAACGTATCGCTGTCATTCAGTGATGCGTGACTGGCTAAAATGCTAAATCTAAGTTTCAATGACCTCCATAAAATTGTTGTACTGTGAAATAAAAATCTCTCACCTATGGTCTGAATGTGTTTGCCAACTAAGCAGATCATGGGAAGGAGAATGTGCTGGCATCGCTGGGATGATTTTCTCACACTACATGAATAATATCTCCAGACTTTGCGAATATGAGCCACTTGCATAGAGTTAAAGTAAGCATCTCTTTGCTGGGAATTTTATCAAACGGGAGTATGAAGTGTTTTTAAAAGATACTTGTTTGTTTGTAGACGGTAGGCCTACAGTGGCTCATGGCAGTGGTTGAGGTTGCTAAGATTTGGTGGAAGAAGGCAAAATGAAATGGCCACTTAGATGGTATATGGATCACTTGTTTCTGTTGAGTTACAGATTCAGCTGGCTATTTCTCCGAACGTTAGTTATTTGGAGAAAGAAACATGATAGTAATTTTGGGGTAACAAATACAATATTTGATGAAAGCAAATTTATTGAGGGTTAGACAAACTACAAGATAATTTAGGCTGCAAAGTCAACACGATACTTCTGGCCCAAATTGTGCAGAGTTTGGGTCCAGCTGCAAAGTTCAAAGGAAGAGGCCATATAAGATGATTCGCACTTTTGTCACCAACTGCCAGTTCTGGGGTTTCCCCAGAACACCCTCAGTTTCAAGAATTTACTAAAAAGACTCACAGAACTCATTGAATGCCATCGTACTCATGGTTTATAATAGAGAAAGGGTAGAAATTAGGACCAATCCAAGGAAGAGACATATCACATAAGGTGGAATCAAGGAGGAATTTGAATGTTAAGTTTCCATTGTCTTCAGGACATATTACCTGTCATTGTTGTACAGCAATAAACATGGAGTACTACCAACCTGGGGAGCTCACCTGATGCTAAAAAGACACTATTTAGAAAAGGAAAAGACAAAGGAAAGGAGGAGATAAGATGACCTTCCACATTAAGGCACTGGAAAGAATAGCAAACTAAACCTAAAGCAAGCAGAAGGAAGAAAATAAAAATTAGAGAAATTAATAATTTATAATATTAATCATATTTGTTAGTGTTTACTAGTTGATATTAATTCTTGACTGACTTTTTTTAAAAAGAGAAATATTCACTTCCCAATTTATTCTGTGGGGCCAGTATTACCTTGATACAAAAATTAGTCCAAATAGCGTAGAAAAATAAAACTACTATAAGTATAAATGCAAAATTCCTTAAAAAATAGTAACAAATCAGATCTAGCAACATATAAAAGAATTACACACTATGACAAAGTGAAATTTATACTAGTAATGTCAGGTTGGTTTAACAGCCCAAAATCCATTACGGTAATACATCTTATCCATAGAATAAGAAACAAGAATTGCATGATCATGTCGATAGATTCGGAAAAGACATTTAACAAAATCCAAATGCTTTAATGATTAAAAATAAAAACTCAATGAACTAGGAATAGAGAACTTTCTACACCAGATACATGGCACCTGTGAAAAGCCAACAGCGAGCATGCAACTTAATGGTAAAGGATGCTTTCCCGCTATGGTCAGAGATAAGAATAGGATATATAGTTTGACCTCTTCTAGTCAACACTGTACTAAAGATTTTATGCAGGGCAAATCGGCAACAAAAAAAAAGAGTCACCCATATTGAACAGGAAGAAATAAAACTTTATTTGAAAATAACATTCTTGTATATAGAAAATTTTAAGGAATCCATTGAACGATAGAACTCGTAAATTATTTCAGCAATATTACAGCATACAAGATAAATGTACAAAAATCAATTACACATATCTACAATGAAAACCCAAAAATGAAATTAAGAAAACACTTCAATTTAAAATAGCATCAAAAAAAGAAATAATAATTAATTTGGAAAATGTGATACAAGATTTTACTCTGAAAATTAAAAATTATTGTTTAAAGAATGTCTAAATAATTAGCAAACATCTTCCACCCATGAATTGGAAGATTTAATATTGTAGTACTTTACAAGGTGAACTACAGATTTGACGTAATCCCTGCAAGTATCCCAACAGACTTCTGTCTAGAAACTGACAAGCTGATTCTAAAATACACATGGGATGGTAAGGGACTCAAAATAGCCAAAATAGTCTTGATAAAAGAAAACATATTAGGATAATTCACACCCCCGTGCTCCAAACCTTACGGCAAAGCATCAGTAATCAAGACAACACAATACTGATGAAGGAAAATTATATAGATTGATGGAAGAGAATTGAGAGTCCATATATAAAACTATGTATCTATAGTCAATGGATTCTTAAACTGGTGCCATGTGCAATTCAATGAGGAAGAGACAGTCTTTGAACACACCGGGTCAACAACGTACACGTGGATCGCCACTTGCAAAATAGTAAATTGGAACTCTTACCCCAAAGCATACAAAAATATTAACTCAAATGAATTAAAGACATACATGCAAGAGCTAGAATAAAGCATATGCGAAAATCTTCAGGATTTTGGATCTAGCAAAGAAATAGCTGTAACACCAAAAACATGAGCAACAAAATAAAAATTAGATATTTAAAATTTCTTAAAAATTAAAGACATTGGTGTTTCAAAGGACAACCAAGCAAGTCAAAAGGCAGCTCAAAAATTGTGAGAAGATATTTGAGAAACACATATCTATATGTCTGCTTATATATGTATCTTGAATATAGAAAAATTGTTTTAACTCAGTAACAAAAATCCCAACTCAAAACTGATAAACGATAGAAATAGTTGTGTATCCCAAGAAGATACACGAATGGTCAATAATCCCATAAAAAGATACTCAACAGCATCACTCATCAGGCAACTACAAATCAAAACGACAGTTAGATACTCTATGGCTAGAACTGGCCACTTTGGAAAATAGGTTGATGGCTTCTAAATATATGAAACATAGAATTGTCATATGACCCAGAAATTTATTCCCAGGTATACCCCCAGAGTATTGGAAAGAGGTGTTCAAACACAAATTATACACAAGTATTTTAACAGCAGTATTTAAAATAGCCAAAGGCTGAACACAAATCAAATGTCAACAAAATATTATTGGATAAACAAAATGTTATATCCATGAAATTGAATCTTATACAGTTATAAAAAGAAATAACGTACCAATACGCATATGAACCTTGATAGCATTATGCCAACTGAAAGAAGCCAGGCACAAAAGGCCACCTATTGTATGATTCTATTTAGATGAAAATAGAATAGGAAGATCTACAGAGACAAAAAACAGATTTGTTGTTGCTTAGGATTGAGTAGGGGATGAGTGCATAGGAGGTTAACAGCTAGAGAAGGTGGGGTTTCTTTTTGAAGTGATGAAAATGCTCTAAAATTCATTGTGATGATGGCTCCACTTATCTGTGTATATACTAAAAGCCATTGACTTGTAGACATTACTATGTGCACTCTACAGTATGTAAATTATATCTCAATAAATCCTGTCAAAAATACACAGAAGACTAAGGGGTTTTGGACTGTTGCAGCTGGGAGGCAGTTTGAAATACTGAATAGGTCTCATCGAGAATGTGAGGTTTCAGTAAAGACCTGAGGAAGTTGAATGAGCTCATCAATGGATATATGGAGGGCTATCTTTCCAAGCTAAGAAATTAACTAGAGTCTTGGTCATAAGGCAGTAGCATGTTGGCATGTCCAGAGGACAGTGAGGTGGCCAGGACCACTGGTAAGTTCAAGGTTGAAGACATAAAAGAATTTTGGCGGTTAACATGCGGCAGATCATGATGGGCTTGCAGACCATTGTAAGAATTGTGTCTTTTAGTGTAAATGAAATGGGGAGACAAATCATTATCCCATTATCAATATTTTAATAAATTGGATCCATGAACCAAATCCAATGAGATTAAATCAATTAGTAATAATATGCAAATTTGTATTAAAATTACCAGAATTCCTTTCACGTTTGAGAACAGGAGAGTCATGATTCTTTATCAGCAATAATAAACTATTAATTTTAATTGTCATCAGCTAATTGAGATTAATTGCAATACATCATGCTTTATAATGTGACTGTCAAAAGGAAAATATGATTGTAATCTTATACTACATCTATCAATGTCTTTGATTCATAGGACTATAGACTAAGCCCCTAGTTTTCAAAGCCAACTGATGAGGCAGCGACATCTTATGCAAGTTTGCTGCTTTCTGCCACAGTGGTTCTTGGTCAGCTGGCACAAATTGTTTTACAACACCACTAGGTCTAAAAACAGTTTGGATCACAATGAACACAGAATCACCTTCATCCCTTCAGAAATACCTATCAATTACTTCCAATACAGAATGAAAAATTGACAACGGAAGTATGTTGATTGTAAAAATGCCAGATAGCTTGCATCTACATGAAAGAAAAATGCCATTTTTATTACAATAGATCATTGTTTTACATGAGTTTTGGTATAGCACAATGTTGAACCAAGGGCAAAGAGAGATGAATTAATGAAGTCTTAAGATATCAAGAATTTGAAAGAAAAGGCAGGTCATTTTGAATGTTAGTGACATAGCATTCATCTTCTGTTGTCACCTTTTCCGTCATTCCCTGTATGCCTGATGGACAGCTTTCACTGAAGTTCAGAGAGCAGCATGCAAAGATTAGCTACCAAGTAATTTTTATGAAGTGAGCTTAATTTCTAGCCAGACTGAGCTTACGTTTTAGCAGGAAGCATTTTTGGGAAATGTTTATGTTAGAGTTTGCCCTTCTTGACAAGGTGAGACATAAATGTCTACGTTATAGACATGAATTAAGATGGGAAGATATTTGGGGGAAACATTTTCTCAAATGCAAAATAACAAAGGTACACAAAGGGGAAATTATACTAGATTTATTTCCCACTTGTTTTCTATGTCTCATGCAATTCACCTTGATTCCCTTCAGCTTCTGTTTAATGTAGAAAGTGGCATTTTCATTATTTTAAGCTTCTAGCACAATGAAAGAATTTCTCTTTTTCATGAACTGCATCATAAATGAAAGGGAGGAAGAGTGTCCAATATCATATTTATTGTTCAACAAAACACTGCTCCACTGCTTAAATTCAGTTTAAAAAAGAGAATTTATTGAACATCTAACACATACATAAAAGGCAGTAAAGACACATGAGAAGAGGGCAGGATATTGAAGTATACAGACTTTAATGCTGAGTTTTGTATCTTAGTAAGTTACTGCAGCTTACAGAGACTCAATTTCCCCTGATTTAGGAAGGCGATGCTAATGGGTATTGCATAGGTGTAAGTATTAAAATGTTGTATTTAAGAGAATCCCACAAGCTTGGTATAAGGCAGAAAATAAATAGATGTGACATTAATGAGTAGTTTATTACATTTGTATGCTACCTGCAGACTAGAGGAAGCAAGAAACACAGCCACTATGCTTGATTAGCATTATATTCTAATTTGGAATATAAATAGAAAAGAGAAAAATAAAAAGCTATGCATAAACACATGCATTAAAATGAATTTTATGTGGACTCTTTCAGGAAAATGTTCCTAAGGTATTTTATTTTTTTATTGTGGTAAAATACACATAACATAAAATGTACTCTGTTAACCATTTTAAGTGTACAGTTCAGTGGTACTAAATAGAGTCATAACATTGTGCAGCCATCCCTACCATCCATCTCCATAACTCGTTTCATCTTGTGAAACTGAAACTCTGTACCCGTTAAACAGTACTTCCCCATGTCTTCCTCCCCCCAGCTTCTGGCAATCATCATTGTACTATCTCTATGATTCTGTCCACTTTAAGTCTCTTATACAAATGGAATTATACTGTATTTGTCCCTCACTGACTAGCTTATTTCACTTGGCATAATATCCTCAAGTTTCATCCAAGTTGCAACATATGTCAGAATATTTCCCTCATGTTTAAGGCTGAATAATTTTCCATTGTATGTATATATCATGTTTTGCTTATCCATTCATCTGTGGTTGAACACTTCAATTGCTTCTACGTTTTAGCTATTGCCAATAATGCTGCTGCAAACATGGATGTGCAAATATTTTTTCAAGACTCTGCTTTCAATTCTTTTGCTATCTTGAGATGTGGGGCTGCCGAATCATAAGGCAATACCATTTTGATGTTTTGAGGAAATACCTACTCTTTTCCACAGCAAACATAGGGTTTGGCATTCCCTCCAATATTGCAAAAGGAATCTCCACATCCTTGCCTGTGGATTTTATTCACAAGTCCTGTGGCTCTCTCTACATCCCAGCCACCATGTGTTATTTCCTGTTTATATATATGACATCAAAGGTGCAGAAAGTAATGAACTAAATTGGAAGGATAAACATGTAGAAAAATAGAGGTAAATACTGACTACATAAAACCATCAGAATAAGAATTTTGGATGATCTATCTATTATTTATGTATCTATCTAACATCTATCTGTTCCTCCATCTGTAATTAAAATATATTACAGTTAGAGAACAGAGAAAAAAGTAGGAATATATGAATTTAAATTTTAATTCTTCTTAGATTGTCTCACAGCATCATTACATGACAGAAAATTTATAGGTCAGTATCTGTTAACTATAAATGTAACATTTTTAAAGTATTCAAATACATTGAATTGCAGCATGAATAACATATTACAATCCATTCAAGTTTATTTTATTCCAGGAACACAAAAATACAAATTTCATTTGCAATTCAAGAAAAACAGAAATCGATACATATGATTGATGTATATACACATTTAATGTATTTTTAAATGTACATTTTTAAAAAATAAAATTTTTCTAGGACAACTCCTTAAAATATCACTGAAAATAGTGTTATTAGATAATACCTTCCTAATAACTCTGGTATTACATAAGAAAACAAAATTAAAATTTCAGATTAGCTTAGAAACTAAAAATTTTAAAAATATTATTCTGTTCTCCATATGTTCATATTTAATATTATTTCTTGTTTTCATTCTTCTTCAGTGTTGCTCTACTAAAATATAACATACAACAGTTACTTTTGATTTCTGTTATTACTCAAAATTGTATACATTTTCTCATGCTCTTAATTTAGCTATGCTACTTTTCTTTACTCCTGGAATTTTCACATTTGTGTTCACTCTCTTTTGAGTTCCCATAGTATCAAATAAGCTTTTTGCCCTCTTTCCGATTTGAAGGTTCATCTTCTCATAATTATTTTGTCCACTCAGTTTCTTTTCATTCTCAGTTAAGTGCCTCTCATCTGGCTTCTTTTCGTTTGTAAGGTTTCCTTTCATCTTAAGCCAGTCTTTTATTTATATTTTGATTCTGCTTCTTGGAGGACATGCATCCTGGAATTTTAAGGAAGAGGCCAAAAGTTTTGTTCAAGTTTTTACCTGATATATTGGATTAAACTATCTAATGTACACACCCTTAATTTAAGTCTAGGGGCGACTGTCTACTCTCGATTTTGTATAGTATTATTTTTCTTAACATCCAAGTCCATCTTCATCTATTTGTATATGATCAATAAAAATATATTTGTCCAGAGCCCTGCTTTGGTTGAGTTACTTCTTTCTAAGTAGGAGAGGTAGCAGTTGAGACATGAGCTGGGTTCTGGGTCAGTTTAGAGGGCTGGGCGACATTCCTCCTTTTGGTCTGTATGACTGAATGAATGCGGTTCTTGCTGTCTCGCTCCTCTCCTTAACACATTGAGCCATTGCAGCAGATGAGAAGGAATAATCCTGATCTGCTATTCAGGTGGAACACTTGTTCTCTCCAACCACATCCATAGGTTGTACTCACACTCAGCCAGAATGTATCCTGTCAATGATATGGAGATGTATCTAGCTATCCAGATAGATATCTACTTTGGTTTATGCTCTCTGGTTGCCCATAAATTATCTCCTTAAAGTGAATATCAAAAGAGAGCTTGGTGATGGCAGTGTTATAAAATCCTCAAGATGCAGCACCCACACCCAGAGGAATTTGTAGATTCTAGGATTCTAATTCAGATACCAAACTACATAAAAGGGGCATTGGTCATTGAGGGTTGCTAGGCTCTTTGTGGAGCATATTTGCTCTTTTCATGACTTTGAAATTATTTTAAAAATCTAACCTTTTTCTCGGTGTACTGCAAGATGATTTGATTTTAATGCACAAGCACTAATTCTCCCCTAAGATTTGTACAATATGTTTGCTCTGACAAGCCACAGCCAGCAACTCTCTTCACAGCAATTTATAGCATTTCCAACACAATTTGAATTATTTTTAACTAGACTCTCTTTGCCTTAATAAAAATATGAAGAAGCAATATACTTGTTCTAGTTAGGTTCAAAAGTTGGCAGTCTCTCTCCTGGAAAGAATAATAAAACTTTTCAGCGGCCTAATATGCATCTATAGACACACACACATGCAAGCACTATTCATAATATTTAAAGCACATTCTGTTCTATGACTTCATTTGTCTAGCACAAAATAAAACGATCTCAGTATATGTCAAGTACCAATTGTTTCGTATGGCCAATTATAGGTATTTTATTTTTTAAAGATTAGAGTGTTCTTGAAGCTCTTTCTATTTCTTTGTCAATGAACTAAACATTGGCAAATATGTAGGGTTTCCCACATAAGAACATTATTAACATCAAAATAGAAAGCTGGTGGTAGAAATAATGATTGGGAACACAGAGTCTCTACTCAGCGTTCTACTTCTGCCATACCATAACTTTGTGATCTCACGAAATATCTCTCCATGTTCTCATCCCTATGTATAGTTCTGTCATTTTTCAATAAGAGCTTTTTGCTTAATTATGAAGTACTAGTTACTATAACCATTATTTTGAGCTTCATGTAAATCAAGAACACATGGACTCCACTTGCAAAACATTGAAAATGTAGTTAGGGATTGGGGGCAAAAAGCAACATTTTAAAATGTGTAAAGACAATGAGTAAGCAACAAAGTGTCCAATTTTTTAGGCGAAAGTTGCATATGTCAGGAAAAGGCAGGATTAAGTAACAGAGAATTTGAATGATAACTGGCCAATTGGTGTCGTTTACAATTGCAAGTCATACAAATGAAGTTTGCTTTTTTAAAGAGAAAAGGAATTAGTTAGAATGGGTCAAACTATCGGGGAAGCAATGTAGTTAGAGACAATGCCCAAAACCATGTGAGCAAATGCTCTGTGGAGCGCACCCCTGCAATGCTGCCATTGTGAGGCCAAGTCTCTCCTTGTCTTGGTACTGAGCCCTCCATTCTGCCTCCATCATTGCCACAAATGATCCCACTGTAGCTGCCACAAAATGATCCCTCAACCACCGCTGCCCAGGAACAAAGAAAGAATTCTGTCCTTCCGCGCTCTCAGATCAATTTCCAACATCAGGTGAGACTTTGATGGGCACTATTCAGTTCCCAAATCCCTGAAATAGATGCAGTAAAAACACAGAAATTGCCTATGTGTTTCCCAATAAGACACATATGGAAGCCTGTTTTCCCACAACAGGAAGGGGTTTCCACGATGGGTGCTCAAAGGAACAATATTCCCTGTAAACCATACTTTGCCCATATGAAGAAGAGCAATAAGGATTATTTAGTAAATAGACATGGAAACTCATCCAGGGTTGGTTGATGAGAAGCTGGTTAGCAAGGGGGTCTGCCTTCAGTTAGGACAAGGTCTGTGCTTCCCACGGGTTCTCTCCACATCAGGAGGGATGCAAACTTCCCTTTCCTCCCCTGCACCTACCCTCAAATGGCCCAGAGGTCTTCAGGTGCTAGAATTTCTCAATGAATGCTGCACAAAATAACAGACAGCCTTGACTGTCACTGTCTGTTCTCATGAAGCTAGTCTCTGCTTACTACATAAAACAGAAGAGTAAGAACAAGGGTGTTAAACACTACCCTAGCTCAAACAAGTTTCTCTCTGTAGGATGCGAAGAACCTGGGAACCAGTGCATCTGCTGCTTTCCCTTCTCGGATTCTAGCCCAGACAAAAGAGGCAAGGGGCATTTCTTCAGAGACCTTGAGCTTCACTACACAATGCCCCAGGCTCTACATGCACCCTCTTTATATATTTCTACCTTGAAAAAAAATTTTATATAATAACATATTTTTATATAAGGAACACATGTTTATTTTATAGATAGATATACATAGATAAAGATCTCTAGTCTGCCTTTTTTAAGGCTGAGCTGATCGCGGTGCCCCAAAACTATAATCCCAGCACTTTGGGAGGCCAAGGTGGCCAGATCTCTTGAGTCCAGGAGATGGAGATCAGCCAGGGCAAGATGGTGAAACCCCATCTTTACAAAATTAGCTAGTATGGTGTCATGCACTTGCAGTCCCTGCTACTCAGGAGACTGAGGTGGGAGAATCGCTTGAGCACAGTATGTGAAGGCTTCAGTGAGCTCTGATCACATGACTGCACTCCATCTTGGGTGACAAAGTGAGACCCACTCTCAAAATAAAATAAAATAAAAAGGCTACCACCATACTCACAGATAAGTGTGTCAGGTATATTTGCAGCTATCTTTCCTATATTCTATTTGGTAAAAAAAAAAAATTGCAAAGAACTCTTCTCATTCTAGATTTTTGTATTAATTAGACATTTGAAGTTTATAGCAGAAGAGCTATAATCATGTTTGGTATGTGTACTCTATAGACCAGATAGTGCAAACATATATCAATGCTTTTTAAAAGTATATAAGGTTATTAGAAATATTTTAAACTACCTATAGGTATATATGTATCTAATTCAACTATCAAGTAAGATCATTTCCTTAGCGTGTGAAATGCACTCAATTTATTAAAATATTTTCTAATGTCTATTACAATAATATTTCTTAATTAGCTAACATAAGAGGAGTTTTAAGACATTTATTTATATGTACTTACTAGATTCAAACTCGATTCCACTATTTTCAGAAATCATGCTCCGAGACAAGTCCTTTTTTTATCTAACTCTGTTTCTACCTATATTAAAAGACAGATATGTCAATTTTGCTAATCATGCTGTTCCAAACCTCTCCATCCTATTTTTCGGTTTGTTCTACCAGTCATTCAGAGACTTACTTATATGCAAATTTCTCTCTAGGTTTAACATTTGTGTATGTCTTCTTGTGTTTTTGTCTATTTTTGCTGTATATAATTTATTTATTGACATATACATGCAGAAAAGTACAATGATTAAATATGGATAGCTTCATTAATGAAACACATGTATTTGCTTATAACCATGTATGAAAATAGAACATTACTAAAAATAGAGATACTTCTCCTGCCCCTTTCCAAACACTAACCCTCATCCTCAATAGTAACAGATTTTTTTTTATCATAATTTGGTCTATTTTCAAATTTTTATTAAATAAATCAGAGTATCTACTCTAAGTCTATGTTTCTTTCATTGTTGTTATTTTGCTTATAGTATTTATCTGCTAATGGACATGGTAGATTAAAGACGGCTACATACACATTTTTTAATTAATAGATTTTTTGAGCACTTTGTGGCTCATGCCTCTAATCCCACCACTTTGGGAGGCTGAGGTGCGGGGATCATGAGGTCAGGAGATCGAGACCATCCTGGCCAACGTGGTAAAACCCCTTTACTAAAATACAAAAAATTAGCTGCTACATAACATCAAGATAACATGTGGGTTCTTAGCTGCACTGAGTCAAGCCTACTTACATCTTTGTTTGTCTTCCTCTGCACTTTTCCTTCCACATCACACTCCAGGAATGCCAAGCTGTGCTGGCTGTCTACCCCATTTCCACTATTTTGCCCCCGCCGACGCGGCTTTTTGCCATCGTGGATTTTTGACCCCGCCGCTGCGGGTTTTTGCGGCTTTCTGCCCCCGCCGCCATTGCTTTCTGCCCCCGGCCTCGCGGAATTTAGCCCCTGCCGCCGCGGCTTTTGGGGCTCTTTGCCCTCGCCGCCGTGGCTTTTTGCCGCCGCAGCTTTTTGGGTCTTTCTCCCCCCACCGCCGCGGCTTTTTGCCCTAGCCTTTGCGGCTTTTTGCGGCTTTTTCCCCCTGCTGCCGCAGCTTTTTGCCCCCGCCACCGTGAATTTTTCCGCCGCGGCTTTTTGTCACCGCCGCCGCGGCTTTTTACGGCTTTTGGCCCCCGGCGCCGGTGCTTTTTACTGCTTTTCGCCCCCGCCGCCGCAGGTTTTTCCCGCCGTGGCTTCTTGCCCTGCCGCCCCGGCATTTTGCCGTCATGGCTTTTGGCCGAGGCCACCGCGGCTTTTTACGCCTTTCCGCCCCCGCCGCCGCGGCTTTTTTCCCCCTCCGCCACAGGTTTTTCCAGCCGCGGCTTCTTGCCCCCACTGTCAGGGCTTTTTGTGTCGTTTTGCCCCCCGCCGCCGCGGCTTTTTGCTGCTATTTGCCCCTGCCACCGCAGCTTTTTGCCTCCGCTGCCGCGGCTCCTTGCCCCCTACGCGGCTTCCTGCCCCCACCGCCGCGGCTTTTTATCACCCCAGCCGCTTTTTGCCCCCGCCGCCACGGGTTTTTGCTCCTGCCGCGGAGGGTTTTTGCGCCTTCATGTCCCCGCCGTCGTGGCTTTTTGCCGCCCCTGCTTTTTGCCCCCTCTGTCGCGGCTTTTTGCGGCTTTTTACCCCCTCCGCCGTGGCTTTTTGAGGCTTTTTGCCCCCGACGCCGCGGCTTTTTGCTGCCGCTGCACCGTTTTGCCCCCGCCGCGCCTTTTTCCACCGCCGCCGCATCTTTTTGCCGCCGCGGCTTCTTACCCCGCCACCGCGGTTTTTATCCCGGCCGTCGCGGCTTTCTGACCCCGATGCTGTGGCTTTTTACGGCTTTTTGCCCCCGTCACCACAGCTTTTTGTCGCCGCGGCTGTTTGCCTCGGCCGCCCTGGCTTGTTGCCCCCGCCGCTGTGGCTTGTTGCCCCCGTCGCCCCGGCTTTTTCCCCCACCGCCCCGGCTTTTGGACCCCACCGTTGTGGCTTTTTGCGCCCGCCGCCGCGGCTTTTTGTGGCTTTTTGCCCCCGCCGCCGCGGCTTTTTGCCGACGCGGCTTTTTACTCCCGCCGCCACAGGTTTTTACCCCTGCGGCTTTTTCACCCTGCCGTCGCGTGTTTTTGCCCCCACCGCCGTGACTTTTTACCCCCACCGCCGCGGGTCTGAGGGCGGGATCAGCAGACTCAGCTGCCAGATCTACCTGCGTCCTGGCTAAGGCAGCGCCGAGGGTCACTCCTGGTCCAGCTCTCCCGGTTCGGGGGTTCCTTGCCTAGACACCCGCGCCCCAGGCTCTGTTCCTGGGCAGCTGCAGCCAGCATAGAGCTGCGCTGCGCTCGGCCCCGATGGGAGAGAAGAAGGAGAGCGGTGGAGGGGGTGACGCGGCTATCGCGGAGGGAGGCGCAGGGGCCGCAGCCAGCCGGGTGCTGCAGCAGTGCGGGCAGCTTCAGAAGCTCATCGGCATCTCTCTTGGCAGCCTGCGCGGGCTGCGCACCAAGTGCACTGTGTCCAAGGACCTCACCCAGCAGGAGATACGGACCGTGCAGGTAAGGGGATCAGGGACCAGAGCTGGGCTCCAGCACCAGACTGGACATCTCCCTCGGGGCCCCAGTTCACTCCTGGCCGAGTTGCATCCTTGAGCCTGCGTCACCCCCTTGGAGGCTTCTCCTCCCTCCTGCACTCGCTGATGCGGCAGCCGGAGGACCCGGGTCCAGCCCTCACCTTGGGCAGGATTTGTGGGGTAGGTGCGTGTTGGGAACTGTGATGGAGGCTCAAGGGGCCCGTGGGCGGGGTGGGCTGCACGCGGACATCCCCTTACGCCTCGAATTTCCATCTGGTGCAGCCTTCTCATCTTGTAGGTGAGGAAACCGAAGGCCTGAGGGAGAAATGACTTGCCAGGAACCCCTGTTAAGGAAAATTAACAAAGTGTGGTTATCAAAGGAGAACTGAGTTCAGATTCAAACCTGGAGTCCCACACCCTTGGTTAAGACATTATATCACCTTGAGTCTGGCCTGTTGACTGAGGGTGAGGCACTCCATCCTTGTCTGATTGTGGGGTCTTGACCTCAAGTGGTTTCCTGCAGGAAGAAGCAAATGGGTTTGCTTTCCTAGCTCTGTCCAGTACCTTAGGGACCCTGAGAACTGGAGAGATTCTTGGAGAGCCATCTGGTGTATGTCATGGGTGGGCCTTGTTTGAAGGTCAGTCTGCCCAGTGGGCTGGCTCAGCCCGAATGAACTGTCTTGAATCTTTGGAGATGTCTGGGTAGTTTTAAGGGTTTCTCATCCTTGCACCAAAAGATCCCCTGGAAATTAGGTGGGAAAACCTTAACTTTTGTGGAGCCTTGTATTTGTCTTAAAAGTTCATGCACATAGCCAGGTGTGGTGGCTCACACCTGTTATCCTGTCCTGGATCCCTTGAGTCAAGGAGTTAGAGACCAATCTGGACAATATAGTGAGACCCCATCTCTACAAAAAATAAAATATTAGCCAGGAGTGGTTGTGCACATCTGTAGTCCTAGCTACTACTGTGGCTGAGGCGGGAGGAGCACTTGAGCCTGCACTGAGCTGTGATCTCACCAGTGTATTCCAGCCTGGGCCACAGAACAACACCTTGACTCAAAAAAAAAAAAAACAAAAAACCCAACAAGAAAAATTCTTGAAGATTTTGCATTCTGTCCCACTATCCATTGGTTTTCATGTCAAGATAATGTTAGAAATTCTTTACAATTGCTTCCAGAAGGAGTAGCCTTTTGATCTAGTGCACAGGTATCCAGTCTTTTGGCTTCTCAGGGCCACATTGGAAGAAGAATGCTCCTGGGCCACAGATAAAATACACTACTGCTAATGATAGCTGATGAGCTTAAAAAAAAAAGGTTTGTGCATAATTTTCATGATACCCACCACCACAGATAGGCGGAAAAGTCCTTGTAGTCAAAGGGTTGGACACGGCTGATCTAGTGTCTTGTCGTCCGTTTTGGCTTTCTCCCTGACTCCAGAATGCAGGTAGAGATGTAGAGACATGCTCCCAGGACAGCTGTTGAGATAAAAAAAATTCATTGTCATTTATTCCCAAGGACAGCTGTTTGCCATTTGCATTGAAAAAGTCTCCATTCAAACTGCTGTCACATATAAAATCTACTTATATAAGTCTGTATTTTTCTGTTGTCTTGGCCTTTGTGGGCAGTAGTGTGTTTTAACCGAGCAAACTGTCCTTCCAAATAATGAAGCCGAAGTCAGCCTACCTGCTTGCCATTTTTCTTCCCCTTCCATTTTTCTAACCTCAGGATAATTGTAAGAATGAATTAAGATTTGTGTGTAAGGCCAGGCACAGTGTCTCAGGCCTGTAATCCCAGCACTTTGGGAGGCGGAGACGGATGTATCCCTTGAGCTCAGGAGTTGAAGACCAGCCTGGGCAAAATACTGAGACTCCGTCTTGTGTAATTAAATTAAAATTTTAAAAAAGAAGAGAAAAGGACCTGTGTTTAAAATTTTAAAAAAGGGGGGAAAGTGTAATGCAAAATGTGGACCATGCTAGCTATGACTGGGAAAAATAATTTTTCCTGCAGCATTATCTGTAGACTTGTGTTAGCAGCATACTGGTCATAAGCGTTTTGCTTTCGTCAAATATGATGAGGTAAGCTATTTTAAAGTGTGGTGGTGCTTTCTTCTGCATGGCTCCTGGAGGTGTTGAGTCCCAATTTAGCCAATTAATTTGGGTTTAATTTTGATATGGATAAGGGAGACCAGCTTCATTCATGGTGCACACACAGTTTTGCCAGTAAGGAAAAAAAAAGCAACCTGAATGTTCCTACTCATTAGATGCTATCTGGAGAGCTCCTACCCCACCCCCACCAAGGCCCGGGCCATTAAAAAGACTCAATGCAGCCTTTCTGGATCTCATACTGTATTCTGCAAGATACTCCTGTGAAAGAAAGTTGTGCTGCATCAGCCATCTCCCTCCTGAAGATCCCTGCGGATGAGGATTTGTGTTTTGAAAGTTCTGAGAATTCCTGCAACAACAATTCTCAAACTTATTTGTCCAGGGGATCTTTTCTTCCACTGAATGTAGTTGGGGAGACACGGCCTTAAGCCTTGAGCAGAGAAAGAGACAGAGAGCAGCAGCTGGGTGCATGATCCAAGTGTACGGTTCTGCCTGTAGGTGGAGGGAGGAAGGTGCATTCCCAGAGCTAACACACTGTGGATTTTTATACATAATACATGTTTTCAACTGATTTATTGGAAGGCATATGAAAAAATGGGCAGTCCACAAACAATTGTAATTTCCAGATTTACCACAATTGCATTATTTCTTCATTCTGCACGATGTCCTGGAACAGAGTTGCATTTTTCATGAGTATTGTTTCATGGATTGAGAACATGAATTTCACACCTGCATTTTTAGCCATGTGCAGAGACCTTGAGTAGAGCATGTCTGGACCTCATCTACACTATCTCTCATGCCCCAAGGGAAAGAGTGGAGACTTGACTGACAGCAAACTTTGGGGAATTAATGAACGTTAATATTTTCTTATAGACGAATAAACATATTGGGCTAGAAGATCTACTCAGTGGGAAAAGTAAGGTTTTAGTTATCCCTGTTGAAAGTTTTTTTTTCATTTATTTTGCTGCATTTGAAAAGCTGGTGATCTTAACATTGCCTATATTTTTAATAATCTTAAGATTTTTTAGTTTTTATGTTTTGTTAGGGATCAGGCAATGGAAGATGCATATTTATAGATGAAACTTACAATATAAGGTAAATATTGACTTACTAATAGTTATGCGAGAATATTTATTTGATCCCAATTTTATATAGTTGAGTGTGTGAAGTTGCAGGTCAAGATAACTTGGAGTTTCAACACCAAGTTTTATTCATGTGTTCATTGATGAACAGGATGCCTCCAATGTGGAGAAATTTACAATGAATAAGCATGAATAGGACCTGGCCAGTGAGCTTTCAGTCTAGCAAGGAATGTAGAACAGGAACATAGCAACTCTAATCCAATGTAGAGAGAGAGACAATTTTAAATCCAATTGAAAAATAAATAGCTGTGTTAGACTGAGGCCATCAAATAAAGCTTCATGCAATAAGCAGCTATAGGTCTTCAAAGATGACAGTTTAGCAAAAGGCACAAAGGTGAAAAGTGCAGAGCATTAAGTAGTGTGTGGTTTAGTGTGCTGGAAATAACAGGTTGGACAAGAGTTGTGACTAGGATAAACAGCAAAAAGGATTTATGAGAGCCTGATGGCCACTAGTGACTGGGTAAGATGTGTACACTTTCTGTGCAGGAAAAGGGACAAAGCTTTTGAGCAGCAGAGAAACATGATCAGAGGGATGCATGAGGAAGGTCCTGAAAACCCTAATGAGTAATCTTGGTTAAACCATTTCACTATAACTCAAGTTTTGCATGTATATACTATAATAGAAACAACATTTGTGCTCTTCCCATATGTAGAGAGGTCAAAAGAAAATCTGTTCATATAATCTTCCAAGCCAGTCACAAAGACTAAGACAAAACACTTACATAAATAAAATTCATAAGATGAATTTTAAAAGATGAAAGATAGTCAATACATTTTATTTTATAACTTGGAAATTTAAACTCCTGAAAATATACCTTAATTTAAAATACGGAGGAAAGGAACAAAATCAATGTGCAAAAATCACAAGCATTCTTATACACCAATAACAGACGAACAGAGAGCCAAATCATGAGTGAACTCCCATTCACAATTGCTTCAAAGAGAATAAAATACCTAGGAATCCAACTTACAAGGGACGTGAAGGACCTCTTCAAAGAGAACTACAAACCACTGCTCAATGAAATAAAAGAGGACACAAACAAATGGAAGAACATTCCATGCTCATGGGGAGGAAGAATCAATATCGTGAAAATGGCCATACTGCCCAAGGTAATTTATAGATTCAATGCCAACCCCATCAAGCTACCAATGACTTTCTTCACAGAATTGGGAAAAACTATTTTAAAGTTCATATGGAACAAAAAAGGGCCCGCATTGCCAAGTCACTCCTAAGCCAAAAGAACAAAGCTGGAGGCATCACGCTACCTGACTTCAAGCTATGCTACAAGACTACAGTAACCAAAACAGCATGGTACTGGTACCAAAACAGAGATATAGACCAATGGAACAGAACAGAGCCCTCAGAAATAATGCCGCATATCTACAACCATCTGATCTTTGACAAATCTGACAAATACAAGAAATGGGGAAATGATTCCGTATTTAATAAATGGTTCTGGAAAAACTATTATAATTGACAAAAAATTCTGTAAATTTGCAGAATACAACACCTACATACAAAAATTGGTGGCATTGCTAAATGCAAACAGCAAAAAATCAATAAAGCATTTTGTTTATAATAGCTAAAAATTATATTTCATATTACCAAATAAGTGAAAGATTTCTAAAAGAAAACCAAAAATGATTGATAATAAAATATAAAGCAAACACACACAAATTGAAAATATATCTGAAATATTCCATGTTCATGGTTCAGAAAAATTAATAGTTATTTTTTTCTTTTTTTATAATAATTTAAGTTCTAGGGTCCATGTGCACAACGTGTAGGTTTGTTACATATGTATACATGTGCTATGTTGGTGTGCTGCACCCATTAACATTACATTAGGTGTATCACCTAATGCTATCCCTCCCAGCTCCGACGACCCCATGACAGGCCCCGGTGTGTGTGTGATGTTCCCCACCCTTAGTCCAAATGTTCTCATTGTTCAATTCCCACCTATGAGTGAGAACATGCGGTGTTTGGTTTTCTGTCCTTGTGATAGTTTGCTCAGAATGATGGTTTCCATTTTCATCCATGTCCCTACAAAGGACATGAACTCATCCTTTTTAATGGCTGCATAGTATTCCATGGTGTATATGTGCCACATTTTCTTAATCCAGTCTATCACTGATGGACATTTGGGTTGGCTCCAAGTCTTTGCTATTGTCAATAGTGACACAATAAACATAAGTGTGCATGTGTCTTTATAGCAGCATGATTTATAATCCTTTGAGTATATACCAAGTAATGGGATTGCTGGGTCAAATGGTATTTCTAGTTCTAGATCCTTGAGGATCACCAAACTGTCTTCCACAATGGTTGAACTAGTTTACAGTCCCACCAACAGTGTAAAAGTGTTCCTATTTCTCCACATCCTCACCAGCGCCTGTTGTTCCCTGACTTTTTAATGATTGCCGTTCCAACTGGTGTGAGATGGTATCTCATTGTGGTTTTGATTTGCATTTCTCTGATGGCCAGTGATGATGAGCATTTTTTCATGTGTCTGTTGGCTGCATAAATGTCTTCTTTTGAGAAGTGTCTGTTCATATCCTTCGCCCAATTTGTGATGGGGTTGTTTTTTTCTTGTAAATTTGTTTGAGTTCATTGTAGATTCTGGGTATTAGCCCTTTGTCAGATGAGTAGATTGCAAAAATTTTCTCCCATTCTGTTGGTTGCCTGTTCACTCTGATGGTAGTTTCTTTTGCTGTGCAGAAGCTCTGTAGTTTAATTAGATCCCATTGGTCAATTTTGGCTTTTGTTGCCATTGCTTTTGGTGTTTTAGACATGAAGTCCCTGCCCATGCCTATGTTCTGAATGGTATTGCCTAGGTTTTCTTCTAGGGTTTTTATGGTTTTAGATCTAACATTTAAGTCTTTAATCCATCTTGAATTAAGTTTTGTGTAAGGTGTAAGGAAGGGCTCCAGTTTCAGCTTTCCACAAATGGCTAGCCAGTCTTCCCAGTACCATTTATAAATAGGTAATCCTTTCCCCATTTCTTGTTTTTGTCAGGTTTGTCAAAGATCAGATGGTAGTAGATGTGTGGTATTTTCTGAGGGCTCTGTTCTGTTCCATTGGCCTATACCTCTGTTTTGGTGCCAGTACCATCCTGTTTTGGTTACTATAGCCTTGTAGTATAGTTTGAAGTCAGGTATTGTGATGCCTCCATCTTTGTTCTTTTGGCTTAGGATTGACTTGGCAATGTGGGCCCTTTTTTGGTTCCATATGAACTTTAAAGTAGTTTTTTCCAATTCTGTGAAGAAAGTCATTGGTAGCTTGATGGGGATGGCATTGAATCTGTAAATTACCTTGGGCAGTATGGCCATTTTCACGATATTGATTCTTCCTATTCATGAGCATGGAATGTTCTTCCATTTGTTTGTATCCTCTTTTATTTCGTTGAGCAGTGGTTTGCAGTTATCCTTGAAGAGATCCTTCACATCCTTTGTAAGTTGGATTCCTAGGTATTTTATTCTCTTTGAAGCAATTGTGAATGGGAGTTCACTCATGATTTGGCTCTCTGTTTGTCTGTTATTGGTGTATAAGAATGCTTGTGATTTTTGCACACTGATTTTGTATCCTGAGACTTTGCTGAAGTTGCTTATTAGCTTAAGGAGATTTTGGGCTGAGATGATGGGGATTTCTAAATATACAATCATGTCATCTGCAAAGAGGGACAATTTGACTTCCTCTTTTCCTAATTGAATACACTTTATTTCTTTCTTCTGCCTGATTGCCCTGGCCAGAACATCCGACACTATGTTGAATAGGAGTGGTGAGAGAAGTCATCCCTGTCTTGTGCCAGTTTTCAAAGGGAATGCTTCCAGTTTTTGCCCATTCAGTATGATATTGGCTGTGGGTTTGTCCTAAATAGCTTTTATCATTTTGAGATACATACCATCTATACCTAATTGATTGAGAGTTTTTAGCATGAAAGGTTGTTGAATTTTGTCAATGGCCTTTTCTGCATCTGTTGAGATAATCATGTGGTTTTTGTCTTTGGTTCTGTTTATATGCTGGATTACGTTTATTGATTTGTGTATGTTGAATCAGCCTTGCATCCCAGGGATGAAGCCCACTTGATCATGGTGGATAAGCTTTTTGATGTGCTGCTGGATTCGGTTTACCAGTATTTTATTGAGGATTGTTGCATCTATGTTCATCAGAGATATTGGTCTAAAATTCTCTTTTTTTGTTCTGTCTCTGTCAGGCTTTGGTATCAGGATGATGCTGGCCTCATAAAATGAGTTAGGGAGGATTCCCTCTTTTTCTATGGATTGGAATAGTTTCAAAAGGAATGGTACCAGCTCCTCCTTATACCTCTGGTAGAATTCCGCTGTGAATCTGTCTGGTCCTGGACTTTTTTTGGTTGGAGTCTATTAATTATTGCCTCAATTTCAGGGCCTGTTATTGGTCTATTCAGGGATTCAACTTCTTCCTGGTTTAGTCTTGGGAGGGTGTATGCGTCCAGGAATTTATCCATTCCTTCTAGATTTTCTAGTTTATTTGCATAGAGGTGTTTATAGTATTGTCTGAGGGTAGTTTGTATTTCTGTGGGATCGGTGGTGATATCCCCTTTACCATTTTTTATTGCATCTATTTGATTTTTCTCTCTTTTCTTCTTTATTAGTCTTGCTAGTGGTCTATCAATTTTGTAGATCTTTTCAAAAAACCAGCTCCTGGATTCATTGATTTTTTGAAGGGTTTTTTGTGTCTCTATCTCTTTCAGTTCTGCTCTGATCTTAGTTATTTCTTGCCTTCTGCTAGCTTTTGAATATGTTTGCTCTTGCTTCTCTAGTTCTTTTAATTGTGATGTTAGGGTGTCAATTTTAGATCTTTCCTGCTTTCTCTTGTGGGCATTTAGTGCTATAAATTTCCCTCTACACACTGCTTAAATGTGTCCCAGAGATTCTGGTATGTTGTGTCTTTGTCCTCATTGGTTTCAAAGAACATCTTTATTTCTGGCTTCATTTCATTATGTACCCAGTAGTCAGTCATTCAGGAGCAGGTTGTTCAGTTTCCATGTCGTTCTTTCCTTCCTTCCTTCTTTCCTTTCTTCCTTCTTTCCTTCCTTCCTTCCCTCCTTTTTTACTTCCTTCCTTCCTTCTTTCCTTCCTTCTTTCCTTCCTTCTTTTTTTCCTTCCTTCCTTCCTTCTTTCCTTCTTTCTTTTTTGACAGAGTTTCAGTCTTGTCACCCAGGCTGGAGTGCAGAGGCACAATCTCAGCTCACTGCAACCTCCACCTCCTGGGTTCAAGCGATTCTCCTGCCTCAGCTTTGCGAGTAGCTGGGAATACAGCCACCTGCCATCATGCCCGGCTAATTTTTGTATTTTTAGTAGAGACAGGGTTTCGTCATGTTGGCCAAGCCCGTCTTGAACTCCTAACCTCAAGCGATCCACCCAGCTCGGCCTCCCAAAGTGCTGGGATTACAGGTGTGAGCCACTGCACCCGGCCTTTTTTTTTTTTTTCTTTTTTGATAAAAGTCATCTTAACTGAGGTGAGATGGTACCTTCTACCATTCTGTAGGCTGTTTGTGCACCATGTTGATTATTTCTTTTTTCTGTGCAGAAGATCTTTAGTTCAGCTAAATCCCATTTGTCTATTTTTGTTTTCATTGCATTTGCTTTTGCAGTCTTAGTCATATTTTATTTGCCTAGGGCAATGTCCCGAGAATTTTCCTTACATTTTCTTCAAGTACTTTTATAGTTTCAGTTTATACTTATAAATATTGAATCTATATTCAGTTAATTTTTGCCTCTGGTGAGATAGGAGTCTGGTTTTATTCTTCTATGTAAGGCTGTCTAATTCTCCCAGCACCACTTATTGAATAGAGGGTTGTTTCTCCAGTGAATATTTTTGTCAGTGTTGTCAAAGAAAAGTTGGTTGTAGATATTTGGCTTTATTTCTGGGCTCTCTATTCTCTTACATTAATTTTTTTTTAGATAGGATTTTTCTGTCATTGTCCAGCCTGCAGAGTAATGGCACGATCTCGGCTCACTGCAACCTCTGCCTCCTGTGTTCAAGTGATTCTCCACATCTTTGGCACTGCCCTAGTAGAGGCTGTCCGTGGTGGCTCCACTCCTGCATCAGGCTTCTTCCTGGGCACATAGTTCTCTATATACATCTTCTGATATCTAGGTAGAAGCTGCCCAGCCTCCTTCACTCTTCCATTCTGTATATCTGCCATAATCCAGTTGTCCCAACACCATTTACTGAATACAGAGATTTTTCCTCATTGCTTGTTTTTGTCAGCCTTATCAAATATAAGATGGTTGTATATGTGCAGCTTTATTTCTTTATTTCTGTTTTCTATTTTGTCCCATTTTTCCTGCATGTCTTCTCATGTACCAGTACCAAGCTGTTTTTGTTACTGTGACTTTATGGTGTAGTTTAAAGTCGGGTATCATGATGCCTCTGGCATTGCTCTTTCTGCTTAGGATTGCTTTGGCTATTCAGGCTGTTTTTGGTTCCATACAAATTTAGAATATATAAAATTTTTCTAATTCTGTGAAGAATGATGGTGATAGTTTTATGTAAATTGTATTGAATCTGTAAATTGCTTTGGGCAGCATGACAATTTTTACAATACTGATTCTTCCAACCATGAGCATGAAATGTTTTCCCATTTGTTTGTGTCATTTGTGATTTCTTTCTGCTGTGTTTTGTAGTTCTCCTTGTAGAGATCTTTCACCTTGTTTGTTACCTGTATTTCCAGGCATTTCATATTTTGTGTGTGTGAATATTGTAAGTGTGATAGGATTGTGTTCTTGATTTCAGTCTCAGCTTGGACGTAGTTGGGGTATAGAAATGCTAGATTTTTGTACATTGATTTTGTATCCCAATACTTTACCAAAGTTGTTTATCTATTCTAGAATTATTTTTGGCAGGGTCTTTAGAATTTTGTAGGTATAGAATTATATCATCAGTTTGGAGAGATACATTGACTTCTTCTTTTCCTATTTGGATTCTGTATTAGTCCATTTGCACACTATAAAGAAACACCTGAGACTGTGTAATTTATAAAGATTTTTAATTGTTTCATGGTTCTTCAGGCTGTACAGGAAGCATGGCTGAGGAGGCCTCAGGATCCTGACAATCAGTACAGAAAGGGAAGCATCATGTCCTACATGGCTGGAGCAGGAGGAAGAGAGACAAGGGAGGTGCCACATACTTTGAAACCAGATCTCCTGAGGGCTCTATCATGGGATCAGCACAAGAGAGAGAGAGACTCATCCCCATGATCTAATCGCCTTTCACCAGGCCCCACCCTCAACACTGGGAATTACAATTTGACATTTAATTTGAGTGGGGACACAAATTCAAACCATATCAGCTGCCTTTTATTTTGATATTGCTCGGTTGCGCTGACTAGGATTTCTAGTACTATGTTCAATAGCAGTGGTGAGAGGGCATCTTGGTCTTCTTTCACTTCTAAAGGGTTTTGAGCTTTTGCTCACTCAGTATAATGTTGACTGTGGGTTGGTCATAGATGGCTCTTATTATTTTGAGGTATATTTTTTTGATGCCTAGTCTGTTAAGGGTTTTTATTATGAGTGGATGTTGGATCCTATCAAAAGCTTTCTCAGCATCTATTGAGATAATCATACAGTTTTTACTATTATTCTGCTTACATGGTGAATCACAGTTACTGAATTGTCGATGTTGAATGAACCTCGCTTTCCAGGGGTAAAGCCTACTTGATCATGATGTATTACATTTTAAAGTGCTTCTGGATTCTATTTGCTAGTATTTTGTTGAGAACTTTTAGGTCCCTATTCACCAGGAATATTCATCTGATGTTTTCTTTTTTAATTATGCATCTTCCTGATTTTGTATCCCAAGAACACACAGTGAAGGATGGACAGTCTCCCCAATATATGATGTAAAAACTGGACATCCATATGCAAAAGAAATAAAATTAGACCTTCTCTAACACCATATTCAAAAATAAACTAAAAATGAACATAACCTGAAGCCACAAACTCATAGACCACATGGAAAAAAAATTCCTGTCATTGATTCAGAAATGATTTCTTTGAATTTAATAGAAAAAAACACAGGAAAAAAACTATGTGCAATTATATATCTGACATAAGTTCTATCCAAAAGTATAAATAACTCATGCAACTCAATAGCAAATAACAAATGATCTGATAAAAAGGGCAAAAACTGGATAGGTTTTTCTTCAGAAAACACACACATGGAAAACAGAGCCTAAAAGGGTTCTCAACATTACTAATTATCAGAGGAATTCAAATCAAAATCATGATGAGATATCACCTCCCACCATTTAAAATGGCTGTTATCAGCAAGACATATAACACATATTGGCAAGAATGTGCTGAAAAGGGAATCCTTTTAGGGTGTGGTAGGATTGGTTACTCAATAAATTGAAAAATAAAGCTATCATATCATCTGGTGATCCCACTTCTTGTTATTTATTCAAAGAAGTAAAATTACTATGTTAAACACATGCTGATTGTAAGATTATTTATAATAGTGTAGATTTGTAAAAGAATTTAATGACCATAGATTGATGAATGTATAAAGAAAATGTGTATACATAAAACTGAATTTTATTCAGCTTTGAAAAGAAGGAAATTCTGACATTTGCAACAACATGGATGGGCCTGGAGGACATGATGCTAAGTGGAATAAGCCAGATGTAGAAAGACAAATGCTGCATGATCTCATTTACATGTGGGATCTAAAATACCCAAGCTCTTGAAAGCAGAGAGTAAAATAATGCGTCCCAGGATGCGGGAGGAGAGGGAAATTGGGTGATGTTTAAAGTGTACAGAATTTCAGGTGTGCAGGTTGAATGAGTTCTGGAGATCTAATGTACAGCAATGTTCCAGTATTTAATACTGTGTTATAAAAGTGATTTTTGCTGAAAGGGTAGATCTTAGATATTCTCATCTCACACACACACACACACACACTCCATTTAAAAAAAATGTATGTGAGATGATAGATACACAAATTACCTTGATCATGATGAGCATTTTACAATGTGTATCTGATATGGTTTGCAACTTGTCCTGGCCTGAATCTCGTGTTGTATTATAATCCTCAATCCTGAAGCTGGGACCCAGTGGGAGAGGCTTGGGTCAGGGGGTGGGTCTTTCATGAATGGTTTAGCACCGACTCTTGGTGCTGTTCTCATAATATTGTGTGAGTTATCATAAGATCTGTTTGTCTAACTGTGTAGACCTCCCTCTCTTCCTGTGGCCCCTGCTCTGGCCATGTGACGTGTCTACTACTATTTGTCTTCTGCTATGGTTCTAACTTTCCTGAGTATCACCAGAAGGAGAAGCCACTACACTTCCTGTACAGTCTGCAGAAAAATGAGCCAATTAAGCATCTTTTTTTTGTTTCAAATTACTCAGTCTCAGGCATTTCTTTATAGCAGTGTGAGACTGGACTAACACAATATCAAAACATGAAGTGGTGCACCTTAAACATATACATTTAAAAATATTTCAGTTGTACCTCAGTAAAACTGAAAAAAATAAAGTTACTTTTATAATAAATAAATACCATGCTCATGGGTAGGAAGAATCAATATTGTTAAAATGGCCATACTGCCCAAAGCAATTTATACAGTCAATGCTATTCCCATCAAGCTACCATTGACTTTCTTCACAGAGCTAGAAAAAACTACCTTAAACTTCATATGAAACTAAAAACAGCCCGTATAGCCAAGACAGTCCTAAGCAAAAAGAACAAAGCTGAAGGCATTATGCTACCTGACTTCAAATTATACTATAAGGCTACAGTAACAAAAACAGCATGATACTGGTACCAAAACAGTTATATAGACCAATGGAACAGAACAGAGGCCTCAGAAATAACACCACACATCTACAACCATCTGATCTTCAACAAACCTGACAAAAACAAGCGATGGGGAAATGATCCCTATTTAATAAATGGTGCTGGGAAAACTGGGTAGCCATATGGAGAAAACTGAAACTGGATCCTTTCCTTACACCTTATACAAAAATTAACTCTAGATGCATTAAAGACTTAAATGTAAAACCTAAAACCACAAAAACCCTAGAAGAAAACATAGGCAGTATCATTCAGGACATAGGCATGGGCAAAGGCTTCATGACTAAAACACCAAAAGCAATTACAACAAAAGCCAAAATTGACAAGCAGGATCTAATTAAACTAAAGAGCTTCTGCTCAGCAAAAGAAACTATCATCAGAATGAACAGGCAACCTACAGAATGGGAGAAAATTTTTGCAATCTATCTATCTGACAAAGTTCTAATATCCAGAATCTACAAGGAACTTGAACAAATTTACAAGAAAAAAAACCAAACAACCCCATCAAAAAGTGGGTGAAGGACATGAACAGACACTTCTCAGAAAAAGACATTTATGCAGCTAACAAACATATGAAAAAAAAAGCTCATTATCACTGGTCATTAGGGAAATGCAAATCAAAATCACAATGAGACACCATCTCATGCCAGTTAGAATGTTGATCATTAAAAAGTCTGGAAACAACAGATGCTGGTGAGAATGTGGAGAAATAGGAACACTTTTACACTGTTGGGGGGAGTGTAAATCAGTTCAACCATTGTGGAAGACAGTGTGGAAATTCCTCAAGGATCTAGAACGAGAAATACCATTTGACCCAGCAGTCCTATTACCGGGTATATACCCAAAGGGTTATAAATCATTCTACTATAAAGACACATGCACATGTATGTTTATTGCAGCACTACTTACAATAGCAAAGATGTGGAACCAACTCAAATGTCCATCAATGATAGACTGGATGAAAAAATGTGGCATATGTACACCATGAACTACTATGCAGCCATAAAAAAGAATGATTTCAGGTCCTTTGCAGGGACATGGATGAAGCTGGAAGCCATCATCCTCAGCAAACTAACACAGGAACAGAAAACCAAACGCCACATGTTCTCACTCATAAGTGGGAGTTGAACAATGAGAACACATGGACACAAGGAGGGGAACATGACACACTGGGATGTGTCGGGGAGAAAAAGCATTAGGAAAGGGGAGGGAGAGCATTAGGACAAATACCTAATGCACGAGGTGCTTCAAACCTAGATGACAGATTGATAGGTGCAGCAAACCACCATGGCACATGTGTATTTATGTAAGAAACCTACATGTTCAGCACATGTATCCCAGAACTTAAAGTAAAATTTAAAATAGAAATAAACAGTAATCAAAAATAAAAAAGAAATACATACTTCATATTTTCTTAACAAAAATGAAACAATATAGGAAAACCTACACTAATATATTTGAAACAGCTTTGCCTATAATATTCATAAAATGGAAACAAATTTAAAGTACATCAACAGGAAAATAAATCAAAATATTCTCATTTATTTACTTAATGGACTGACTCAGATATAAAATCTTTCTCCTTCCTCTCTCTCTCTCCATAAGTACATGAAAACTTTGAGGTTTCATATCAGAGTCAGTCTACGAATCGAATAAATGACAATATGTTGATCTAATTTTATACATTAAATAGTATGAATTAATCTCAAAAATATCAAAGCCCCTTTTGAAAAAAAGGTCTATAATGTTTGATTCCATTTATATAAAGTTCAAAACAGAAAATAAATGGATCTGTAGTGTCAGAAATCAAAACGTTTCCCCTTGCAGGAGTTGACCGCAAGAACAGGGAAAACCCGCGATGTGGGGATGGACTTGCTCTTCAGCTACCTTAGGTATTGAGAACAAGGGTATTCACATTTGCCAGAAACTCTCTAGTGATACATTTCAGATCTATGCATATTTTATTATATGTAAATTTTATCTCATAAAAACAAAAAATAAACTGTAGAATAGTTTACAATTCAGTAAATAATAAAATTAATATTAAAACCCTATCCAAAATATGAACATTATTATATGAATTAATAAAATGCATTCAAGTATATGTACTAAAATTAAATCCCAGAAATCAAAAAGACAAAGGTAACATCTTAAACTTAATAATTAATATGCATGCATTTCATAGAGAAGAAAAAAAGTCAAGACATGAGGAACATATATTCCTTTTTTCCAATCAAATGTAATTAAATTATTTATACAATATTTTAACCTGTGTCATTAGTATAAATTACTAATATTTTGTGTGATATTACAACTGATAACAACTTTTAAAGAAAAAAAAAGATGCTTGAGAGCACGTGAACTAAATTGAATGTATTCTCAAAGTTGGTCCAACTATTACACTTCAAAGTTCTAATAATACCCTGGTTTGAGTGGGACTTTGAAAAAATTAATTTTAAGAGATAAATTTAAAAAATAAACTGATAATCTGTAATAAAGAGAAATCAGCATTCCATATCAGAGAAAAATGAAAATTTGCAATACATGTAAAATCCTGAGAAGAAACCTTGAAGCACGGAAAGGGTCTCATGTATAGTAGGTTGTAATACGTCTATCGTTAAAATTATCACCTTTATGTTGTTTTGAAAAATTAAAGCTAAGCATAATGAAATTAATGTTTTTGTGCTCATCTGGTATAACAGCATGTTGAGAAAATGGAAGAGCCCTGTAACCCTGAGGAGGTGGCTTAATCCAAGGAGAGGCATCAGATTTAAAAATATATAATTAAAATTTCATTGAAAATGGAGAAATTTTGGTTGTATACATTTATGGGGCACAAAGCTATGTTATGGTTTGTGAATGCAATATGGAATAATTGAATCGAGTTAATTCACATATATATTACCTCAAATCGTCAAATCCTTATCTTTTTTGTGACAAGAACATTTGTAATTTTTTCTTGACTATTTTAAAATGACGAATACACTATGTTAAAGCTTAGAAATAGACATCCATTTATGTAAACTATAGAGAACTGTTGAAATCAATTATAGATTACTCTAATTTATATTTAGCTCATCATTAAGTTTAATTCTTTAGAAAATATTTTAGAATTATTTTGTTATAATGTTAAATATAAATGACTACACATGTATGTATAGGCTTGTGTATTTACACATATGTCTGCAGATGTAAATTAATGTCCCCATAGGTATGTAGTTGCTGGTATGGACAGACATTAATAAAACTAGGCCGGGCGTGGTGGCTCATGCCTGTAATCCCAGCACTTTGGGAGGCCGAGGTGTGCAGATCACGAAGTCAGGAAATCGAGACCACACTGGCCAACATGGTGAAACCCCGTCGATACTAAAAATACAAAAATTAGCCAGGCATGATGGCGCGCACCTGTAATCCCAGCTTCTCGGGAGGCTGAGGCAAGAGAATTGCTTGAACCTGGGAGGTGGAAGACGTTGCAGTGAGCTGAGATCGTGCCACTGCACTCTCCAGCCTGGCAACAGAGCAAGACTCCGTCTCAAAAAATATTTATAATATGAGCATGATTATATTGACAAATATAAAATAAAATATCATAATGGCAACAATCAATTTTACCTGTCACCTTGACTAGACCGTAGTCTCATCTATTCAATCACACAGTAGCCTAGGTGTTGCTCCCATGGCATAATACAGGTGTTAGTGGAGCCTGCCATTATTTTTTCCTAAGTCACGAAGAGTGTTCTAGATAATCTAGTTGGGACTGATTCAAAGACAGCATAACAGAAGACGATGGGGCTCCGTGGTGGACGGCAGATGCAGATCTTCCCAGGAATTCCAGCCTGTCTTTCCCGAAGGCCAGTAGTATTGACCTTAAACTGCCTAGCCAGATTCTACAATTATTTTTACCCAGAGCTCACAGCACAATGGAGTGCCCATCCCCAGCTCTTCTCAAAGTCACAGGTGAGAGTCCAAACTCAGATAGTGTGAGAAGCACAAGATCAGCTCTACATCAATATCCCATTGGAGAAAACTAGTATTATTCCCTTCATGGCTAATGTCCACTACATTTTCCAAATGCCTCCATGCACAGAAGACAACAGGAGTGTCCAGACAATGGTGAGTGAGAAAGTCCCCTCAGCCTACCCAGGTCCTGCAGACCCAAGCCCTGGAATTTTGACTACAGAAAACACATCTTCTGTTTTCAGGGAAGAGAAGAAGAAAGGGAACTGTGAGAATCAAGTCTACAGAGATGGAAAATGGATCAGCAGAAAGAGGGTCAGCTGAATCAGTCTGAGTCAGATGGGCACAGTTTTACAAGTTGAGAGGGGATAGCTGTGAAAACCATCAGGTTTTAAGGACCCTGACCCTGGGTGAGCCTCTCTCTTGGCTCCCATCAGAGCTCAAGGCCTGTTCTAATCAGAGATTCCCATGGAGGTCTCTGCTCTGAGTCTAATTGGAAAACACTCTCCAGGTTTCCCTGAGATTCCTCAGGACTCTCATCCTGACCATGAAAGGATTATTTCTGCCCCCAAAGTGACACCCTGGCTTCTGTGGAGGTGAGGGTGTTTCCTCTTGTTACAAAAACAAAGGAACAAAAAAATAACCGTTTTCCATTTAGAGACATCAAATGTTAGTATAGAATTGTAAATCTGTAGAAGTTCCTTGGGGAAATTTGACGATGAGGCTGCCCCAGGCCATGGCAGAAAGCCAGCCCTCCGCAGCACCTGCACCTGCCCTGGAGACAGCCCCGTGCACAGTGTCCTGGCGCCCCCTAGTCGTTTCTGGGACCCCTTCAGGGAGGTTTGTGCCTGGGCTCTCACTGACTTCCCCTCACTCTGTGTTTCACACAGTAATACACAGCCGTGTCCTCGGCTCTCAGGCTGTTCATTTGCAGATACAGTGAGTTCTTGGCGTTGTCCCTGGAGATGGTGAATCGGCCTTTCACAGAGTCTGCGTAGTTTGTGTAACCACTATTACCACTACTGTATGAAACCCACTCCAGTCCCTTCCCTGGAGCCTGGCGGACCCAGCTCGTGTAGTGGTTACTGAAGGTGAATCCAGAGGCTGCACAGGAGAGTCTCAGGGACCCCCCAGGCTGTACCAAGCCTCCTCCAGACTCCACCAGCTGCACCTCACACTGGGCACTTGCAAACACAGAGACAACCTGGTCAGAAACTGCCACATATATTCACTGCTTATCTCACTCACGTCCTCTCAATGTCTCTAGTTCGCCATAAATCACCTTTTATAATAGCAACAAGGAAAACCCAGTTCAGCCCAAACTCCATGGTGAGTCCTCTGTGTTCAGTGCTGATCACCAGATGGAAATTCCTGGGAATTCTGGGGCTGGGGCTCTTCTCCCAGAGCTGCAGGGTCAGGGCTGGGCTGGTTTTTATCAGCAGACGGAGGGCCCTATTTGCATGTCTCCTACTATATAGCAAGCTCTGTGGTGGGACAGCTGAGGAGAGGGCAGTGCCCAGAGAAGATGAGAGCATCCCAGAAAACACTGGAGGTAATCCTATCTCTCAGGAAAATATAACTTCAGATTATGTGATTGTGCCTTGATGATCAATTAGCAGTCATCATCTTATTTAATGTTTACACATTTGCAGAATATATTCAGTGCAAGTGTCAATGTTACATTTGTAGAGAAGATGAATTACATACATAACAGAGCAGTTGTGCAATGTGTCCAATATCACACATCTGGCCAGAGTTAGCCCTATTACCTGTGTCTGTGCCTCTAAACACTGGAGGAGACTGCTCCCCTGAGACAGCTCCAGGGCGATGTGGGACATGCCTAGTGAGGTTTTCAGGATGTCCCACCTGTCATAACAACTTTATGTGACTTTGCTTTTTCTAGTGTTTACCTGAAATATGCAATCAGTGTTCACATGTGTGTATTTTCAGGAGTCCGTGATTATTCAAGTGTCAATATTCATCTCTTCCTCTTCCTCAGCCAATATACTCATTTTTTGTTACTGCTTTATTCAAAAATTCAATCCATAGTGAATTCAAATTTATAGTGTACAATTTGGAAAATGTTGGTATATGTGTGCAGCCTTTGAATCAGCACTTCAATCATGCTATTAGCAATTAAATTAACCTCTAATTTTTTCTCTCACTTCCCTGTAATTTTATTTCACCATCTTGTTACTCTCACCACACTTTTCTCAGAAAAATTCAGATCTTCTCCATGTTAATTTAGAATAGTTGCATTTTCTACAATTTATACAAATGAAATCACAGGAGATTTACTGTGAATTCTTTAGCTTCCTACACTCAGCACAATTATTTGATAATGTCCTCACATTCTTATGTGACTGAGGCATGCCTTGATTTCAATTGTTCATTGTATTTCAGTATATGAATATTTCTCAAATTGTTTAACAATGCACCAAATAGTGGATATTTGATATTTTGTCTTCGTTTCTGAATTTTATTTAGAAAGCAAATACTAAGCATGGGAATGTAAAAAAATTGAGAAAATGATCTTCTTCTGACCTCATTAATAAGAAACTTGAACAACTACGAAAAATGAACGCTTCAACATATCTGAGTTGATGTCACAGAGAAAAAAACCCTGAAATCTGAGAAATAGGGGCCTGCAGAGAGAACTAGGGTCCATTTATTAGAGTACCTGGAGCAGGTGCCACTCGTTGTATAGTATTGAAGATAGGAAAAAGCTAACCTGGAAATGTTTCATGAGTTGTTGAGGATGTATGTGCTAAGGGTGTGAGAGTGTGAAACTCCCGGCACTTGCAGGCTTTTCCTACAGAATTGGGGAAATCCCCAGACAAGTCACCCACCTGCTGTCCTGTGGTGTTGACTGGGGAGGAAGAATAGCAGCTGTGTTCAATGCTGAATCCCCCTTCACGATATGTGGGAGACATTTATTAAATCTTGTGTCCTTCAGGCACTGGTAGAATCAACTAGAACACAAGGAAACAGAGGACACCAAGGAAACTCTACCCAGAATCACCTCCCATCTCTTTCCTGAGGAATGAAGTCCTGAGTCTGTGGGGTAAGGACAGTGGGTCAGAAGCTGAGGACACTGACGAAAAACCACTGTGGCTGGGAAGAGACACTCTGACTTGGAGAAGGGAAGGAACAGGAACACTTGGAAGACCATGCTTCAGAGCCACTCTCACCACCCATAGCTAAGAAGGAGGCTCGGTCCGAAGGTTGGAGAACATCCCCCTGTGTCCAAGCCCCTTCACCCCACAAACAATCACCAAGTAAAAGTGTCAGCAGGATGCACCTGCCACAGATGAAAGAGACAGGCTCTCTCTGGGGAGAGAAATGGGAAGAGCCAAACCGGGACACAAAAGTGGGTATCACTGGAGGAACCTGAACTTTTTGTGAACAGGAGAAGCTGACTTCAACTCTGATAGCCGTGGCAACCATACACTTGAAATCCAACCCTGACTAGATTCATAGAAATGTGGTTAATATAGGCCCAGCAGAATGTAATGTGTGATCGTCTCCATGAATAAAATAATAAACACAAGAAAATAAATTACAAGTGAAATGCAAACTGGAATTCTACATGCATTACATTTTCATTAAAAGTGAAAGGCAAATAAAATTCTGTCATTAAAAAAAGATCTTGAGACAATTTATTGTCAGCACATTCATGCTTCAGTGCACATTTTAACAAACTTTCTCTGCTAGTAGCCATGTGATATACATTCAAAACATAAATCTATACGAAGAAATTAAGACTACAAAATGAGAAAATCAAGATGAAGTGCAGTTTTTATCTTTGTAATTGCTATATTATATAACTGTAAAAGGAATAAAAAATTACATATTTTATAGCATATGTAAGTGCAAACTGGGAATAAACAAGAAAGAGTGGTGAGAAGGAGGAATTCAAAGCACACAGTTACACTGTCTCTGTTCTTCATATCAAGGCCATCACAGTATCTGCATTAGAATCTAATTATATACAATTCTTATAGAATCTAATTATATACACTTCTTATACAATCTAATTATATACAATTCTTATTGTAAACCTTATGGTAAACAATATAATATTTATAAAAGTGAATTAGATTATATGTTAATAGAGAAATAAACGTCATTGTGAAGTGCTAATTTAAACAAGATAACAGAAAAATAATATTAGTTTAAAAATAGAACTTACTATAGTTGATTTAAAAAAAACAAGCCCCAACTAGAAGCTATGTATTAGAAAATTACAGTACATATTCACAAATGTAAAAACTAAAGATGAGAAAACATGGATTATGAAAATGTTAACCAAAATAAATCTATAGTAGCTGTGTAAAGTTAAGAAAAAATAGACATCAAAAAAGACTTTTAGGACTTAACAGGGATATTACATAGGATAAAGTTACCAGTTTTTTAAAAGATGCCAAAAATACTTAACAAGTATAGAATAGATGAAGAATGCACCATTCTTTGTGATTTACAAAACAAACATGATAAAAGAAGTAAAGATGTCAGTGAGACCGTGCACGTAACGGTGCATGTAAAAACTTCCCCTTGAATTTCTCCCTGTTGCCACCCACACCAACCCCAGGCCTGGAGTCTGCTGGCCCAAGCTGATGCTGCAATCTGTGAAGGTGAATCCAGAGTCTTTGCAGGAGGGGCTCAGTGAACCGCTGGGCTGTACAATTTTTCCCCCTCAGACTCCACCAGTGAACTTCACATAGGACTTCTGCAAACACAGAGAGAATGGACTGAGAACAGCCGCATGTGGAGCAGCCCCAGCTGGACCTGATTCACAAGGGCCACTAATACTGAGGGTGATGAGAAGGGAAGCCCAGATCAGTGCAGATCCCACAGTGTGGACACTGAGGAAGGGCACACACATGGGATGGCTCCTCACCAGGGCCTGAAGGAACAGGGGATGAGCTGCCTTTCATGAGGAGGGGAGGGGACATATTTCCATGTCTTTCTTTTTGTGGTCATGGGTGCGCCGCTCGGCATTGCTCATCTGTCCTCTGTGTCTCCATTTCAGGGAGGGCAGGGTCAAAGGATTCCCGGGTCTGGAGACACAGGGTTAATCTGCCAATTACTCTTTCTTATTCTCCAGTGTGGACACTATTCAGGTATCTTCATAGTAGAAAACATTATCATCAAATACATCCAGTAAGAACATAAAAATACATTTCCAGAGAAAACAGACATCTCTCCGTAATCAGTACACTTAGAGCTGGAAACCACTGTTCCTGACCATGTGGCAAAGTTGAGTTACAATGAAAATAATGCAGATCTACACCTTGTTAGGGAGGGGGTTTATAATTATCATTATCTTGAGATCACTTTTCGCAACATATTTCAACATCAGATACATGGACTTGTGTCAGGAAACAGTCAATGTGGACATATGTGTACTTATCTGAGTGAAGAGTTCACATGGGGACGTGTTTGCTTGTCTGAGACAAGAGTAAATGTGAGGAAATGTCTGTTTTCTGAGGAAAGAGTAAATGTAAGGACATATGTGGTAGTCTGAGGAAAGAGTCCATGTGGGGACATGTGTGTTTGTCTGATGGAAGAATCCACATGAGTAAAGGTGTGTTTGTCTGACAGAAGAGCCCACATGTTGACAGGTGTGTGTACCCATTTGAGGGTAAATGAGCATTCAGGGACAGGGTATGCCTGAACTCAGCTGACGTTTGGGAAAAATCTTTCTCAATCTAGGAAAGAAAAGGAATCCTCTGGGTTACTTGCTTATCAGGAAGAGAAAACCTGGGTCAAGTAGAAAATTGATTTTTTTCAAAAAAATATCTTTAGTAAATGGAAACATCTTATATGTAAATGAGGAAAATTACTTCCTCCTTTGTTGCATGCATCTCATAATATCCCCACACTCCCAAATATGTTATTAGATAATTTTGTACAGTCTGCATTTTATCCAGGGGTTAATGAATTCCTAAATATATTTTTAATTGTGTATATTTAGGTTTATATTGTCCATCACAAAATTATGAGCTGGGACAAATTAATTGTGTCTTGTCTCAACCATTGCATATCACTAAATTAGTCTTAACTCTTCTTAAACAAGGCCTGTTTTACTTATTTCACACCCACTCTCTAAATTCCTGGAATATCCTCTCTGTTTACCTGAGTATAGTTTTGACTTTTACAGAATTTCAAATAAATGAAACTATACACTGCAATTGAAATGACTTCACTGAAGAAAGTGGAAAATGAGGTTCCTGAAGTAAGCAACTTTGAAAATGAGGTGGTTCTCTAAGTTTAAATTGTAAAGAAATCACACATAAGCACTCTATCTAGTAGATAAACATGTTTCCTACAAGGGTACAGCATTACATTTCTGAAACCGCTATGCATGTGTCCTGAAATCGTGCAACTAAGTAATCAAATGGCATATGGTTGGATGGGATTCCTCACTTTGTAGTGGATGGTTATGGACAGTCAAGAAAGGAAGGTTAGAAAGGTCCATGTGGCAGCATAGTTGGGTGGAGAGACCAGTGTGTGCTCATTTTTAATGTAATCAAGTTACAGAAGATTAGATACATAATTTCAATGGGTCCATAAACATGATTCATATAAACATGCTCATTTACTAGAACAGAAGGTTGAGAAGTCCCAGAAGTACTTATACCACATTAACAACACACATACCCATTATCACAATATTTTATTTTAACACTATTCTTTAAAATCAGAAACAAGCAATCTTTATATAAATGGCTAATTCTATGTATGAAAAAGGTGATAAAGAAACAAGCTTAGAATCTATTTTAATATCAGGAAACAGGGAAGTGTTCAAAAACAAAAGGATCAGCTTTGCTGTAAGGATGCAGGATCCAAACTAAATGAGCTCCCAGCACCTAATAAAGCTGTGGAGATTTGAACAAGAAAATGAATAATGTAGCATGGATCTTCTTCAGAGTATGAAACAGACATCCATAAACCAATATGGATTTTAATAGATGATTAAACAAAGAAACGATGGGAAGAAGAACACGTCTTCTTATAGAAGTATTCCAAATATCTCAGGCAGATATTCCTCCAATCAATAGGTGAAGGCTAAACACTCATGAGTTGATTGTGTCCTGAGATTAGAGACATGGAATAAATAATCAGTATTAGTGTATTTTATAATGAGACTTCAGATATAATGCCAAATACATGATCTATGAATGAATAATTTTTTATGTTTTTTGTCTAAATTTGTGCACACACACACACACACACACACACATATTTTTTGAAATACCCACTGATAAGAGAGAAAAAGGCAACCACAGACTGGGAGAAAATACTTCCAAGTCATATATTTGTTAAATCAATTCTTTCAATTTGTTAAATGACTTTTATAATCAATATGCAAGTAAACTTACAACTAATGAAAAGAAAACAATGGAGATAAAAATGAACCAAATATCAGGAAAGGCATCTCAGCAAAAATTATATAAAAATTGTTTAATATAAATTTTTTTATTTGGGACATGTGCATTTAAATAAATATTAGATGCCATTACTCACCTATCAGCATGGCTAAAACTCACAATACTCATGATGATAAATGGTAACATGAATGTGGAAAAACAAGAAATGTCATGCATTGATGGTGGGAATTCAAAACGTTACATGCACAAAATGAGATTTTTTGGCATTTTTTAAATAGAGATAAAAGTAGAGTTAAAATGTGAACTTGTGCTTGTGTTCCGAAGTATTTACAACGTTGATTCAGAAATTGATGTTTACAAAGATTGATTCAGAGGAAGTTCTGTATCAGATTTGTTAATGTGATTCATTCTACAATCCCTGAAATTTGCTTGCAGAATAAATGTTGTATGAAAAATATCTCAAATAACTAAAATCCTGTCCACTCAAGCCCTTGTCCAGGGACCCATCGCACCCAGTGCAAGTAGCAGTAGGTGAAGGTGTATCCAGAAGCCTTGCAGGAGACCTTCACTGAGGCCCCAGGCTTCTTCACCTCAGCCCCAGACTGCACCAGCTGCACCAGGAAGTGGGCACCTGTGGGGAGGACACAGGATGGATGAAAGCCCCCTTGACTGGACTCAATCCCCTCCTCATTACTGGGACCTGGGAACCCCTTACCTGTGGCTGCTGCCACCAAGAAGAGGATCTTGCAGGTCCAGCCCATGGTGAGATGTGCTCTCAGGGGATTCTCTCAGGGCACAGAACATATTTACCTCAGTGGATATCAGTATATTTGCATATTCATAAGACAAAGCCTTTCTTAACTCAAAGCCCAATCCGTGATAAGAAAGGGAAGATAAATGACACATCAGCCTTACAAGAGTGAGATGAAGATGGTCGAAGTCCTAATCCTGCTTGAGGAAATGCATGCCCTGCTCCATTTACAAACATTTGTGGACAGACATCCTTTCACTGAAGAATAAGCCCGTATAGAACAGGCTCCTCACTGTAAGCCTATATTTGATTAGCATAGAGACCACCTGGATCATTTTTGGAACCATCACTCTCCATCACACTGAGCAGGTGCCTTGGTCTTTTCCTGGACTCATCAGGCACCAGCACAGCTCATTGGCGACTCTGAGAAAGTGACGCTTATGTCCCACATGAGTGTCCAGGAGGGACCTCTGAGATCTACTGGGTGCTCCTGAGACACTGTCTCCAGCACCTGACTCATGTCCTGATCCCCCAGGATCTTCAATTCTATTGAACACTGTTGGTTTACAGATTTGCCCTGTGATGCATAATTAGAGCTGATTTTCTCATCTCACAGAAATGGGAATCAGAAGAAGATAAAGCAGGAGTTTGGAGTCCATTATGAACTCTCTACTCCCAAAGTAATTGTCAAGGAATTTGTGTTTAGAACAATTTTGGGTTATTTTTGAACTCCATTTATTAGTATTTTGTCAAGTATTTACATACTTTCAGTTCATATCCACAGACCCTCACCTTTCCATATTGATTTCTGACTCACTTGGTCTGTGCACCTGCCACACTCTCAGATCCACTACTGCCCTGTCACTCACACAATGTAAGCAACATTACTTAACACTGAAATCTGAATTTCTTATTCATAGGAATGAAGTTTCTTCAACTAATCTGTACCCATAGAATTAGTAAAAACATGCCCATCCTTCATATTCTCACTACTAAGATATTATAGTTCTAGAAACCCACTTCAAAAAATAGTTCTCAGTGCCTTAAGTTATATGAATGGTTTTGATGTGATAGAATACCTAAAGCACGTCAGCGACTTTTTGAACAGTTATTTTAGATTGTTTTTTCCTGACAAAGGAAAACCCAGGCCCTGAGAGGAAACTTCCTCCCCAGCTGTGCACCTGCTCCAGGGCTGGAACCTGTGCTTGGTGGCTCCCAAGTGCCCCCTTTCACCCAGGCTCTTGCCTTGCAATGAGGTTTCTGTCGGAGCTCACAGATATTTTCCTTCAGAGTCTCTAGCCCAGCATGAAGTGGCTGTGTCCTGGTTTAGAATTCTCTGCCAGTGACACCATATGCTGCCAACACCATGTCTTTTAACAATTGATTAGCCTCACTAAACCTACTGAGGGATACCCACAGAAAAGATTCTATGACTCAGAAGGGAGTCCCTTTTCTGAAGCTTCACATTTCCTGAATCAGTGGACACATAATGAATACAAAAACTTGTAGGATTTGGGGAATGCCTAGTTTCTTCGTTGGGCTCCTGCAGTTGAATGTTGCATCTGAGAATATCTGCAGGTACAGATACATTCAGAATAAAGACACCTTTGTATATGCTATTCCAATAACACATATTCTCCTTTCTTACTATTTTCTAGCCTATAAAAGCGCCTCATACACAGACACTAGGCCTAGGTTTATGGCTTTTTTCTCTTAGCGATCTAAGGCAAACAGAATACAAGTGGAGACTTGGGAAGTGCATGAATATTTTTTCTCAGCTAGGAACCCTGAAAATGCCCCATGATAAAAGAATCTGAGGTCAATGGATTTGCCAAGACCTTTTCTTCAAAAAATTTATGTCAGAGGCTTCAGATTTTCCTACTGTCCTTGTCTTTTTCTCTGCCATTGTCTTTCAGTTTCCCTATGTTCTCCTCCTCAGATAGAGTCTGTGCACTGCCACACTTTCATCTTTAACCCAGATTATACTGGTGAGAAAACAAAGTGTGCATCCTGGAAGTATTATATGTTCTTACAATTGATTCTTAATAATTCAATCATCCTTTTTTTCTCTGGGCTGTGACCTATATGCAGAGTCTCCAGAAATGAAACTGATGCTTTCCCTTTTCTGGCTGTAATATTATAGGATTATTTCAGTATCGGCTAATTTTATCCACTTTCATGATAAAGGAAGGCTGCTGGGAGGGTCTGTAATGGAGATGGACTACCTTACCCAATACAGATAAGGTTCTAGATATGTCTTTCCCCTGGATGGTCTATCTGGAGAAATGTACGTGTGTATTTCTCAGAGATTAGGTCTTTGGATGATTTATCCAGGAAAGGATCTATGTCGATTTTCACTCGAAGAACCTGGAGGTTCCTGGAGCAAATAAGCACAAGAGTGTGAGGTGTGGGGCCTCTAAGATCTCTCACCCTCACACTAGTTCAGACATGCCCTTTATGTTTACATAGTTCAGATTTACATATAACATACCACACAGCCAGGCTCATCTAAATTGCCACATGCTCATTTAAACTCATTGGAGCAGCAGCTGAGTGTAATCATCACATTGAACTCAGAGAAACCTGGGTCCAATACACTGTTTATTGTAGCTCAGAGAAGCATCACTGAGTCCCTTGAGTGGACGTTTCTTCCCTGAAAGAGCTTCACTACCAAGTATACTAAAGAGTTGCTATGGAGCCACTGTGGGGTTGGATTTCTTTCTGTCAGCCTGTCATGCAGGGTGTTTTGAGTGATGCAGACCTTTATACTTAGATGCTAATCATTCCCAGTATTGTTGAAATGGCTGGCCACCCCCAGTCCTGTTTCTCCCCTCCACTCACCTGAATGTCTCCAAAAACCCCATGAACCTAAGGATTCTCTTTTCCATGGATGACTCTGAGGATTCTCAATCTGGTCAGTGCCACAGTCAGAGGCAGCTAATGCAGGATTCTCAGTCCGCTAATAAGTTGAGCCCATAATATAGGATACATATCCAAGAGTGGCCAATTCATGTCAGTGCCAATCCACATTTAATTCAAGGGGCATGATTTTCAGTGCATTGAAGTTTAAAAGCTTCATCATTCTTAATAGAGGCACAAACTGAATGGTTTGCTGAAGAAGTGAGTTCATGGTTAGAAGAAAGCTGACTGCACCCAGGCAGAGTCTCTTTAAGTAAAACGCCTGAAATGTGATGTCCTGAAACCTTGTGAAAATTCATTTCCTTGAGTAAAAAAACAGGAAAGCTATTCTCAAATCATTGGGAGAAAACTTATCAGAAATTTTATGAACACACCAGTCGAATTCCAGTAAGTCAATCCTTGGGTTTATGTTTCACAACTCAAGAAGCAATAAAGAAATCTACATAATTGGAAGGCTGCTCCAACAGAGAGAATTTTGAACTATTTAATTAATAGACCAGTATCCATTCCTATGGAATCTGCAACTTAAACAGATCTCTGCAACCTGGAAAAATTTTCTCACTTATTTTTCTCTAGACATCCATAAATGCAAAAACACATTTTGTGTGTATATGCATGAGTGATCTATAGAAATACTTTGCATATTAATGAAAGTTTGGAAAAATGATAACTTCATCACTTATTGTGAACTCACACTTCACTGGTTTCCAAAATTCTCCACCTGTGTCATGGGGCAATGGGTGCCTCTGAGAATATGCTGATTTTCAGACTGAACATGTTCTCCACTCCTCACTTGAATTCATGGTTTCTCACTCACACTGATGTCTCTGTGAATGAAAACCCAACACTGATATCCAGCAGATTTTCCTCTTACAAGATTCATATTCTCTCTATCTCTTTCTTTCTCTGCATGTCTCTAACTCCCTATTTTTCTGTGCCATTACTATTTATTACTGAATCATCCTGAATCCTGCCAACAGACTCCATCTCACATTCTGCAAATATTCTGCCTTAAAGATAATTAGGGGCAAACTCATCCTTGCCCAAGGTGGGAAAACTTTCTGGACTTCCACTAGGTTTATTAGAGCCTCATATGAGAACCATGATCAAACACTATGTGTTTTTGGATTATACCTCAAATCTAAAACTGTTCTTCATAGTGGCTATGACATTCTACATTCCCATCATTACCATTATGCAAAACAGTGTGGTGGCTTCTAAATAAATTAAAACAGACATACCATATGACCAGCGATCCAGCTTATGGAAATATACCCAAATGGGATGAAATTACCACCTTGTGAAGATACCTGCTCTCCTGTGATTATTGTAGCATTATTCACAACAGCCAAGATATGGAAACTAAGTGTCTGTCGATGGACAAATGGATAAAGACAATGTGGTATGTGTATACAATATAACATGATTCTGCCTTATAAAATAAAGAGATGCTGCCATTTTCCACAAGATGAATGGATTCCCACCACCACTAGCAATGCATTTTACCCATTTCAGCCCCTCCCTGGGAGCCGGCAGATCCAGGCCCAGTAGTAAGGACTGGTTGTGATGGAGTGGCCAGAAACAGTGCAGGTGATGCAGAGGGGCAGTGCAGGCTCTTCAGGTCCAGGGCTGACTCCTGCAGCTGCTCCTGGGACAGGGCATGTGAGTACATGGGGAATCAGTCCCTGTCAGTCACATGTACCTACACTCACCCCATAGACCCACATCTGAGACACTCACCCTGGGGGAGCCGTCACCAGGCACAGGAGAAGACAGACATAATGCCATCTTCTTCGTGAACACAACTCTGCATTCCCCAGATACCTTAGCCCTGCCTGAGGGGAGAGCTGTTAGCTTCCACAGTCCAAAAGCATTTTATACCCTGGAGCTTAAAGGATAGTTTGGATGTGGCAAGGCCTTGTACTTATACGAGAGAAGGACATAGGTCTGACTCCCTGTGGGTTTGAATATGTTTTATTGTTGTCTGTCTGTTTTCAGGTTGACATGAAGCACTTCCTTGCCAAAAACTACAGTCATGACATTTAATAAAATTTGCTTTATTCCTATTTTCCCACCTGTGACATTTGACCTTCTGTATCGAGTGAGCAATGTGCATACCTTACAGGAGAAATTACAAAATAATTCTCTAAGTCATCAGTATCACACGAATGCTACCCTGTCCTTACTGCCAAATATCTTCTGGAAAAATTTAAGTAAAAATAAATGACAAGTTGCATTCTTAAATTGAAAGTAGCATAACATTCAGAAACTCATGAAATCCTTTTGCCAAAGGTACTCCCACTAGAACTTAACAGCCCATGGTCTGCTTCCTCAAGGGCAAAGACAATATCACCCTATGACTTGATTCATCAAAAGCCCATGTATTTTCCATTTTACCTTCAGCATTATACTCTGATTTATCACATGCCAATACAGCGAAGTATTTTAGGGGATCGATGTGCTATGCAGAAATATTCAACAGGATGTTAAAAATGTCCTAAATAGCTTCTTTACTGCCATCAACTTGTAAATTATTTATTTTCCAAGAGACATCGGAGAAAAACAGTCACAAACATTGTAAAAGGGGCTAATTACAATTAACAACAAATGCAGCAGTGACTCCAGGATGTCAATCCATAGGTTTATTAGTGAAAATGAGGTGGGTTACATAAATTGTTTTGAGAGTATTTTCCTTGCTTGTAGAGTCAATACCAAGGTTGGCATCAATATAGGGTTAAACAGTGATTTGCTGGGAAGATGTCCTTGTAGATGTGATTTTTATAAGGTCATGGTGGCTTCTATCAAAGGTTGTGGTTAAGCAGAATCCATTCATGGTCGTTCTTGTTATCAGGAGTATGTGCATGGGAAACCTCCTTCATGGTCATTCCTAGTTCCTTTTGTCAGGGTTTTAACACAAGTGGATCTATTTTGATTCTGACAACTTTCACACCCTCTTTCTAACACTACTGGTGAGGAAGGTGACTCACTCTGTGGTACTTTGCACAGCACAGGATAAATTTCACATCCACATCCCATTTTGACCACACAAGCTCATCCTCTTCACTACTGTTGGCCACTTGCATTCCCAGGTGAGTCTCCACATGACACACTGGAGGGTGCTGAGCAATGGGAGAGAGAAAAGTCCTATCAGCCTCTCCCACATGGCTGCAGGAGCCACAGCCTGAGCCCCACCTCAGCTGCAGGGAATGGGCTTGAGACCTCGAGCTTTGGCAGCAAGAACCACATCCCCACTTTACAGGAAGCACGAACAGCACAAGGAAGAGCAAGAACAACAACAACAAATAAAAAGAAATAGAGTGGGCTAAGAGCAAAAGGGGCCCCAGATCAGTGCTGATACTAAGTTGCATACTTTAGTGTCAGGAGAAGGGTCAGGAATGAAAACTGTGAGGTTCTACACGACACTGACCCTGGCCCAGACTCTATTGGCTGTGATCACAATTCCTAAAGACCGTCCTAGTCAGGGAATCTCACTGAGGTTTCTGTCCTGAGTCTGACTGGAGAAGACTCACCAGGTATCCCTGAGTTTCCTCAATACTCTGATCCTGGTGACAATGGTTGAGGGCTTTTCATCTCTGTAAGCATCAATCTGTGTTTTGTGCATAGGAGAATAGGTTTTCATATTAAAATAATCATTTTAAAAATATGTAGAGATGACATTGGTAAGCACAGAATTCTGAACTTAGAGAGATTCCCTAGAGAAACTCTAAAAAGATGAAGTCCCACATCCTGACAGGAAACCAGCCTCCATCTGCAACTTGCCTCTGGGGATGACTCTGATCAGTGGGTCCTGTGTGCCCCCCGCAGCTGATTTCCCCCAAGCATTCTGCAGAGAGGTTTGTGTCTGGGCTCACACTGACTTCCCCTCACTGTGTCTCTTGCACAGTAATACACAGCCATGTCCTCGGCTCTCAGGCTGTTCATTTGAAGATACAAGGAGTTCTTGGCATTGTCTCTGGAGATGGTGAATCGGCCCTTCACGGAGTCTGCATAGTATGTGCCACCACCAGTACCAATAGCTGATACCCACTCCAGACCTTTTCCTGGAGCCTGGCGAACCCAGTGCATAGCATAGCTACTGAAGGTGAATCCAGAGCCTGCACAGGAGAGTCTCAGGGACCCCCCAGGCTGTACCAAGCCTCCCCCAGACTGCACCAGCTGAACCTCACACTGGACACCTGCAAACAGAGAGACACAAAGGTCAGAAATTGCCACACATCACATACCCACTGTTTCTCTCATTCATGCCCATTCACACTCAATATCTCTAGTTCTCCATGAATCACCTTTTAATATAGCAACAAGGAAAACCCAGCTCAGCACAAACTCCATGGTGATTCCTGTGTGTTCAGTCCTGATCACTGAATGGAAACACCTGGGAATCCCAAGGCTGGGGCTCCACTCCCAGAGCTGCAGGGTCAGGGCTGGGCTGGTTTTCATCAGGAGAGGGAGGGCTCTATTTGCATGTCACCTACTATATAGCAAGCTATGGGGTGGGACTCCTGAGGAGAGGGCAGGGCCCAGAGTAGATGAGAGCGTCCTGGGGGATTTTGATGACAATGATTGTGTTTGGGAAAATGCTGTCTTAATGTGAAATTGTTGTGCGATAAACATTTAACAACTATCATATTTTTAATTATTTTTACCTATGTGTATAAATGATGTTATTTAGCACTCAGTGGTTTCTTCGTTTACAGATGTAAAAGTGAACCCACACATGGAGGGGCTATGTATGTGTCTAAGGGCTTATATCTGGCATGAGTGAGTCCTAGTACCTGGGCCTATGCTCCTCACAGCTGGCCTCAATTGCTCTCTTAACCAACTATTGGACAGAGCTAAATGGGCCTAGTGTGGTTTGCAGAATCCACTTCCTGCCACGAGAACCTGTGTGATTTTGCTGCATTTACCTAAAAATACGGAAACATCTAGGCATCAGGCAGATAAATTTTTGGTGTATCTGATATTTAATGTATTCATTTGTTCCTTCTTATCATCCCTTTTTTGTCTAAAATTTCACTTGTTTACTTGTAATACATTTTATGAGTTTTAATTGACAGATGATAAAATTCACATATTTAACCTGCATAACAGTAAACTTTGATAAAGAAAATCTCTATTTTCAAGAAGGTGACAAGTCAACTCACCTCAGAATTCCTCTTGCTCTTTTACAGACATAATTTTGTTTTTCTCCTCTTTTCTTCTACCATTTCTTTATAAAAGTACTGATGTTTTCATATTTCTTTAGACTAGTTTTTATTCTCTAGAATTTATAAGAATGAAACAATATAGTATGTACTCTTATCTATTTGGCTTATTTTTCTCAGTAGAAATACCGAGAATTAAACCTTTTATGTTGTATTGTTTATTTTTTAATAAATAATAGGTAGCATTTCAGCAAACAAATGTAGCATAATTTGTTTTTCTAAGTTGCTAATTGGTATTCAAACTTTTCATTACTTTGGGTCTTACTAATAAATCTGCTACTCAATTTGGTAATGTACATAGATGATAAATTATATATAAAATATATTATTTTTGCAACAACAATAACACGTAAACAAGAGAATGTGCTATTTGGCAAATTTTCTTTAGCATGTCAAATAATTGAAGTTATGAAACAAAAAACAAACCTGTAAACCAAAGAGTATCTGAGACTAATCTCAATAGATTTAGGAAGTTCATTTTCCAAGATTAAGGACATGCCTGTGACACCGCCTCAGGGAGTCCTGATGATGTGTGCCCAAGCTTGTGGGCACAGCTTGGTTTTATACAATTTAGGGAGGCATGAGACATTAATCAATATATGTATATAAGATGTACATTGATTTAGTTCAGAAAGGCAGGACAACTTGAAGTGGGGAGAGGGCTTCTAGATCATAGGTAGGTTTGAGAGAAATGGTTGCATTATTTGAGTTTCTGATTAGCCTTTAACTGAATGCACAATTTACAGGAATAGTCACGTAGGCCTTAATCTGGCTTAGTGAAATAATAGAGCAAAGGGAGCAATCAGATATGCATTTGACTTACATGAGCAGAGAAATGACTCTGTCTGTCTTTGGCCCACAAGGATTTTACTTGTGGTCAAATTTTGAAGGAGGTCTGTAGCTTTTAAAAACCGTAGTAGCTATCATTTTAGTGAAATAATGGAGGTGGATTTACCCCAAACAGTTTTCAGCTTGACTTCCCTTGGGCTTAGTGATTTGGTGGTCCCAAAGGTTTATTTTCCTTTCAGGAACGTGGAAATCTTGAAAGAAATGAGTTCTTGTAGAGAGAAATGAAGCCATAGTGTTAGCTAAACTGAGGCCGAGGCTGCCACATGAAATATAGCCTATTACAAGACAAAGCTACAGGCCGGGCGCGGTGGCTCACGCCTGTAATCCCAGCACTTTGGGAGGCCGAGGCGGGTGGATCATGAGGTCAGGAGATCGAGACCATCCTGGCTAACAAGGTGAAACCCCGTCTCTACTAAAAATACAAAAAATTAGCCGGGCGCGGTGGTGGGCGCCTGTAGTCCCAGCTACTCGGGAGGCTGAGGCAGGAGAATGGCGTGAACCCGGGAAGCGGAGCTTGCAGTGAGCCGAGATTGCGCCACTGCAGTCCGCAGTCCGGCCTGGGCGACAGAGCGAGACTCCGTCTCAAAAAATAAAAAAATAAATAAATAAAACAAGACAAAGCTACAAACGTGTTGGATTGCTTAAATTCCAGTGAGGTAAACGTGTTGTCGTGTAAAATTCTCAGGAACCACATACTGAAGGGCACTGATAAAGTGAATTAAATATGGCCTGAGAAGGACTCCGTACTTCTGTGTTTGAGTCCTTCTGGACAAACTGTAACCTACCTGAATAGGTGGACAAGATTGAAAAGCCAACTTCAGAGCATGAGCCTGTAACAATAGCGGAGTCTTGGCCAATTCCAGCAGCCATACCTCAACCACTCATACACTCTTGAGTGTGCACATTTTGTTTAAATAAGACAAAAACAACCTGTAACCAATCCAGCTGTTTCTGTACCTCACTTCTGATTTCTGTACATCATTTTTCTAATCTATAAACCTTCTTCCACCATGTGACTGCACTGAAGTCTCTTTGAATCTGCTGCGATTCTGGGGGCTGCCCAATTCATGAATCATCCATTGCTCAATTAATCTCATTAACCTTAATTTGGCTGAAGGTTTTCTATTATCCGCATTCCTATACAATTGAATCCCTTTGTTCTAGAATGAGGACACTCAGAAAAATCTTCCTTTCCCAAAGTGTCTGTCTGAGACAGAAGGAGAGCCCATACTACCGAAATGCGTTCAGACCCACCTCCCTCATCAGCACTACAGAATAAAGGGATTACCTACCATACAGGGGCAAGCCACTGAAACCATGATTCCAGAGGCACTGGTGGAGCCCCAGAGGAAATGGGATAAAAACCAAGGTTCTCACCAAAGTTCCATCGAAATGTACCTCCTCTCTGTCATGGAATCAAATCCTTAATCTCCAGGGCATCGCAGAAGATCTAGAAGACGATGATAATAGTGGAGACTATTGGAGGTGTGGGAGGGAACACCTGGGAAAAACAGGAGAAAATATATGTATTTAACTCAGTAGACTTCAAGCTACTTACATGTTAATTAACTGGAATATTTCATAGCTAAATACCTGATCTAGCATGAGAAATAATAGAGATGACACATGGAGAATGCAACAGTGGGAAGCTGAGGTTCAAGTTCTGATGTTTGTTTACTGATATTTGTCCGCTGGCATGTCCAGAACTTCATGAGTACAGAACTCCTCTAATAGTGAAACAAACACTCACAGGACATGCATTTTTGTTTGAAATAAGTGTAATTCAGATGCTGGTAAAATTTTCTCCTCAGACTCCTTTGCACCAGCTCAGGGCTGACGTCTGTGTTGAGTGGGTTCTGGGCCTGCCCTGCAGCTCTGCCCTCACCCTGCTGGGGAGGATGCTGTTTGGGCTCACAGAGCATATTCTCCCAATGTTGCTCTCCCAGAATGAAAGGGCTGTCCCCTGGTTCACAATCCTCTTTCAGCAGCATCTGATGCTTTTGAAATTGTCTCTTGAAACAGTGATTTGTCATTACTATACCCAGTAAACTGCAGGGAGAGCCCAAGCACAGATTCATGAAACCACCAGAGAGTCACTTCCCTGGGACTGTCAGATGCAATGACACAGTCAAGATCCATGGTGAGTCCAGAAACTTTCAGATAATTCATAGGAGCCTCTTATTTCTCTTACAATTCTCTATTCAAAGTTCATGCCAAAAAGTATCTTCACAGAGAGAACTACATGGCTTAAAGCCCACAGAAATGAAAACATGCATGTACACACACATATACACCAACCACCCCCCCCACACACACACACGCAGAGTGGTATGGCTGATTTTTACAGTAATTGGCTCCTAATTTGGGATCTTTCCTAGTGTAAACCAAAGGTTTCTGAGACAGATCTCAATCAAATTAAAATTAATTTTCTCAAAGTTAGGACAGCCTGGAAGAAAAATAAAAGTAACCACAGAAACTGTGTGTGGTTAGTGCCATTCCTTAAAGACGATTTTTAGGGCTTTCAATATACACAGAGGAAAAGCTGGGTAGAGGGGAAGTTTGGATGGTAAGAAAATTTACATGTGTAATGAAAAAGAAGCACATAGGGAAATATAAAATTACGTAGTTCTCCTGCAGTAAGTCAGCACTTTCCCATGCTGTTCTCATGATAGTGAATAAGTCCCATTAGATCTGATAGTTTTATCAAGGGGAGTTCCCCTGCACAAACTCTCTCTTGTCTGCCACCATGTAAGATGTCCCTTGCTTTCCTGACATGATTGTGAAGCATCCCCAGCCATGTGGAACCATAAGTCCATTAAACCTCATTCCTTTACAAATTACCCAGGCTTGGTTATGTTTTTATTAGTAGCAGGAGAACAGACTAATACATTTATTTTGCCAAAGTTAAGAACCCACCCATGGCAAGCCTCAGGAAGTCCTGAGACATGTGCCCAAGGTGATAGAAGTACAGCTTGCTTTTATACATTTTAGAGAGACATGAGACATCAATCAATATATGTAAAATGTACATTTTTTTTTTCCTTCAAGACAGGACAAATTGAGAGGGGGTTTTGCAGTTTAGAAGTAGATAAGACACAGTAGATTGCATTGTTTTAAGTCCTTTATCAGCCTACCACTGAATCCACAATTTAGTCAGACTTAGTGAATCTTCATTTTTTCATAAGTGATACTGAAGAGGAAGCAATCAGATATGTATCTGTCTCATGTGGGCCTCAGAGGAATGACTTTGAATAGAAAGGGAGGCAGGTTTGCCCAAAGCCCTTTCCAGTAAAACACCCTTGTTTTCTGGAATATCACCGAAGGTTCTTTGTGTCGTGGCTATGAAAATCAAGGACACAGACACACAAAAGGTGAGGTTGGAGCAGAAATTTCATATGTAAAAGGAAAAAAAAAAAGCTCTCTGTCACAGAAAGGGGTCCCAAATGGGTTGCTGTGCTGCAGTAAAATGTAAGGATTTTTATAAATGTGCTACTGGGGAGAGGGTATCTTATCAACATAGGATGCAAAAACAGGACCAGGTGTGCCATCTGCATAGAGCGAAGTCTCTGGCAGCCCCATCTCATGCTTTTATTATGCAGGTGGGGACTTAGCTTGGTCTGCTCCACGTTCCTTATCTCCTTCCACCATGCGTGTGCTGAAAAAGGAGGGAGGAGTTTCCATGCCAGGTCCCAGGTACCTCCTTGCAGCTGGGGGCATCCCAAACCCCGTACAAGCTAACAGCTTTCCTAGCTCAGTGTGACCCCAGAAAAGGAAAGGAATGTGCTCATTAAGGCCCAGTGTTTTTATTGGGACCCATCCTATGTATGTGAACTTTGGTGATTACAAACAGAAATACCCTCTCTGCCAGAGTTGTTTATCTATATTTTACAGCCCGATCTTTCAGGCTGCTCTTTGTTAGAAGTGATCTCTTTGAACTGTGTCTGATTAGAAAAGAAGTTATTTTTGAGCTGATTCTTGTTAGAAGAAAAGTTTTTGCCAGAGACTCTTTCATCCTAACTATCTACCTAAATAATTTCTTTCTATCTCCTATTACACCAGCTGGACTCTTCTCTTTAGCTTAGTGATTTTGGGGTCTCAAGATTTATTTTCTCTTCACAATAGGCAGGTACAAAAGGAGACTTCATATGTAATTAAGTTGCTTGTATTAGTCCATGTTCAGGTTGCTATAAGGACATACATGAGGCTGGGTAATTTATAAAGAAAAATAGGTTTAATTAACTCACAGTTCTTCATGGTTGGGGAGGCCACAAAAAACTTACAATCATGATGCAAAGGGTAGCAAACACATGCTATTTCACATGACTGCAGGAGAGAGAAGTGTTAAGTGAAGAGGGAAGCCCCTCATAAAATTATCAAATCTTGTGATAACTCACTCACTAACAGGAGAAAAGCAGGAAGAAAACAGCCCGTATGATTCAATTATTTCCACCTCATTCCACCCTTGCAATGTGTGAATTATTACAATAAAAGGTGAGATTTGGGTAGGGACACAGAGCCAAACCATATCATTGATTTTATTTTCTTTAGAATTTACATTGTCTAGCTGTAAGAAAGCACAGCTTAACTTCTGCTGGTTTCAAGTTAGGAAAAATATTTAAAAAGGGAAATAATTGAAAACGTTATTTTGGAGACTTGTGCAAAGATACGCTTTAAAATTCAGTCCAAATTGTAGAAGATAATATAAATTGAAAAGCGAGTGGACAAGGTTAAAATCTATTAACTGATGCACTATAGTTTATTTTGAAATAATATTTCTCTCTATAATTCCCCAATTTTATTCGAGACAAAATCATAGTAGGACCAATTTATTTGTAAAATCAGTTTTAGGCTTATGAGACTTGGCCTGGTTTTTTTGTATAAGAGGCAGCAAAATAATCATTTAACATATTAGCTCTCTTTTTTTGTTTTCTATTTTTTGTTTGTACATAGGCAATTTTATTCATAAATGGACTTTGCTAGAAATTTTTTGTAAGGAGTCAAAGGGTAGAATCTTTAAAATCTTCAAGCCCAGTCAATATTTTATCTGTGCCACCAGATAGCTATGTGAATTGGGTTACTTTCTCTTTTTTCAAGTTTCCAAGAAAACTTGGGAGTCCTGGGTCTGTCAGAAATTAAATTGTTTACTTACTACACTTCAGGGCCCTGTAAAAAAAAAAAAAAAGGTACATGCCAGTTTTCCCAAAGGGCTTTATCAGCTCTCCAGGTTAGATTCATTTTATAAAGTAAATATGAAAATATATAATTCAAGTTAAAGACTTAGTAAAATGACCATTGTCTCCAATTGTGCCCTGTTATGGAAGAAAGCAGATTTTTATTGAACCTATGCAAATAACTATTTTGATATAAGAATACTCACAGTTTCCAAATTTTGGAGAAATTATGTATATAAGAAGATATTATGTTTTTATTTTTTTCTTAATAAAGTATACCATACTCAATTGTTAACAACTGTGAATAGCTTAAAAGACAAACTTTTCCTGATTCTGAAAAAACAGAACATAAGTAATTAGCAAATGCTTTAAAGAATAAGCCATAAAAATAATTTCAGTCTTCTGTCAATTCAGTTCATTCAATTAAGTCCTGTCCTGCTTAATATTAGATTAACAATCATCAGAAATCAATCAGGTATCAATGAGAGTCTTGGAAGTTTTAATCTCTATACCAATGGCACAATTTATAAAATTGTCACAATCGTATATTTAAGAGTACTCCTCAAAATTCTATAGATTATTATAAGCCACTTGATAAAGAATCAAAGTAAAACACCAACTGTGGATGACTGAAGTTTTAGAATAGCCATGGTTAAAGGCAGAATTGAGGGGAAAATTTGGTTACTTCTGCAATAAACAGAAATTTTACATAATAATCATAAACACTACCGATAAAATATACTAAGACATATCAAATCACTTGGATCTCATACAATTTTGGAAAATATGCTCTTTAATTTATATAAATATGGTCCAATTATATAGTCCACATTTATTTAAATATAGTCCAAAGTTAAAACACTTTTGCAAATTTGACGTAGCTCCCTGCATATTTTAATTATACCAAATAAGCTGAATAAGTTTAATTTTGGCTTTGGGGACCTAATATCAGAAAAGAATAATGAGGTCAAATGACTGCATTTAGAATTTTATTTTGTGAAGTTTGTCAAATATCAAAAGTTTACAATGTTTGATATTACAAAATAGGATTACAGATTGTTGTAATGTAAGTTATTTATTTAGTCCAGTGAGAACTCAGTGATTTTGAAAGAAAGCAAAAACTTTTATTTTTCAAAGAGAAGAATTAATTTTCTAAACAATAACCCCTTATAAGAACAGCATGAGAGAAGTTAAAACTGTCTCTCAATTCCGAAAAATAAATCTATTACATTATAATTACTTTTACCATAAAATTTAATTTCAAATGATCTCTTATAAACTTTTATAAGTTTTTCAAATTAAAAAGTGGATTAATTCTTCAAGAAACCCTTGTCAATTAATGTTTACTGTATAAAGAAACTTTCAAGTAATTTCATCTTTCAAAATTAGCTTTTACAATCTTACAAACCACTTCTTCTGTAACAGTCCCTGGGCCTGGAGTGGTTGAGTAGATTCAATTTCTGGCCTTGTGTCTTAAGTGTGTGATTAATTTTTATTGTCATTTTCTTCCACATCTCTAGATGGGGCTTCAATTGCTGTCAGAGTTTAAAATTTAGCAAGACTCGGTGTCTTTTTTATTTTTATTGTATTTATTTGTTTTTCCTGAGACAGAGTCTCACCCAGACTGGAGTGCAGTGGTGCAATCTCGGCTTACTGTAACCTCTGCCTCCCAGGTTCAAGCAATTCTCCCTGCCTCAGGCTTCCAAGCAGTTGGGATTACATGCGCCCGCCACCACGCCCAGCTAATTTTTGTATTTTTTATTAAAATGGGATTGTGCCGTTTTGGCCAGGCTCGTCTCTAACTCCTGCCCTCAGGAGATCCACCCTCCAAAGCCTCCCAAAGTGTTGTGTATCCTTTTTAGACCTAGGAATCAAAGATCAGTAATGTAGCAGCACAAGGCCTTTAAAAGTTACGCAGATAGTTACATTAACGTAATAACATTAATTTATATTTTCTCAAAATCTCAGTATTCCTAAGTAGTTGAAAAACTTAAAAACAACTACAGAGGAAGTATTTCAAGAAAATATAAAATTTGTTTTATGCCATTTACCAAATGGGAAAAAAAAACACCTTCAGCAGTGTGACTGTGTTTCCCTGTGGGGAAATCCATGTAGATAACCTGCAAGTCAACTCTAATGAAACGAAGTATTTGATTAATTAGACATAGGAAGAATGTGTCTTGGATTACAAGTGAAGATTTTGGTTTCATAGACAAATATAGACATTTTAAAAAACCCAAGAGTGCAGAATACTATATTGAAATAAAACATTTTATTAAGAACTTTAATATAAAAGATTTTTAGCATCAGGCAATCATAGCAGTTAGAAGCTAACAACGTTAGAAGTTAACTCTGTTAGAGGCTAACTGCTGTAAGAAAAAAATTGTTAGATGAGCTCATGAAAAATTTGAGATCCTCTCAAGCCTTCTCAAAAGAGAATAAAACTGGCAAGACGCAGTTTAAGAGTTAAACTTTTGGGTTAAAAAATTAAAATATCTTATAATTTTATTGAGTAAATCAATACTTTAAGACAATTTTTCATTCTAACCAATCTTTAGTATATTTATATATTTTTATATGAAAGCCAGATCTCTACAAATCTATAAGGACTATTATAAATACTTCCCTTTTAATTATAGTCAACTTCATAATATGAAGTTATTTTAATAAATTAACTTTTTACAAACCTTAGTTTGACTTACAAAAAACGCTTATGGCATACTTGAACATATAGTTTTATTCTAAACATCACTCTTTCTTAAATAAAGTCATTTTTATTTTAGGATAAAAAGTTGCAATACAAGATTCTTTCTCATATAAAATTATTTTTATTTTTTTATTTTAACCTTTCACACCAAAAGTACTCCTCTATGTCTAAAAATTTCTTTTTTTTTTTTTTGAGACAGAATCTTGCTCTTTCACCCAGGCTGGAGTGCAGTGGCATCTCTCTTATTTACTGGTTATGTTTAGGATGTTTTATAAGTAACCTCTGAATTAAATAAAATCTTTTTGTAAGAACAAATATTTTACAAAAATATTTTCTTATAGTATACATTCTTAAAATGATTAGCAATGACCTAAACATTTAGTCAATATCTATTATTTAATTAAACTTTAGATTTTTAAATTGTAGAACAAGTTTATTTAAAAGGTTTATTGTGTTACATTAACTTAATTTATTTTTTAAATAGCTTACCTAGATCATTTATGAAAACTATAATACTCATCCTTTAAAGCTTTTTCCCTGTTATCCATATTATAACCCATGAATTTCAGGTGTTTACCTAAGTAAAATTCTTATTAAATAAATGATTGTATTTCCAATAACTATTTACCTGTTTTTTATTAAAACAATAATATTAAACATCTTATTTGTCAAATTACAAAGATCATTCTGGTTTTAACTAGGTTAATAATTTTATAATCTTCATAGAAATGTTTCACACCATATAACATCCAGCTGCAATTTTAAATATAAAATCACTTGATCAATTGATATAAACCATAAGGTATTCTGATAATTGTTAAAATATTTCTAATTTTATTTTACCAATAATTTTGAAGCCAGCTTATTTATTACATATTTATTTAAGTTACATGTACTTCAGATGCGTTAGGGCTCATTGACTTAATTTAAAATAGTTATTTATTTTAAAGTCAATTTTGTACCTTGTAGCCATAACACATAACAAAAAAATATATATATATGTACATAATACATACAAGCACACATTCACACTAATACAAAGATACTAGAGCTTTTACTTTAAAACTCTAGCTATGGAATATCAATACAAACTCAACAGATGTTCAACAAAAAAGGGTTAGATGTAAACAGTGGTTGTCATCTTAAAACCAGTAGAAAGGCCCTGTAAACCGGAAAACAAAATATTTTTAAGCCAAAAACATATCCTCATCTTTCTTTATAAACTTCACCATAAATTGATTATACTCTCTTACTATTCTAATTTTTAGTAACCCTAATTCACAGTGAGAAGCCTAGGATTACTTAATTTAACATGACATGAGTTTAAGATTTTAAATTACTGAAGACAATTATGAGTCTAAATTTACCAAATTAATATTTGTAAAGCAATGTAAAATGTAAAGGTGACTCTGAAAAATAGATGTACATTTTCTTTACAAAGCATTTCACTAAACAGACTTAACTTGATTGGAGGTCTTTGAAACACAGCTTGATTACATTACTGCCCTTAGAGTGGGACCATTTAAGAAAAAGGGCCAAGAAAACATGCAGTTTTTAATTCATAAAGTACAATTGCTTATGCAAATGTGCAAAGAAATGAGTAGCCTTCTATAGTGATGACCATTTCCTGTAAACTGCCCTCAGCCACACCTAACATAGCTTTCAAAGCCACCCCTAAAATTACCGCTTTCATTCACTATTGCACACACCATGAATGAATCCTCTCAAAGTACAACGTAATTCTGGTAGCATCCAAAGCCAAAAACATGACACAATACAAGAAAGCAGAGCTTTATACTTGCTCTGCTTTATACCGAAGAATCTGCCAATGATTGAAACCACAAAGGAAGCAGAAAAACTCCCACCATGTTAGTGGCAAGATACAAGAGGAACCCTCCTCCCTGCTCCCACTCAGGGACCTGATTTGGAGCTGCCTCCTAAGGGAGCAGTGGTGTCCTCAGTGCCCCTTGGTGTCCTCACTGCTCCCTGGTTTCCTGAGCACCCCCTGGTGTCCTGAGTACCCCCTGGTGGTTGTGAGCAACCCCTGGTTTACTAAGCACATCGTTGTGTCCTGTGAGCCCCTTGTCCTCAACGCACCCTGGTGTTCTGATCGCCCCCTGTAGGTTCTGAGCTATCCTTTGCGTCCTGTGCGCCCCTGGAGGTCCTGAGCACCCCCCGGTGTCCTGAGCACGGCCTGGTGATTCTGAGATGCCCCTGGTGTCCTGAGCGCCCCCCTGGGGTTCTGAGCACCCCTGGTGGTTCTGAGCACACCCTAGTGGTTCTGAACCACCTGGTGTCCCGATCGTCCCCGGTGGTTCTGAGTGCCTCCTCATGTCCTGAGTGCTCCCTAGTGGTTCTGAGTCCCCTGGTTTCCTGAGTACCCCCTGGTGGTTCTGAGCACCCCCTGGTGTCCTGAGCGCCCCCTGGTGTCCTCAAAACCCCCTAGTGGTTCTGAGCCCCCTGGGGTCCTAAGATCCCCCTAGTGGATCTGAGCATCCCCTGGGGTCCTGAGGGCCCCCTCGTGGTTCTGAGCACACCCTAGTGGTTCTGAGACCCCTGGTGTCCTGAGCACCTCCTGGTGGTTCTGAGATCCCCCTGGTGTCTTGATTGCCCTTTGGTGTTTCTGAGCTCCCCCTAGTGTCCTGAGGGCTCCCTGGTGTCTCCAGTGTCCCCTGGTGGTTCTGAGTGACCCCCACCAAGTGTCCTGAGTGCCCCCTGGTGGTTCTGAGCACCCCTGCTATCCTGAGCTACCCCTCACCACAGTGTCTGGAGTGCCCCCTGGTGGTTCTGAGTGACCCCCCCCCCCCCCCCCAGTGTCCTGAGCGCTCCCTGGTGGTTCTGAGCACCCCTGCTATCCTGAGCTACCCCTCACCACTGTGTCTGGAGTGCCCCCTTGTGGTTCTCTGTGACCCCCCCCGCCACACCCCCCCCCAGTGTCCTGAGCGCCCCCTGGTGGTTCTGAGCACCCCTGCTATCCTGAGCTACCCCTCACCACCGTGTCTGGAGTGCCCCCTGGTGGTTCTGAGTGACCCCCACCCCAGTGTCCTGAGTGCCCCCTGGTGGTTCTGAGCACCCGCTGTTTTCCTGAGGCTCCGCACCCCCAGGTGGTTCTGAACATCCCTTCTTGTCATCAGTGCCCCATGGTGGTTCTGAGCACCCTCTGGTGGTTTTGAGTGCCCCCTTGTGTTCTGAGCGCCCCCTGGTGGTTTTGAGTAACCCATGGTGTCCTGAGCACCCCCTGGTGTCCTGAGCATCCCCTGATGGTTCTTAGCGCCCCCTGATGTCCGGAGCACCCCCTGGTGGTTCTGAGAAGCATCTACCAGGCAGTCCCCTCCTGTCCCCCTGCAGGGAGGTTGGTGTCTGAGCTCACTCAGATGTCCCCTCACTGTGTCCCTCAAAGTAATACACGGACTTTTCCTGAGCTCTCAGGTTAATCATCTTAAAAGAGAATCTCCTGAACTGAGTGTATTTGAGGATTGTTAATCATCTTTTTACTCAAGGAGAGTCCCACTGAGAACTTCCATTTGAATTATTGTTATTACCCACACCCACCCCTGTCATGAAGCCTGCTGGATCAAGCTTATGCTGTTTTCAGTGAAAGTGAATCCAGAGGCTTTGCAGAAAAGGCAGAATTCCTGGTCTGTAGTATTTCTCTGTCTGACTCCGTTAGTTAACTTCACAGGGGACTTCTGCAAACACAGAGGCAACAGACTGAGAACAGCCCCACCTTTGAGCAGCCACAGCAGGGCCTGATCCACGGGGAACCTGGATATTGAGAGTGATGACAAGAGAAGCCCAGATCAGCACAGACCCCATGGTGTGGACACTAAGGAAGGGCACAGATGTGGGGTGGCTCCTCACCAGGATCTACAGGAACAGGGGATGAGCTACTTTTCATTTGCAGAGGAGGGGCTTCATTTCCATGTCTTTCTCCCTGGGGACATGAGTGCACTGCTCAGCAGGCCTCTTCCCATCTCTGTCTCTGGATTCCAGGGAGGGCAGGGTCAAAGGATTCCTGGGACTGGATGTTCAGGGTTGATCTGCCCATTACTCTTTTTTTTCTCGTATGTGGACCCCTATAGGGTATCTTTATAGTATCAATATTTATCAACAAATAAGTACAGTAAACAAATAAAAATAAACCTTGCCCAGAGGAAATGGACTCCTGCCTGTAGGCTGTGCAATTAGAGCTGTAAAGGACTGTCTTCTACAATAAAGGAAAGTCTTCAGTTAGAATTTTAAAAATGACAATTTCTACAAACTATCAGAGCTGGAGTCCATAATTACCACTATCCTAAGCTCATCTTGCCACATAACTGTTCGTTGTCAGCTATATGTGCTTGTCTGAGGAAAAAGTCAATGTGGGGACATGTGTGCTTATCTGAGGGAAGAGTTCACATGAAGACAGGGGTGCTTGTCTGAGGGAAGAGTCAACCTGAGGATGCGTTTGTCTGAGGGAAAGGTCCACGTGGGGACAGGTGTGGGCATTGTCTGATGGTAAATGCCCATTCAGAGACGGTGTGTGCCTGGACTGAGCTGAAGTTTGAGGGAAATCTTTCTCAGTCAAAGGAAGATGCGAATCATCTGGATTAATTGCTTGTCAGCAGGGAAACTTGGTTGCACATGAACCTGATAAAAGAAAAGTCTCTTGTGAATGGAAACATCTTATGTGCAAATGGGGAAAGTTACTTCATTCTTTGTTGCCTGCATCTCATGCAATTCCCTGCCCACACGGTGTAAATGTATTTGATATTTTATTTTTGTACACTCTGCATTTTATCCTGGGGTTCATGATGTGCTACATCATTTTATAAGTTGTATATATTTAGATTCATAGTTTACATCATAGAATTATGAGAATTAACAAATTGTGTCATGCGTTCACTACTGCAGATCATAAAAAAGTTTCACTGTTTGCAAACAGTACCTTTTTCTCCTAATGCATACCCTCTCTCTAAATTTCTAGAAAATCCTCATATATTTATGACATCTACAGTTTTGTCTTTTACAGAATGTCAAATAAAATGTATACAACATATTTCAAATAACCTCACTGAAGAAGGTGGCACATAAAGTTTCTCACCTATATAACTTAGAAATCAGGGTGTTCTGTAAATCTAAAGTATAAAGAAACTGCACTTAAACACTTTTTTCTAGTCAATAAACATACTTCCAACAGGGGTACAAGTTAACAATTCTAATACCACGATGCATATATTCTAAATTGTACAACAAATTGAATGAATGGCCAATGATGGGAGGGGTTCCTCACTTTGCAGTAGGTGGTTATGGACAGGCAAGGAAGGAAAGCTTGAAACATTCATGTATCATCATAGTAGATTGTAGATACCAGTGTTCTAAAGTTTGAGGCAATAAACATACAGAAGATTGGATACATAAATAGATTAGATGGGTCCATTAACATGGGTTAATATATACATACACATTTTCTAGGCCTGTTAGCTTAGAGATTCTAGAAACACTGACAGTACATTAACAACACACACACCCAACATCATAATTTTGTGTGTTAATATAATTCTTTAATATCAAGGACCGGCAATCCTTGGAGAAATAACTGATTCTATGTGTAGAAAAGATAATAGAGATAATGAGCTTAGTATTTCTTGTAACACCAGGAAATAGGGAAGTGATCAAAAACAAAAGGATGGGGCATGCTGTAAAAATACAGAATCCAAACTAAATGAGCTCACAGAACCTAAAAAAAAGCTGTGGTGATTTGAGCGATAAAATAAATAATGTAGCACCAGATCTTCTCCATAGTAAAAAATAAACATTCATGAGCCAACACCAACATTAACAGATTATTGAATAAAGAAAATTAGAAAAAAGGCACCTTCCATTCAGAAGAATTCTAAACATCTTAATAATCTTCTCATTAAATAGGAGAAATTCAAATAATTATGCTGTGATTGTGGCCTGAGATTAGAGACAAGAGAAAAATCCTGTTAGTGGAATTCATAATTAGTTTTTAGATATCATGCCGAAAGTATGAGCTATGAAATAATTATTTTATGTAAGTTTACACATACACACACACACACACTATATATATATGCACACACACACATATGTATATAAATATTTTTCTGCCACAGACACTGATATGGGAGTAAAACAACAACTACAATTTGGAGAATACACTTGTAAAACACATATTTGTTAATCAATTTTTTGTTAACTTCGTGAGTGACTTATATAATGGGTATATAAGGAAACTTACAACTGATCAAAAAGAAACAATGCAATAAAAAATAATCCACATACCATACGAGACACTTCATCACAATTATATGAAATAATTAAATACAAAATTTTAATTAGAAATATGTGCGTTTAAACAACAATGAGATATCACTACTAATCTATTAGAATAGTTAAAATACGCAATACTCATAGTGCCAAATGGCAATGAGGATGCGGAAGAACAAGATCTATCATGCATTGCTGGCATGAACACAAAATTATAATTGCACAAAATGGAAAACATTAAAACATTTTGATATTTTATATAATGGAGATAAGTGTAGAGTTAAAATGTGATCTTAGCAGCTGTGCTCCAAAACATTTACAACACCCGTTCCAAAACTTATGCTCGCACTAATATTTTCAGAGGAATTCTATTATTGGTTTTATTAATTTGATTTGTTCTCCACTCCCTGAATTTTGCTTACAGAATAAAAGTTGTATGGAAAATTTCCCACATAATTAGAGTCCATACGCATTTCTATTTTCCTTTTTTCAGCAATGACTTAAACTCGCTTTCTAAAAAAAGTCTTTAAAGCAAATAAAATCCCTGTCATCTCTCAAGCCCAGCACTGCTGCCACCTCCCTCAGGATTGCTGACTGTCTCAGGATGTGGGTTTTCACATTGTGTGTCTCGCACAGTAGTACACATCTATGTCCTCAGATCTCTGACTGCTCAGCTCCATGTAGGCTGTGCTCGTGGACATGTCCCTGGTCATGGTGACTCTGCCCTGGAACTTCTGTGCATAGCCTGTCTTACCATTGCCAGAGTAGATCCCTCCCATCCTTTCAAACCCTTATCCAGGGGCCTGTCGCACACAGTGAATATCGTAGCTGGTGAAGGTGTATCCAGAGCTTTGCGGGACACCTTCACTGAGGCCCTAAGCTTCCTCCTTCAGCCCCAGACTGCACCAGCTGCACCTGGAATTGGGCACCTGTGGAGAGAATACAGGAGTGGATGAAATTCTTTTTGACTGAAAAGAGTCCTCTCATCCTTCGGAGTAGGTGGTCCTTTACCTGTAGCTGCTGCCACCAAAAAAATGATCCTTCAGGTCCAGTCCATGGTGAGGAGCTGTGTTCTCAGCAACTTCTCTAGAGGAGGGATGTGGTTGTTGGGTGATGCTCTCAGGGCACAAGAATAACCATATTTAATCTCAGTGGATCTCATGATATTTGCATATTCATGATTCAGAGAATTTTATAACTCAAGACCTGATTCAGGACAAGAAAGAGAGGATAAATGGCACATCAGCCATACAAAAGTGAGATGGTGATGGTCCAAGTCCTAATCCCACTTGAGGAAATGCATGCCCTGCTCCATTTCCAAACACTTTGTGGACAGAGGTCCTTTCACTGAAGAACCAGCACCCACAGGACGCGTTCCTCACAGTGAACCCATATTTGATTAGCATGGAGACAATCTGGATCATTTCTTGGACCATCACTACGACACTGAGCAGATGCCTTTGCCTCATTCTGGTCTCATCAGCCACCCGCACAGACCACTGGTGACTCTGAGAAAGAGAATGCTGGATGTCCCATGTGAGTGTCCAGCAGGGCCTATGGACAAGCTGGGTGCTCCTGAGACAGTGTCTTCAGCATCTGCCTGAGATCCTAAGATCTTTAACAGAAGACTTTTAGTTTACTGATTTGGCCTGTGATGTGTGATTGGCGCTGATTTTCTCATAAGACTGACAATAGCAATGAAGGGTTGGCATAGCAATTAGGAGTTCTTCATGAACTCCCAGCTCTCAGAATAATTTCCAAGGAATCTGTGTTTTGAATAAGCTTGGGTTTTATTTCTCACTCTATTGAAAATAATTTTGTGATGTATTTACATCAGGAAACAAGACACTCTAACAAGAGAGCTGTTTTTAGGTGAGGTGCAAAGTAGTGGAGAGATGGAGGTGTCCTTGAATTCTCAGAATTGCTGGAACTTGAATACCAAGTTCACCTCTGAAAGGCAGTAGTCTATCTGTGAGGATATCAATCAGCTCTGCCTTCAGGAATCTTTGGATGTGGAAAAGATCAGGAGTGTGATTTATTTTTATCCATCGTGGTTAGAGGGAAACTTCCGGTCCCAGGAAGTGGGTGATTTTAACAGAAGCACCTGAGACCTTTCCTTCTGAGTCGTTTTGAATCCTGAGATCTATTGGAGATCGCAGGAGAAAGCAATGGGGCAGATCTCCATTCTCCTTAATGTGTGATCCTGAGGATGTGGCCTGACCTCTGTACACTTCCGTGTTAAAAGATGTAGATTGGGGATTGCAGTGACAATTTCATATGCAAACTCTATAATAGGTCAGCACTGGAGAATAGTCTCATCACCAAGATTACTGCAATTACCTTTCCTGGGAACCAGAGAGAACCTCCGTGACCCCTCTCATCTGAGCACACAAGGAACTCTGCTTCTGCCCTGACAGATCACACCTGTGACACGGGGCAGGACAACGACAATCAAGTCTAGTGTCCTCATTCATATATTGACCAATCTAGCTCAATCCTTCTATCTCTGAAAGGCCCTCTCCTCCACTGAATTGCATGAACATACCTTTGGGTGTGGGGCATTACAGCTTTGTTATTTGATATTAGTTTAGTGAATTACATAATAAATAATCTGCCTCCATGGACGCTGGCAACAGGAGAATCATCAGAAGCTGGGTGAGTCATATAATCAGGACAAAACTGTGCTCTCTTCTTCGGACCTGGAAAGAGTGGGCTGACCTTGTGTGGGGCAACAGAGGGGAGGAGACAGACCAAACATCCAGAACCAGGTGAGCACCTCACTTACCAGGTAGTCTCTGGGCCTTTTGTTTGAACACATGCAGAAGGACCTGTGCTCACCTTCAGGGAAATGGTGAACTTGGAGAAAAGATCACAGTGACCAATAATTTTTTACTTATCGAGAAAAAAGTGTCATAGGTCTCTATGCATCAGTATGCATGTGTACAGGTTGCTACACAAAAAAGAGGAAATTATATTAGCTGGAAAGAAAACCAAAGAGCTTCTGAATGCGTAGATGTTGTTATTCTCAAATATGCTAGCTCCCATTTTAGGATGCTGCTCCCTAGGGGCCAGGACACTGGGGCCGACAGAACATGCTGCTGAGGCTCAGTTCTGGACAAGAGCTACTGAGAACCAGAGACTCACTTCTTCCACACAGCCTCACTGATGGATGAAGGCTCTGCCCTGGGTGCAGCAGCACTGAAGACGTTGGCCCCCTGGTTCCCAACCCTGCTTCTATGGAAGAAGGTCTACCCCAGCAGGAGCTGCATGCTGATAAAGTGGAAAGTTTCTCCCCAACCCTGCACTGAGCACTCAGCTCCTACCTTGAAGAAGAAAAACACTCCTAATCTCCACCTGCAGAATCTTATCTTGGAGCTCTGTCTCAGGAGCGGGGGTGAGGCTGAAATTTGGTCATAAAATAGAGTCCCGAATCTGGTCTTGAAGGACCTGACTTCATTTACAACAGAGTGTGGAGAATTACAAAGCCCAAGAGTTGCTTCAAAAACGGTGGAGGCTGTGGTAAAATGCACTTGGACGGAGATGGGTGAATGCATGGGAGATCCAGGCTAAACTGCAGGGCTGCTGGCCTGCAGGAGAGAACCAAGAAGAAAGAGAGCTGGGAAGAGTTCTCCTGGGATCAGTACAAATGTCAGGCACTGTTTGTTCAAAGGCGCCCATGTTTGTTTGGTTCCATCTGTAGAGCAACTTAGACCTCAGTGCATTGTTGAAAATATAAACTTCCAACTGCAAGTAGTGGAGCTCAACATCTGGTCCTGGTCAGGGAAGAGACAGAGAGAGCCCAGCCCAAACCAATGACATGCGAGGGTGACAGTGAAATCCACAACTGTGTCTCTGGGGATCTTTCAGGCAGGCCTTCTGTCACTCAGAAGAAAGTCTGGAGTTCACCTGTAATGCTTTATGTCAAATTTTCAAAGACATTCATGTTGTTTTTAGTTTCTAACATACACACACCACACACACACACACACACACACAATGTTAAACATCTGAATACATGTGTGTGAACATATGATTTTAATCCTTTGTAGGACAAACTTAGGAGTGAGAGTTCTAGGTCATGGATTAAGGACATGTTTAATTGTATAGGAAACTGTAAATGATTTTCCCAGAAACTGTTTCATTTTGCATTCCCACTAGCAATATATTAGTCTCTAGGGTGACTGACTTCTTCACCGACGCTGATATTGTCAGTATTTCTTCTTTATTTTTTGTCTTTCTAGGAAGTCTATGGTAGTGTCTCCTTTTGGTCTTGATTTGCAGTTCTCTAGTGGAAAATCACATTCATATGCTGGTGTGTCATCTGTACATCTTCGAGGTTTGCCGGTTCATATTATAATTACATTGGTAGATATATGACTTGCAAATATTTTCTCCTTTGCAGCTTGTCCTTAATTTTCTTGATAGTCACTTGAGTAGAAAATGTTTTAAAATTTGAAGTTCAACTAACGTTATTTTCATTTATTGGTCACAATTTTAATTTTCAGTATTGTTGATCAACTGTTAATAATCATGTTTTAATTATATTTGTTTTTATTTTATATGTATAAATTTGTGGGGAGTGACTGCAATTTTGTTACATATATATATTGCATAGTAGTCTTGGCTTTAATGTATCCATGATCCAAATAATGTACATTGTACCCATTAAGTAATTTCTCACCATTCTCCCACCTTCTGCTCTCCCATCTTTCTGAGTCTCCAGTGTCCATCATTCCTTTCTCTATGTCCCTGTGCACATATGAGTTAGCTCTCATTTATAAGTGAGAACATGTGGTGTGTGATGTTCTGTTTCTCAATTATTATACTTAAAATAATGATGAATTCCATCCATGTAGCTGCAAAAGATATGATTGCATTCCTTCATATGGCTGGATAGTATTTAAATGTATATATATGTAACATTTTCTTTATAAAATTATCTGTTGTTAGGCATAGGTTAATTCCTAAGTTTGATGACTGGGCTATTATGAATAGTTCTGCAAGAAAACAAAAGTCGGCTTATCATTCTGATATAATGATTTATTTTTCCTTTAGGTAGTTATTTGTGGTTATCGAATCAAAGTAGTTCTACTTTTACTTCTTTGAAAAATCTCCATACTGTTTTCCATAGAGGCTGTGCTAATCTACATCCTCACCACAAGTGTCCGAGCGTTCCTTTTGCCTTCAATCCTCACCAATACCTGTTATTTTTGGCTCTTTAATAGTAGCCATTCTGACTGGTTTAAGAAATATCATTGCAGTTTTAATTTGCATCTCCCTGATAATTAGTGCTGTTTAGCATTGTTTACTTATTTATCATCCAGCATTTTCCCATGTATATCAATACATCAAGTGGTGTACCTTAAATACATACAATTTTATTTGTCAACTTTAGCTCCATAAAGCTGAAAATGTAACTCAGTCTTATAATAAAAAAATGCATACTTATATTTCTACGTATTTTATCAATATGTGAGAATATAAACAGAAAAACTTGTACGAAAATAGTTATAACAGTTTGTTTATAACATTTATGTTGGAAAGAAATTTAAATTTCATCAACAGGAAAACAAATATACATATTGTCATTATTTCACATAATAAACTGATTTATTTACTTAATAAACTGTCATTTACTGATGTTATGGATTGATTCAGATATGAAATATTCATATGTGTATTAGTACGTACATATGTATATATATGATGACAAAACCTTGAGACATGAAATTACATAAATAAACCTAAAAATAACAAAAATAAGTTCAAAACAGAAAAAATTAACCTATAGTGACAAAAATTAGAACATTTTTCTATTTGCATTTTTCTGATGGTTAGTGATGATGAGAATCTTTTAAAATATTGCTGGCCACCTGTAAGTCTTCTTTTCAGAAGTGTCTGTTCTTGTTATTTGCCCATTTATTAATGGGGTTATTTGTCTTTGGATTCTTGATTTGTTTAAGTTTCCTATACATTCTTGATATGGTTTGATTGTGTCCCCACACAAACCTTATCATGAATTGTTGCTCCCATAATTACCATGTGTTGTGGGAGGGACCCCGTGGGAGATAATTGAATCATGGTGGGGGGGTCTTTCCCATGCTATTCTCATGATAGTGAATTAGTCTCATGAGATCTGGTGATTTGATAAAGGGGAGTTTCCCTGCATGAGTTCTCCTCTCTTGCTGATGATTTTATAAAGGGGAGTTTCCCTGCATGTCCTCTCTTCTCTTGTATGCCACCATGTGATATGTGCCTTTCACATTCTGCCATGATTTCGAGGCTTCCCCAGCAACGTGGAAGTGTGAGTCTATTAAACCTCTTTCTCTTGTAAATGCCCAGTCTCAGGTACGTCTTTATCAGCAGCATGAAAAGCAACTAATACAGTAAATTGGTATCAGTTGAGTGAAGTGCTACTGATAAGATACTCAAAAACATAAAAGCGAATTTGGAACTGGAAAACACGCTGAGGATGAAACAGTTTGGAGGGCTCAGAAGAAGACAGAAAAAAATGTGTGAAAGTTTGAAACTCTCTAGAGATTTGTTGAATGGCTTTGGCCAAAATGCTGATAATGATGTGAACAATAAAATCCAGGCTGAGGTGGCCTCAGATGGAGACGAGGAACTTGTTGGGAACTGGAGCAAAGTTGACTCTAGTTAGGCTTTAGCAAAGATACTGGTGGCATTTTGCCTCTGCCTTAGAGATTTGTGGAACTTTGAGCTTGAGAGAGATGATACCAGGTATCTGGCAGTAAAAAATTCTAAGCAACAAAGTATTCAAGGTGTGACTTCGGTGCTGTTAAACACACTCAGTTTTAAAAAGGAGGTAGAACATAAAAGTTCAGAAAATTTGCAGCCCGACAATGCAATAGAAAATAAAATCCCATTTTCTTAGGATAAATTCAAGCCAGCTGCGTAAATTTACATAAGTAATGAGGACCCAAATGTTGGTCACCAAGACAATGCAGAAAATGTTCCAGGGCATGTCAGAGACTTTTGTGGAAGGTTCTCCCATCGTAAGCCAGAGACCTAGGAGGAAAAAATGGTTTCATGGGCTGGGCTCAGGGTCCCTCTGCTATGTGCAGTCTAGGGACCCGGTTCCTTGCATCGGAGCTGCTCCAGCCATGATTAAAAGGGGCCAAGGTACATACAACTCAGGCTGTGGCTTCAAGGGGTGAAAGCCCCAAGCCTTAGCATCTTCCATTTGGTGTTGAGCCTGCAGGTGCACACAAGTCAAGAATTGAGGTTTAATAACCTCTGCCCAGATTTCGGAGGATGTATGTAAATGCCTGGATGTCCAGAGAGAAGATGGCTGCAGGGAGGGGCCCACATGGGAACCTCTGTTAGGGGCAGCGAGGAAAGAAAATGTGGGGTGTGTGCTTTCACACAGAGTCCCCACTGGTGCATTGCCTAGTGAAGCTATGATTAGAAGGCCACAGTTATTCAGACCCCAGAATAGTAGATCCACCAACAGCTTGCACCATGCACCTAGAAAAGCCATGGACACTCAGAGCAAGCCAGTGAAAGCAGCTGGGTGAAAGACTATACCCTGCAAAGCCAGAGGCATATGGCTGCCCAAGACCATGGGAACCCAACACTTACATCAGCATGACCTGGATGTGAGACATGGAGTCAAAATAGATCTTTTTTGAGCTTTAAGATTTGACTGTCCCACTGGATTTTGGACTTGTACAGGGCCTTTAGCCCCTTTGTTTTGGCCAATTTCTGCCATTTGGAATTGCTCTATTTACCCAATACCTGTACTCCCATTGTGTCTAGGAAGTAACTAACTTACTTTTGATTTTACAGGCTCATAGGCAGAAGGGACTTGCCTTGTCTCAGATGAGGCCTTGGAATGTGGACATTTCAGTTAATGCTGAAATAAGTTAAGAATTTGGGACTGTTGGGAAGGCATGATCCATTTTGAAATGTGTGTACATGAGATTTAGGAGGAGCCAGGGGCAGAATGATATGATTTCACTGTGTCCCCACCCAATTCTCATCTTAATTGGAGCTTCAGTAATTTCCTAATATTGTGGAATAAACCCCCTGTGAGATAATTAAATCGTGGGGGCGGGTCTTTCCCATGCTATTCTCTTGAGAGTGAATGTCTCATAATATCTGATAGTTTTATAAAGGGGGATTTTCCTGCACAAGTTCTCTTTTCTTGTCTGCTGCCATATGAGACATGCCTTTCACATTCCACCATGACTGTGAGGCCTCTCTAGCCTTGTGGAACTGTGGATCAAACCTCTTCTTCTTCTTATTTTTTGATAAATTGCCTAATATCGGGTATGTCTTTATTAGCAGCATGAAAACCAACTAATACAATTCTGGATATTAGGGCATTGTTGGATGCAACATTTGTGAATAACTTCCCACAATCTGTAGGTTGTCTGCTTACTATGCTGATAGTTTTGTTTGTTTGTTTGGTTGGTTGGTTGGTTGGTTAGCTGGTTGGTTTGCTGCATAGTAACTCTTTAGCAAATTAGTCTCTCCTTATCTATTTTTGTTTTTGTTGCAATTGCTTTTGGATACTTAGCCAAAAAGTATTCGTCAAAGCTGGTGTCGAGAAGAGTATTTTCATGTTGTCTTCAAGGATTTTTATAGTTTGATGTCTTACATTTAAATCTGTTATCAATTTTGAGTTAATTTTTATATATGTTGAAAGCAGACATCCAGTTTGAATCTTTGTCATATGGCTAGCTAGTTGTCCCAGTAACATTTATGGAACAGGGAATTCCTTTCTCATTTCTTGTTTTTTTGTCAGCCTTATCAAATATCATACAGTTGTAGGTGTGCAGCCTCACACCACTCAAATTTTTATCACTAAAAAGTCAAAAACCAATGGATACTGATGGGGCTGTGGTGAAAAGAAAACACTTACACACTGTTAATGGGAATATAAATTAGTCCACCCACTTTGGAAAGCAGACTGGAGATTTCTCAAAGAACTTAAAACGGAGATATTATATGAACCAGCTATCCTTCTACATGGTATACACTACAAGGTAAACAAATAATTCTACCAAAGAGACACATGTGTGTGTATGTTTATTGCTGTGTTATTCACAGTGGCAAAGACAAAGATCAGCCCAGATGCACATCAATGGTAGAGTGGATATATAAAATGTGGTATATGTAAAATGTATAATACTACACAGCCATAAAAAAGAATGAAATCATGTCCTTTGCAGCAAAACAAATGGAGCTGGAGTTCTTAATCCTCAACAAATTAATTCAGGAAAAGAAAACTGAACACCACATATTCTCCTAAGTGGCACCTCAGCATTGAGCACACATGGATAAATATGGGAGCAACAGACACTGTGGACTGCTAGACAGTGGAGGGAGAGGGTGATGAAATCTGTATTCCAAACCTCAGCATCACCCAATAATCCCATGTAACAAATCCACACATGAACCCTCTGTTTCTAAATTATAAAGTTGAAATAAAAAAAAATCGTTATGTGAGAACTAACTGGAAGCACTGAAGAGGACACTTTGTGGGGAGATGGACCTGTTCCTCACCCTCACTTAGCTGCTGTAGACAAGTATGTGCACATTTGCCTGAAACCCTCTAACCGTACCTGGAAAATCTGTGCATTTTGTATATGCTAATTTTATCTCACAAAAATGGAAAATAGACAATTGTAGAAAAATATTTTATATTAAAATTAAAATCTTAAATATGAAAATTCAAATACAAAATGAGAATGTGATTGTTACAATAATTATTAATGTGCATTCGGCTATATCTACTAGAATAAAATCACAGAAATAAGATAAATGTAACATCTGAAAATAAAAAAATTAATGAACACACTGAAGACACCTGGGACCCACAGGTGGGGTGACTTGACCTTCAGTCATCCTCTTGGTGATTTGAGGGTTTTCCCAGGAAACGATGAGACGTAGTTTTTCAATGGGGCTCTGGTGACCCTGGTGAGATGTCTGAAGGTCCCTGAGGCCTGACCATCCAGCCAGCGCCCCTGGCCTGTGGACGCCCTGCCTGCCCTGCAGAGGCGGTTGGCAGTGCCACCTGGCTTTTGGCCGGGTCCTGGGGAGGCAGAGAGAGGCCAATTTTGGTTCTCACTCCTGGCCCCCCAGAGGGCACAGTGAGGGGCCAGTAGGGAGAGGATAGGAGAAGAGGAGGAGGAGGAGCCGTGTCCCCGGCAGCAGGATTCCCACTTGGAGCACAAAGTGAAGCAAGCACAGGGGAGGGGGACTAGAATCAGTCCCCCACAGCAAGCACAGAAAGGAGGAGCTGCGCAGAAGGCAGAGCCCCCCAGACCCTGGGGCCTGGCTGGGGAAGGTCCGCACTTGGGGAGAGCTGGGAGCTGTTGAAGGTTTGGGGGGAGGGGAAACGGGTTGTTTCTTCATTTCTTTTTTTGTTTTTGACTTTGTTGGTTCATCCCTGTTTTCTAGCTTTGGATCATTTTTGTACCAAGGCGAGCAAGCCTTTTTGAAAAATAACAAAAGAGGAAAAAAAAAATCCCTCCTGGAAAAAAAAAAAACCCTGGAAAATAGAAAAAAAAAAAAGGACCTCATAAATGATGCAATTACTTTTAATTGCAGGCAACTCTTTACATTTAAGTGAAGTGTCTTAACATTTTATATGGTTTTAAAAATGTATTTACATATTATATATATAATATACGTAATATAAATATATATAAATATTTAAAAAAGAAAAAAGAAAACCACGGCACTCTTCCTGGCCACTGTTTTGGCGGGGGAGGGGACTGGGGGGGCGGGCAAGTCGGCCTGGCTTCTGTGGTCCCAGTGAAATGGTCTGGTTTGATTTGGCTGTACAGAGATCCCCTGACTTGGGAGGGGAGGGGGGAGTGGTGCCCCCTCCTCCCTCCACTCCATTACTCTCTGCTTGCTACTTCACTTGCCCCCAGCTCCCACCCTCAGCCCTGTGACTGGAATGTGTGCCCCACCGTCATTGTCCTGAGTTGAATGTCCCTTTGTGGGGGAGGTGAGGGGGTAGTGTCCATCCACGAAGGGGCAGAAGGAGGGAGCCACGGGCCCTGCCCCACCCGCTCGGGGGAAGCCCAGTGGGATTTGCATCTTTCTTTCCCTTTGGTTCCTGCACATTTATGGGCCGGGAGGCATCCGTGTGGAATTGCGTGCAGCCTGTGTGTGTGCTGGCACAAGCCCATGCACTGTGTGTGCAGACGCATGGCGCCTGCACCCACAGGCATGGCCGAGCACATGTGTGGGGGAAGGTGTGGGCACATAGGTGCATGTAACCTGTTTGCGCATTGGCACGTGCCTACCTGCATGTTAGCGTGAGAGGAGCTTTGTGTGTGAGAACATGTGTAATGTGTGTGCAGACATGCCGAGCGCCAGAGACTTGTGTGTGGGCCACGTACATGTGGACAGAGACGCATACATGGAGGTGCATGTAATCTGTGTCTCCGAGTGTGTGTGTGCACGTATGTGTGCTGGTGCAGACCCAGGTGTGTGGGTGTGCCTCTGTGTGCGTGTGTTCCATCATCCCTGCACCACTGGCTCCAGATCTCTTCCTGAGCCCCCGTCCCCACTGGCCCTCTCACAGCCTGCAACACATCAGTGCCCCCAGCTGCATGCGCCTCGCTGCTCTGTCCATCAGTGTGTGCTTGACCAAGAGAAAACTAAGACGTCTCGGGGGGCCCCTGTACCTGGTCCTCTCAGCCCCCGCCCACTGTGCTGTGTTACTTGCATGGGGGATTTCCTGCCCCTTCCACAATATGCTGTTTCCCCCAGGAGCCTCAGGCCTGAGGCTCGGAGTGGGGTCCCCAGAGGGCCCCCTGGGGTGAGCCCCGGCTCCACACCCTGCCCCATCCACCCTGTAGGGCCCATGTTGGTGTAGCGGTGATGGCTTCTGTGGATATTCTGTGACCTCTGTCGGTGTAACTTGACAATTTCTAAATGGAAAAGGGTTGCTGCGTTTTCTCTGTCTCTTTTTTTAATGTCCTTTTTTCTTCTCCCCACCTCCCTGCTCTCTTTCCTTTTCAGTTTTTCTAGCCAAGTGTTTGGGGCTTTAATAAAACTTGTTTCTTTTTCCTCTCCTGGATCTCCTTCCTATAGGCTGATGTCTCATTATTTCTCTGCTTCACTCTGGAGGATCTGGAAGGTGCTGGGATGGGTGGGGTGGCAGGTGGGGAATCCCTGGCAGCCACTGGCCTTCAGCTGGCAGAGCATGAAGGGAAGGACAGAACAGGGCCCCTGGGATTAGCCAGGTGGGCTGGTGTAACACCAGTAATCCCAGCTACTCGGGTGGCTGAGGCATGAGAATCGCTTGAACCCAGGAGGTGGAGATTGCAGTGAGCCGAGATTGCACCACTGAGCTCCAGCCTGGGTGACAGAGCGAGACCCTGTCTCAAAAAACAAAAACAAACAAACAAAAAAAAACAGTTCTCGGCTTGGCATTCCAGGAGGTGTCCTGCCTAACCCTCACAACCATCGGTGAGGTAGCTACCGGCACTACCTACTCAGGCAAGTGACAAAGCTCAGAGATGTTGGGCATCTTACCCAGAGTCATACAATTGGTAGGTTGTAGACAAACCAGTAAGTTTGAATCCAGCTCTGCCTGACACCAAAGCCCATGGTTACCCTAAAACCAAGCAGGGCTGATGACCTCCAGCAGTCCCCTGAATTGGGTCTCAGCCTCCTGCCCTTTGAGTGAGATGACCCTTGGTGGGGGTCCACCAATCTTTTCTTTCTTTTCTTTTTTTTCTTTTTTTTAGACGGGGTCTCCCTCTGTCACCCAGGCTGGAGTGCATGATTACAGCTCACTATAGCCTCAACTTCCCTGGGCTCAGGTAATCGTCCCATCTCAGCCTCCCAAGTAGCTGGGACTACAGGTGCCTGCCACCACACCTGGCTACATTTTTTGTATTTTTTGTAGAGACGAGGTTTCGCCATGTTGCCCAGGCTGGTCTCGAACTCCTGAGCTCAAGTGATCTGCCCACCTCGGCCTTCCAAAGTGCTGGGATTACAGGCCTGAACCACCGAGCCTGGCCACACCCATTTTTCTAGATGCAGCAGCTTTCAAACCCGTAAAGTGGTAACAATACAAAATGCATTTGACACCTCTGTGCTTTAGGTATGTACAGACATGTGCACAAACAGCCACAGCAAAGCAGCACCTGCTACACAGAGCACCATGGTGTATGCCACGGGTCCTGATTGGTTTTTACAGGCTTTCCCGGAATTCTGAAGGCTGTGCCACTGTTCCAGCCTGTTCTAAGAGTCCCCGAGGCTGCCTTCCAGCTGTTCTGCATGACTGAGGGCTGGCATGTTACCGAATCTCTTCTCCCCCCTCAGCATCACTTCACTTCCATCCCTGAAGGTAGTGACCGTGTCCTGGAGCCACAATCTTCCAGTCATCACAGGGGCCCCAGTTGCAGTTTCTTCTCCTAAAGACCTCTTTGGAGACAGAGGGCAGCAACCTGTCTACTGTCTGCAGGGAATGCCCCTCCATGAGTCACCCACCCACCAAAGCCCAACAACCCTTGAGACTCACAGAAAGCCAGTCCCCAGCCTGCCCGTGGCCCATCCCTATGTCCTTTTTAGAATGTCAGCAGATCTTGCCTTCTCTCTGCCATCCTATTCCCCAAAAACTGGGAGAGGAGCCAAAAAAAACCCTCTCCCAGAATCACTGCACTCATGACAGTTCAAGATCAAGTAACAAACGGAACTATCCGCTGCACACCTGGAAGGAGGCCGGCACTCATTCAGCCGCCAGATGCCTATCCAGGATGCACTCCCTGTGAGGCACTGCTCATCCACTCCTTGGGGCTGGGGCTCTGTCTGGCAGGGGAGCTGCCAGGACAGCCAGCAGACAGAACACAGACACCTGAGCTCAACCAAGGCAGGTGCTGGGAGCACACAGGAAAGAGGCCAGTGACAGGTGTGGCGGGGAGTAGCAGGGTTGGTCACATTTGAGAGGAGACCTTGTGGGTGCGTGAGGAGTGGGCTTTGGGGGTGCTGGTGGCTGAGGGTCCCAGGCACAAGGCCCTGGGTGGGACGTAACCAGTGGGTTCTGGAAAATGAAGGAAATCCAAGAAGAGTGAGGAGGGGAAAGTGCAGTGTGGTGGGCAGAAGACACCTCATGTGAGGCCTTATGGGCTTAGGTAAGGAAGGTGCCATGGAAAACAATAGGAGGGTTTAAAGTAAGAAAGTGTCATGAACTGACATGTTGTTTCAGAAGTTGTCTCAGAGTGGGCTGGGCGTGGTGGCTCACGCCTGTAATCCCAGCACTTAGGGAGGCCGAGGTGGGCAGATCACAAGGTCAGGAGTTCGAGACCAGCCTGGCCAACATGGTGAAACCCGGTCTCTACTAAAAGTACAAAAATTAGCTGGGCGTGGTGGCAGGCACCTGTAATCCCAGCTACTGGGGAGGCTGAGGCAGGAGAATCACTTGAACCCCGGAGGCAGAGGTTGCAGTGAGCCAAGATCATGGCATTTCACTCCAGCCTGGGTGACAAGAATGAGACTCCGTCTCAAAAAAAAAAAAAAAAAAAGAAGTTAATCAGAGTGGCATGCACCTGCAGTTCCAGCTACTGGGGAGGCTGAGGTGGGAGGATTGCTTGAGGCCAGGAGTTCGAAGTTTCAGTGAGCTATGATGGCATCACTGCACTCCAGTGTGGGTGACCAAGGGACACCCTGTCTCAAATACAATACTGCCTACTGTCTGCAGGGAAGGCCCCTCCATGAGTCACCCACCCACCAAAGCCTAGCAACCCTTGAGACTTACAGAAAGCCAGTCCCCAGCCCTGTCTCAAAAATGAAAAATAGGCCTGGCGCGGTGGCTCACACCTGTAATCCCAGCACTTTGGGAGGCAGAGGCGGGCGGATCACGAGGTCAGGAGATCGAGACCATCCTGGCTATCACAGTGAAACCCCGTCTCTACTGAAAATACAAAAAAAATTATCTGGGCACGGTGGCGGGCGCCTGTAGTCCCAGCTACTCGGGAGGCTGAGGCAGGAGAATGGCGTGAACCCGGGAGGCGGAGCTTGCAGTGAGCCGAGATCGCGCCACTGCACTCCAGCCTGGGTGACAGAGTGAGACTCCGTCTCAAAAAAAAAAAAAGAAAAAAAGAAAAACCGGAACTTATCCCTCCCAATAGCCATGCTTTATTAATGTTTTATAATACTAATTGCTACAATTTATGAAGAGTCCGTTAATCTAACAACCCAGACAATAGATATTATTACCTCTGTGCTATCAGTGGGGAAGGCTGACTCTGGCCAAGATTTGAGTGCGATCTGACTGCCTTCAGAGCTCAGGTTCCTGATGGAGAGGAGGCAGGCGCTACTTGACGTGTAGTGGTCGGGGAAGCCCTCAGCTTCTCTCCTTCACTGTCTGCACATCCTCTCTGGGCCCCCCTGGGCATTTTCTGACTGTTTGATCATTGAGTGGCTTAAGTGGTCCCTGAGCTCAGAGTGACAGAGCACCATCCACAGGATGGGGGCCTGGAGCTAGTGGCATCTGTGCCTCTTAACTGAGAACAGGCTTCCTCGAAGCTCACTGGTGCTGACTGGCTGATACCACTCATAATGGCACACCTGGCAGGGGGATCCCTCCATCCCCTCCCCTTTGTCATTGTTCCAGAAATCTTCACTCAAAATCTCAGCCTGTGCTTTAGTTCAGGGTGACAATCACGCTGCCTCTCCATGTCCATACTAGAAGGGCAGGAAAAAAATCTCTATTCCTTTCACCTAAGCCCTCATAGATTTGGAGTTTTCCCAAAGAAATGTTTCCTGCCGGGCGCGGTGGCTCACGCCTGTAATCCCAGCACTTTGGGAGGCCGAGGCGGGTGGATCACGAGGTCAGGGGTTCGAGACCAGCCTGACCAACATGGTGAAACCCCGTCTCTACTAATAATACAAAAATTAGCCGGGCGTGGTGGCAGTCGTCTGTAATCCCAGCTACTGGGGAGGCTGAGGCAGGAGAATTGCTTGAACCCGGGAGGCGGTGGTTGCAGTGAGCCGAGATTGCGCCACTGCACTCCAGCCTGGGTGACAGAGCAAGACTCTGTCTAAAAAAAAGAAATGTTTCCTATGAAATATATCAAACCCCACTGGAGGCCGGGCGCAGTGCCTCATGCCTGTAATCCCAGCACTTTGGGAGGCCAAGGCAGGTGGATCACGAGGTCAAGAGATCGAGACTATCCTGGCCGACATGGTGAAACCCTGTCTCTACTACAAATACAAAAAATTAGCTGGGTGTGGTGGCGCATGCCTGTAGTACCAGCTACTCGGGAAGCTGAGGCAGGAGAATCGCTTGAAACTGGAAGGCGGAGGTTGCAGTGAACTGAGATCGCGCAACTGCACTCCAATCTGGGCAACAAAAGTGAAACTCCATCTCAAAAAAAAAAAAACCCACTGGATAGGCAGAGCAAGTTTTACTGTATTTTATTTACCCTATTTTATTTGTTTGAGACAAGGTCTTGCTTTGTCACCCACACTGGAGTGCAGTGGCGCCATCATAACTCACTGCAACCTCAAACTCCTGGGCACAAGCGATCCTCTGGCCTCAGCCTTTTGAGTAGCTGGGACTACAGGTGCAAGTCACAACCCCTGGCTAATTTTTCAATTTTTGCAGAGACAGAGTTACCAAGGCTTATTTTGAACTCCTAGACTCAAGTGATCCTCCTGCTTTGGTCTCCCAGAGTGTTGGGATTACAGGCGTGAGCCAGCAAGCCTGGCCTAGAGCAAGTTTTAGAGTACAGTTTGTTATTGTTTGTATGGCTGCTTTTTTTTCTTTCTTTCTTTCTTTTTTTTTTTTTTTTTTTAACAGAGTCTCACTCTGTTGCCCAGGCTGGAGTGCAGTGGCACAATCTCAGCTCACTGCAACCTCCGCCTCCTGGATTCAAGCAATTTTCCCACCTTAGCCTCCTGAGTAGCTGGCACTAGAGGCACGTACCACCATGCCCAGCTAATTTTTGTATTTTTAGTAGAGATGAGGTTTCACCATGTCGGCCAGGCTGGTCTTGAACTCCTGACCTCAAGTGATCTGCCCACCTCAGCCTCCCAAAGTGCTGGGATTACAGGCATGAGCTACCACGACCGACCTGTTATGGCTTTTTTAAATTATTTATTTATTTATTTATTTATTTTATTTTTTCAAGACAGGGTCTTGTTCTATCACCACGGTTAGAATGCAGTGGTACTATCTCGGCTCACTGCAGCCTCAACCTCCTGGATTCAAGCAGACCTCCCACTTCAGCCTCCAGAGTAGCTAGGACTACAGGTATGTGCAACCATGCCTGGTCAATTTTAGTTTTTTGTACAGCCAAGGTCTCAGTATATTGCCCAGGCTGGTCTCAAACTACTGGGCTCAAGTGATCCTTCCACTTCCACCTTCCAAAGTGCTGGGATTACAGACGTGAGTCACCATGCTTGGCCTGTTATGGCTTTATTGAGATTTATTTCACATACCACAAAATGCACCCTTTTAAAGGCTACAGTTCCGTGATTTTTACCATATTCACAGATATGTGTGACCATCACCACAATCTAACTTTAGATTATTTCAACTCCCTGAACCCTGACCACTTGACAGTCATTCCCCATTCCTGCACCCTCCTCCCTGCCACCTACCTCCTCACCCCGACCCACAGCCCTAGGGAATTAGTAATTTACTTTCTATCTGTATGGATTTCCCATTGCAGACACTTCCCACAAATGGAATTATGCAACATGTCATCTTTTGTGATAATCTTCTTTCTACATGTTTCCAAAATTCATCTATGTTGTAGCATGTATCAGTACTGATGCAGGGCAGGCAAGCCCCCAAATTGGGGTTTAGCAGAGGAGGATTCTTGGTTTTGTCTGGGAAATAATTCAAGGGTGAGCCGGTGGTGTTAGACAGCAGCTTTTATTGAAGCGACAGTGCACAGCAGCAGAGGTGCTGTTCCTTGTGGAGCGGGGCTACCCCGCAGGCCGTGTGCTCAGAGTAGCAGCTCAGAGGTGGGTCTGCACTCATAGTTACACCCACTTTTAATTGTATGCAAATTAAGGGGTAGATTATGCAGAAATTTGTAGGAAAATTTTGGTAACTTTTGGGTCATTGGGTCGTTGCCATGGAAAGGGGTGGTAATTTCTGGCTATTGCCGTGGCAATGGTAAACTGAAATGCTGCACTGGTAGGCATGTCTTATGGAGAACTGCTTCCACTCCATCTTTGTTTTAGCTAGTTCTCAATTTGGTCCAGTGTCCAAGAGCTGACTCTGGAGTCAAGTCCCACCTCCTACCTCAGTATTTCATTCTTTTTTCTTTCTTTCTTTCTTTCTTTATTTATTTTTTTGAGACAAGAGTCTCTCTCTGTTGCCTAGGCTGGAGTGCAATGGCGTGATCTCGGCTCACTGCAACCTCTGCCTCCCAGGCTCAAGCGAGTCTCCTATCTCACCCTCCTGAGTAGCTGGGACTACAAGTGTGTGCCAGCATGCCCGGCTAAGTTTTGTATTTTTAGTGGAGAAGGGGTTTCACCATGTTGGTCAGGCTGGTCTTGAACTTTTGACCTCAAGTGATCCACCCACTTTGGCCTTCCAAAGTGCTGGGATTACAGGCATGAGTCACTGCGCCCAGACTGAATAATTTTTTCTTGTATGGATATATCATATTTTATTTATCCATTCATCAGTTGATGGATATTTAGGTTGTCAGTACATGAACATTTGTGTACAAGTTTTTTTTGTGTGTTGACATATGTTTCAGCTCTCTTGAGTATATCCTAAGGAATAGAATTGCTGGGTTTTACAATAACTCTAGGTTTAACATTTTGAGGAACTGCCAAACTGTTTTCCAAAGTGGCTGCCCCACCAGCCATGTAATAAGCATTCTAATTTCTCCACATTCTTGTCAACACTTGTTATTGTCTGTCTTTTTACTGCAGCCACCCTAATATGTATGAAGACGTAGCTCATGGTTTTGATTTGTATTCCCCTGACGACTACTGATGTTGAACATCTTGGCCAGGAGCGGTGGCTTAGGTCTGTAATCCTAGCACTTTGGGAGCCTGAGGCGGGCGGATCATGAGGTCAGGAGATCAAGACCATCCTGGCTAATGGTGAAACCCCATCTCTACAAAAAATACAAAAAAATTAGCCGGGCATGTTGGCGGGCACCTGTAGTCCCAGCTACTCGGGAGGCTGAGGCAGGAGAATGGCATTAACCCGGGAGGCAGAGCTTGCAGTGAACCGAGATCATGCCACTGCACTCCAGCCTGGGTGACAGAGCGAGACTCCATCTCAAAAAAAAAAAAAAAAAATATTTTCATGTATATAATAGCTATTGGCATATCTTCCTTGGATAAATGTCTTCAGATCCTTTGCTTATTTTTATTTAAATTGGGTTGTCTTTTTATTGTTGAAATTTTATTGTTCTTTATATATTCTAGATATGAGTCCCTTGTCAAATATATGATTTGAAAATGTTTTCCCCCGCCAGGTGTGGTGGTGCATGCCTATAATCCCAGCTCAGGAGGATCACTTGAGCCCAGGAGGTCGAGGTTACAGTGAGCCATGATCATATCACTGCATTCCAACTGGAGCCACAGAGTGAGTCCCTGTCTCAGGAAAAAAAAAAAAAAAACCACACACACACACACACACACACACACACACACACACTTTTTTTCTTCCATCCAATGATTGGTTGTCTTTTCACTTTCCTAATAGTATCCTTTGACACACACAGTTTTTAATTTTTATGAAGTCCAATCTTTTATAGCTTGTGCTTTTGGTGTCGCAGCTAGAAGATCCTCACACCTCAGCCTCCCAAGTAGCTGGGACTACAGGCATACACCACCATACCTCACTAATTAAAATTTTTTTTTTGCCTGCGCATGGTGGCTCATGCCTATAATCCTAGCACTTTGGGAGGCTGAGGTGTGCAGACCACTTGAGGTCAGGAGTTTGAGACCAGCCTGGCCAACATGGTGAAACCCCGTCTCTACTAAAAATACAAAAATTAGCAAGGCGTGGTGGTGGGAGCCTGTAATCCCAGCTACTCAGGAGGCTGGGGCAGGAGAATCACTCTAGCCCAAGAGGTGAAGGTTGCAAGGAACTGAGATCATGCCACTGCACTCCAGCCTAGGCAACAGGGTGAGACTCCATCTCAAAAAAGAAAAAAAAAGAGAAAAAAATTTTTTTGGTAGAGAGGGGGTCCTGCTATATTGCCCAGGGTGGTCTTGAACTCGGTGTCCAAAAGTGCTGGGATTACAGGACCTGCCACCACACCAGGCTAATTTTTGTATTTTTAGTAGAGATGGGGTTTCACCACGTTGGCCAGGCTGGTCTCGAACCCCCCGGGCTCAAGGGATCCGCCTAACTCAGCCTCCCAAAGTGCTGGGATTACAGGCATGAGCCACCGGCCTGGCCTCTTCTCACATTCTTGATGATGTCTCATGACGTACAGAAGTTTTAAATTTTTCTGTTTTTTCTTCCATTGTTCAAGCTTTTGGTGCCAAATCTAAGAATCCATTGTCATATTCAAGGCCATGAAGATTTACCTTATTTTTTTTTCTAGGAGTTTTAGATTTTATTTTAGAGTCTATGATCTATTTTGAGTTAATTTTTGTAGACAGAGTGAGATAGTGGTCCAATTTCATTCCTGTGCATGTGTTTATCCAGTTGTCCCAGCACCATTTTTTTTTTTTTTTTTTTGAGATGGAGTCTTGCTCTATCGCCCAGGCTGGAGGGCAGTGGTGCAATCTCGGCTCACTAACCTCCATCTCCCGGGTTCACACCATTCTCCTGCCTCAGCCTCCCCAGTATCTGGGACTACAGGCACCTGCCACCACGCCCAGCTAAGTTTTTATATTTTTAGTAGAGACGGGGTTTCACCACGTTAGCCAGGATGGTCTCGATCTCCTGACCTCGTGATCCGCCCACCTCGGCCTCCCAGCGTGTTGGGATTACAGGCGTGAGCCACTGCACCCGGCCTCCAGCACCATTTTTTTAGAAAAGATTATCATTTTCCCCATCGAATGGTCTTGGTAACATTGTCAAATATCAAATTGACATCCAGTGTGTATCATGGATGTAAAAAATATATGTATCAGTTGACGATAAATGTTTGGGTTTATTTCTGGATTCTTAATTCTTTTCCATAGGTCTATTTATCTAGCCTTATGCCACTACCACACTGTTTAGATTACTGCAGCTTTGTAGTAAGTTTTGATATTGGGAAATGTAAGTACTGCTACTTTGTTTTAAATTTTGTTTTCACTATTTGAGGCCCCTTGGAGTTTCCTATTTAGTGGATTCCTTAGAATTTTCTACATACAATCTCATGTCATCTGCAAATAGAGACAGTTTTACATCTCTATTTGTGGATGGCTTTTATTTCTTTTTCTTGCCTAATTGCCTGGGCTAAAACTCCCAGTAGAATGTTGACTAGAAGTGGTAAGAGTGGACATCTTTTCTGTTTCCTGATCTTAGAGGGAAAGCTCTCAGTCTATTAATTTAATAGCATGAAATACAATATTAGCTGTAGTTTTTTTTTTTTTTTTAGACAGTGTCTCCCTCTGTCACCCTGGCTGGAGTGCAGTAGCTCAATCATGGCTCACTGCAGCCTCGATCTCCTGTGCTCAAGCAATCCTCCTACTTCAGCCTCCCAAGTAGCTGGGACTACAGGTGTGAACCACCATGCCTGGCTAGTTTTTGTATTTTTTGTAGAGATGGGCTTTCACCATGTTGCCCAGGCTGGTCTTAAACTCCTGGGCTCAAGCAAGCCACCCACTTCAACCTCCCAAAGTGCCAGGATTATAGGCATGAGCCACCCTGCCTGGCCTAGCTACAGATTTTTCATAGGTATGTTTATCAGGTTGAGGAAGTTTCCTTCTATTCCTAGTTTATTGAATTTTATAATCATAAAAGAGTGTTGAATTTTGTCTTGCTTTTTCAGCATCTATTGAGATGATCATGTAATTTTTATTCTTTATTCTCTCAATTTTGTGTGTTTCATTGATTGATTTTCAAATATTAAACCAACCTTGTATTCCTGGGATAAATCCCACTTGGTTATGGTGTATAATCCTTTGTATACGTTTCTTGATTTGTTTTGCTGGTGTCTTTTTGTTGTTGTTGTTTTGAGACAGAGTCTCGCTCTCTCTTCCATGCTGGAGCGCAGTGGCGTGATCTCAGCTCACTGCAACCTCCGCCTCCTGGGTTCAGGCAATTCTTGTGCCTTAGCCACCAGAGTAGCTGGGATTACAGGTGTGTGCCACCACACCCAGCTAATTTTTGTATTTTTATTAATAGTAGAGATAGGGTTTTGCTATGTTGGCCAGGCTGGTCTCCAACTCCTGGCCACAAGTGATCCGCCTGCCTCAGCCTCCCAAAGTGCTGGGATTACAGGTGTGAGTCATCATACCCAACCGGTTTGCTTGTAGCTTGTGGAGGACTTTTGTTTCTATAGTCACAAGGGATATTAGTCTGAAGTTTTCTTGTGATATCTTTTTCTAGCTTTGGTATCAGGGTAATACTGGCCTCACGGTCCCTTCCTCTTCTTTTTTTGAAAGAGTTTGTGAGGGATTTGTACTAATTTTTCTTTAAATATTCGATAGAAATCACCAGTGAAGCCATCTGGGTCTGGAATTTTCTTTGTTGAAAATTTTTAAATGACTAATTAAATCTTTTTCCATGTTGTAAGTCTGTTCAGATTATTTATGGGTTCTCCTTCTTATGTCAGTTTTGGTAATTTATGTCTTTCTAGGAATTTTTTCATTTCTTCTATTTATCTAACTTGCTGGCATGCAGTTGTTCACAGTGTTCCCTTATTATTCCTTTACTTTTGTGTGTGTGTGTGTGTGTGTGTGTGTGTGTGTGTGGAGATGGACTCTTGTTCTGTCTTCTAGGCGGAGTGCAGTTACACGATCCCAGCTCACTGCAACCTCTGCCTCCCAAGTTCAAGTGATTCTCTTGCCTCAGCCTCCTGAGTAGGTGGGATTACAGGCGCCCGCCACCACGCCTGGCTAATTTTTGTATTTTTAGTAGAGACAGGGTTTCACATGTTGGCCAGGCTGGTCTTGAACTCTTGACCTCAAATGATCCACCCGCCTCGGCCTCCCACAGTGCTGGAATTACAGGCGAGAACCACTGCACCCAGCCCCCCTTTACTTTTTATAAGTATTGATAGCTCCCTTTTCATGCCTGAGGTATTAATCTGAGTCTTCTCTTTTTTTTTTTTTTTTTTTTTTTTGCTTGGTCAGTCTAGCTAAACAGTTGTCATTTTGTTGCTCTTTTCCAAGAAAAAACTTTTGGTTTTACTGACTTTCTCTATTTTTTCTATTTTCTATTTCATTTATTTTTACTCCTACCTTTATTATTTCCTTCCTTTGGCTTTCTTTTGGTTGAGTTTGCTCTTCTTTTTCTAGTTTCTTAAGGCAGAAGTTTAGGTTATTAATTAGAAATCTTTCTTCTTTTCTAATATTGACATAGTTACAAATGTCTCTCTAAGCACTGCTTTAGCTGCATTCAGTAAGTTATGTTATGTTGTGTGTTAGTTTCCATTCATCTCAAGATATTTTCTAATTTCCCTGTGATTTCATCTTTCACTCATTGATTATTTAGGAGTGTTTTTAAATTTCTACATATTTCTAGCCGGGCATGGTGCCTCACGCCTGTAATCCCAGCACTTTAGGAGGCCAAGGCAGGCAGATCACTGGAGGTCAGGAGTTCGAGACCAGCCTGGCCAACATGGTGAAACCCCGTCTCTATTAAAAATACACAAATTAGCCGGGTGTGGTGATACACTCCTGTGGTCCCAACTACTTGAGAGGCTGAGGCAGGAGAATCACTTGAACCCAGGAGGCGGAGGCTGCAGTGAGCCGAGATAGCGCCACTGCACTCCAGCCTGGAGGACAGAGCAAGACCCGCCTCGAAAAAAAAAAAAAAATTCTACATATTTGTTAATTTCCTCGGTTGTCATTTTCTAATTTAATTCCATTGCAGCTGGGGAACAGACTTTATATAATTTCAATCCTTTTCCATTTATTGAGGCTTGTTTTAAGGCCTAGTATAAGTCTATCCTGAAGAGTGTGTCATGCGTAGCTGAGAACAATGTGTGTTCTGCTGCTGTGTGGAGTGTTTCGATGTCTTTCAGGTCTTGGCTTACAGTGTTGTTCAAGGCTTCTACTTCCTGGTTGATCTTCTGCCTCGTTGTTTTATCCGTTATTGAAAGTGGGGGCCGGGAGCAGTGGCTCATGCTTGTAATCCCAGCAGTTTGGGAGGACGAGGTGGGTGGATCACGAGGTCAGGAGATCGAGACCATCCTGGCTAACACGGTGAAACCTCGTCTCTACTAAAAATACAAAAAATTAACCGGGCATGGTGGCGGGCACCTGTAGTCCCAGCTACTCGGGAGGCTGAGGCAGCAGAATGGCGTGAACCCGGGAGGTGGAGCTTGCAGTGAGCAGAGATCGTGCCACTGCACTCCAGACTGGGCAACAGAGTGAAACTCTGCCTCAAAAAAAAAAAAAAAAAGGAAAAGAAAGTGGGGTATTGAAGTCTCCAACTACTATATTGAATGGTCTAATTCAGTTCAGTTCCCTTCAGTTTTATTAGTTTTTGCTTCATGTATTTTGGGCTCTGTTGTTAGGAGTATATATGTTTACAATCATTTTGTCTTCCTCATAAACTGCCTCTTTTATCATTATAAAAGATATTGTATCTTTAGTAACAATTTTTTTTTTTTTGGAGACAGAGTCTTGTTCTGTCGCCTAGGCTGGAGTGCAGTGGTGCTATCTCGGCTCACTGCAACCTCCGCCTCCCAGGTTCAAGCAATTAGGAGCTCCTGTCTCAGCCTCCCGAGTAGCTGGGACTATAGTGCATGCCACCACGCCCAGCTAATTTTTGTAGTTTTAGTACAGATGGGGTTTCACCATGTTGGTCAGGCTAGTCTTGAACTCCTGACGTCAGGTGATCCACACATCTTAGCCTCCCAAAGTGCTGGGATTACAGGCATGAGCCACCTCGCCCAGGCTTCAGTAAGAATTTTTGTCTTAAAGTCTAATTTGTCTCACGCTTGTGTAGCCACCCTAGCTCTCTTTTAATAACTCCTCACATGGTTTCTTTTTGCATCCTTCTACTTTCAACTCTTGTGTCTTTGACTCTAAAGTAAATCTCTCACAGATCATTTTATTTTATTTTATCCATTCTGGGCTGGGCCCGGTGGCTCACACCTGTAATCCCAGCCCTTTGGGAGGCCCAGGTGGGAGCATCACTTGAGCCCAGGAGGTTGAGACCAACCTGGTTAAGATAGCAGGACCTCGTCTCTACAAAAATTTTGTTTTTAAAATTAGCCAAGCGTGGTGGCGTGGTCCCGTAGTCCCAGCTATTTGGGAGGCTGAGATGGGAGGATTGCTTGAGCCCAGGATGTCAAGGCTGCAGTGATCTAGGATCACACCACTGCATTCCAGCCTGGGCAATTGAGCAAGACCCAGTCTTATAAAAAGAAAAAAATAATAATCCATTCTGCCAATTTCTGCCTTTTGATTGGGGTGTTAAATTCATTTACATTCAATGTATCACTAATAAGCTAGGATTTATGTCTGCCATTTTGCTAACTGTTTTCATATGTCTTGCCTTTTTTGTTCCTCTATTCCTTGATTCTGCCTTCTTTCTTTCCTTCCTTCTTCCTTCCTTCCTTCCTTCCTTCCTTCCTCCCTCCCTTCCTTCCTTCCTTCCTCCCTCCCTCCCTCTCTCCCACTCTCTCTCTCTCTCTCTTTCTTTCTTTTTTTTTTGGAGACACAGTTTCACTCTGTTGCCCAGGCTGGAGTGCAGTGGTGCCATCTTGGCTCACTGCAACCTCCGCCTCCCCAGTTCAAGCAATTCTCCTGCCTCAGCCACCCGAGTAGCTGGGATTACAGGCATGCACCACCACCCCCAGCTAATTTTGTATATTTAGTAGAGACGGGGTTTCACCATATTGGCCAGGCTGGTCTCAAATTCCTGGCCTCAAGTGATCTCCCCACCCTGGCCTCCCAAAGTGCTGGGATTACAGGCATGAGCCACCATGCTTGGCCTTCTCTGATTCTTGAAGGGGCCTGAAGTAGATAGGGAATCCCTGCATTCCAATATCTGTTGTCAATGCAAAAATTTTCACGGCCAGTTCTCTGTCAGGGTCAGGGTCATGGGGAGGTTTCTTATGGGGCAAGGGTTGGGGTCAAGGAATTTGAGGAACTTGAATAGGGCAGGGCCGGGGAAATCAGAGCCTGGTCAGGAGCTAGACTTCTCCCTGTACCAGTGGGGGTGCTCGGGGATTATTGCAGGCCGTAAAGAAAGCTAAGCATTAGGCGAGGGACCACCAGAGAAGACAAAAGTGGTCTCCTTCCTCAAGAACTTAGAATTAAGATGATAAGGAGAGTGGGGTGCCGTGGCTCATGCCTGTAATCTCAGCACTTTGGGAGGCCGAGGCAGCAGGATCCATTGAAGCCAGGAATTCAAGAACATCCTGCACAAAGAAGCAAGACCCCATTTCTACAAAAAAATACAAAAACATTAGGCAGGAGTGGTGGTGTGTGCCTGTAGTCCAGCTAACTCAGGAGGCTGAAGCAGGAGGATCACTTGAGCACAGCAGTTAGAGGCTGCAGTGAGCTGTGTTCAGGCCACTGCACTCCAGCCTGGGTGACAGAGCGAGACCAGTCTCAAAAAAAAAAAAAAAAAAAAAAAAAAAAAAAAGATGATAAGGGAGCCTTCTGAGTAAAGAACAGCTCCACTCCACCTGCCGTGGAGCTGAGAGACCGCCGTGTGTGCCTGCCCACACTCCTACCCGGGACAGCCTAAACCATCCACACAGGGAGGCGGGATCAGAATGTGGCTGTAACTTGGGGCACCGACGCCGCCTGGGTGTCCTGGACACAGCCTGGAGAAAGTCTAGAGACAGGGCTGTCACATCTAGAACAATGGTTTCTGATGAGCTTGGGAGCACCCTGTCCAAATTGAATCCTCCCTAGAAACCCAGCAATGTGAGACAGAACCAAGAGTGGCTCAGATGGAGGCCGTGGGAGCTTGGATGCCTGCACGCTTGGTCCTCTCATATACCTGTTGGTGGTCACAACCCCATGGTGGCTCCAGGGAACACAGTTTGACCATCACGGACCTGGGTTTTAGAGTCGGGCAAGAGAGACAGAGGCTGGCAGTCGTGAGTGTCCGGCACTTGCAGGATTTGTGCCCACCCTCAGCGCTCACAGCCTGGTGGGAGGCCAGGCCCTGGTGCCCAAGGCAGCCCCTTCCCTACAGCCGGGACAGGAGGCCACAGGCTCTCAGACACCTGGTGCCTCCTGCTTCCCTGACTCTGATTCCTGGTCTCCCCAGTAGATGAGACTGAGACCACTGCGGCAAACACAACTCAACGTCCCTGTCCCTGCAACAGTTATTCCTATCGCTGTACTTAATAGACCGGCAGCCTCATCCATGCCTCCGTTTCTTAAAGGCTTGGCCAGCTGGTTTCAGCTCAGACTCAGGACAGAGCCAGTCCGTGTGCCAAAAAATCAAGAAACACTCAGAGCCTGAGAACAGAGGATCAGAACTCAGATACCAGAGCACCACCAAGGAAGGAGGCCACCTAACCAGCTCCCCTGCCTGAGGCCCAAGAATATGCCCAACCTTCTAGTTACTTAAGTTCTCTGAGCCTTGGTTCCCCCATCTGTAAAATGGGGATGGTACAAAATTCAAGGTCTTCCGTAAAAATGAAATGAAACCGATGTTTGTGAAAAGTTATCTACATACTGGCTGGCACCTAGTAGGTGCTCAGTAAATGTGCATTCCCTCCTCTTTCATCTCATGCTAGTGATTGTGATGAACTCACTGGGTCACAGTGAAGTCTCTGAGTCAGTTTACAGTAAAGACGTACTCTCTGAAAAGCACGTTCTATTGTTCAAGGCCCTATAATTGAGAAGGCCTCCTGCAGGAGTCAGGCAGGCCCAGACTGGGAAGCGGTAACTGCTAGGGTCTCAGGAGGAAGGAATTTCAAGCCAGGAGGCTTCAGGGAGGCAGTGGCCTGTGAGCTCTGGGGAGGTCAGTTTTGAGTCCACTGGAGACACGGTGGGGTCACAGGAAGCAAATGAGGACATCTTCTGGCCAGAAGGGACTCAGAAGGGGCTCTCCGGGGAGTGTGGAGAAGCCAGGCCCAAAGGGGCAAGGCACGGCTGCTGGGCAAGGTGCTGGCTCTCGAGAAGGGGCCGCAGCCTTCAGAGGCCTCAGCCTGCCCATGGTGCTCCTCGGCCCCTTCAGGAAATCTGCCTTGCTTTATGGGACCTATTTCAGACTTCCTTCACTCTGCTCAGACTTTCCCTGCCACCTTCATGCCCAGCAGAGGTCCTCACCTTCCACTTCGCTGAGGAAACAGCCATCAGCTGGGAGCAACCCCAATGACCTGCTGCCAACACTGCCTGCTAGTGTGCCCCTGCCACCTCCCTCTCTTCCTACTACACCTGGGGATGCATCTGCTAGGAGCACAGGCTACTGCTGCTTCATGGGCTCTGGGCCCAGCTCTTCCTCTCTCTCTGTCTCTCACCTGGATCATTCCCATTGGCAAGTAAATATGTGCTTTCGTCTTTTTTTGTTTGTTTGTTTGTTTTTGAGATAGGGTCTTGCTCTGTTGCCCAGGCTGGACTGCAGTGGCATGATCATGGCTCATCACTGCAGCCTCAACCTCCCAGGCTCAAATGATCTTCCTGCCTCAGCCTCCCAAGTAGCTGGGACTACAGGCATGCCCCACCATGCCTGGTTATTTTTGCATTTTTGTAGAGTTGAGGTCTCACTATGTTGTCCAAGCTGGTCTCGGACTCCTGGGCTCAAGGGATCCTCCTGCCTCGGCCTCCAAATGTGTTGGGATTACAGGCATGAGCCAACATGCCTGGCTGCTTTCATCTTTTAATGAAAGTTTCCCTCAAGCCACATATTTTCCCATTTTTGTTCTGTAAATATCTCTTCACAATCGGACTTCTCACAAGAGTGCTCTATGTATGCGCTCTTCCCTCCCTCACTTTATTAGCTCATTCCATCTGGTTTCTGCCTCCACTGTGCCTCCAAACCTGCTAGACAGATAGTCTATTTCTTCATTAGCTTAGTGTCTGTCTCTCAGTAGAAGATAAGCTTTGTGAGGGCAGGAACCTATCTGTTTGGCTCATTATTTATATTTTCAGTACCCAGAACAGTACTGATATAAAGTAGACATTCAACAAGTATTTGTGGTATTATCATATGAATTAGCCCTATCTTTTTCAAAAGCATTGTTAGGTTTTGGTATCAGGGTAATGCTGGCCTCATAAATGAGTTGGAAAGTGTTTCTTCCTCTTCTATTTTCCTTTCTTTTTTTTTGAGACGGAGTCTCGCTCTGTTGCCCAGACTGGAGTGCAGTGGCACGACCTCGGCTCACTGCAACCTCCTCTTCCCAGGTTCAAGCAATTATCCTGCCTCAGCCTCCTGAGTAGCTGGGATTACAGGTACATGCCACCACACCCAGCTAATTTTTTTGTATTTTTAGTAGAGATGGGGTTTCACCACATTGGCCAGGCTGGTCTTTAACTCCTGATCTCAAGATCCGACCTCAGCCTCCCAAAGTGCTAGGATTACAGGTGTGAGCCATGGTGCCCAGCCATCCTCTTTTATCTTCCAAAAGAGATAGTGGAGAATTGGTATTATTTCTTAAATAACTATTTAAATAACATTTAAATAATTCAAATATTTAAAAAACTATTTAAATATATCAATATTTAAAATTATACTATTTTCTATTTAGAATATTTTAAAATTATTAAAGTAAATTGTTTAAAAATTTAAAAAATTCCTTAAATATTTGGTAGAATTTAACAGTGAAACCATCTGGTCCTGAAGTTTTCATTGTTGGGGGGTTTTAAATTACATATTCAATTTCTTTAGGAGGTATAGGACTATTCAGGTTATCTATTTTTTCTTAAGTGAGTTTTGGCAGTCTGAATCTTTCAAAGAATTGGTCTATTTCATCTAAGTTATTGAATTTATGGGCAACTTTATGCCCATAAATTCAATAACTTAGGGGTCTATAGCCAGGCGTGGTGACTCACGCCTGTAATCCCAGCACTTTGGGAGGCCAAGGGGGGCAGATCACAAGGTCAGGAGATCAAGACCATCCTGGCTAACCTGGAGAAACCCCATCTCCACTAAAAATACAAAAAATTAGCTGGACGTGATGGTGGGCACCTGTAGTCCTAGCTACTCGGGAGGCTGAGGCAGGAGAATGGTGTGAACCCAGGAGGCGGAGCTTGCAGTGAGCCGAGATGGTGCCACTGCACTCCAGCCTGGGTGACGGAGCAAGACTCCGTCTCAAAAAAATAAATAAATAAAAAATAAAAAATAACTTAGGGGTCTGTAGTGATGTCCCTCTTTCATCCCTGATACTGATAATCTGTGCCATCTTTCTTTTTATTCTGTTAGTCTGGCTAGAGGTTTATCAATTTCATTGATTTTTTTTCAAAGAACCAGCTTTTGGTTTCATTGCTTTTCTTCAACTGTTTTCAATTTCATGGATTTCTGCTCCTCTCTTTCCTTCTGCTTGCTTTAGGCTCTCCAAAGACCTTAAAGGATATCTGTTTTATTTATTATAGCACCCCACAGATTTACTGATATTCCCATTTTATAGATGAGGAAGCTAAGGATCAGAAAGTGGTTAAGTAACTTGCCCAATGTCCCAAACTACTAAATGGTGGAGCCAGAACTCAAACCCAGGACTGTCTGACTCCAGAGTCTGTGCTTCTAACTACTGAGTGACATTGCCTCCTAGCCACATAACTCCCAGGCCAGGTCCTCCTACTACAGCAGATGCCTCACCAAACACTGCCAAGGTAAGCAACTTCTCAGCTTACCTTGGGCACTCGGTACCTCCTGCCTTCCCTCCCAGGGACCATCAACTTTCCCCACGGTCCAATTGCCATTCCCTCAATTCCCTTGAACAAAAACCACAGTGGGCTGGCTTGTACAGGGATCAAGCCTTCAGAATTGCCTTCATACGTACCTTGGACTTGACTGAACTACAGGTGGTAGAATCTGTTGGTGAAAGACAGAAAAAAAAATGAAAGTTGCATCAGGGAAAAAGAAAGTTGAGTCTTATGCACACAATTCCTCTCCTCAAAGGCTTCAGAAACCAGGGAATTCTGAAACATGAGATCTCCCCAGGCCCTAGGAGTATGATGGACCTCTGATGTCCATCTATGGGAAAGGGATGGAGCGAAAATGATGTTAATTGCCACTTCCTCTAGAGGCAGGAAGTGACATCAGGCTGCCATCCACTGGCCCCTCATTTACCGATGGCTAAGGGCAAGGGGGCATTGTCTTTGAGCCTAGTTCCTCTCCCCTTCCCCGCCCGTCCCTGTTACTCTGAAGCACTGGAGAGAAAATGCCAAATATCAGGTGCAGTCCATGGAAACCACCACAGTGAAACACAGCAAATCACAGATGCTCTGGAGAAATGGAGACCACACAGTGCACAGAGAGGTGGGTGCCCTACATCCACCCCCGAGCACACAACAAAGAAGAGGGACCACATGAATAATGGATAAAAGGGCAGAAATAAAATGGGTGGGACTCAGGAGGTGGAGTGGGCTGGTGATTAGAGCCTTGATAGGTTCCACCTCCAGACCTGGGGTCACCCTGCCTCATGGGCAGGGTCCCCAGTTATCACCCAGTTATGAAGGAGACTAAAAGCATGATTTCTATGGGACTTGGGTCCCACTCCCTTAATATCACTGGGGTGGAGAAGGAACCAGAAACACGTCCTGGTGGGTCCTCTCCAAGGCTAGAGAGGGAGCAGGTTGGTCCAAGGGCTTCCTGGGGTCCCACAGGGTAGTGGGCAGGTGTGGTTAATCCACACTCTCTGGTAGGCAAGTTAGATGCCCCCCTCTCCGGACCCCTCCCCCTGCACAAGGTGAGAAAAGCAAGATGGGCAACCACACATGACACACAGGGCGCGGGGGGCGGCAGGTGATTAGAAGAGACATGGGGTCCCTCTCTGCCGCCCCACCCCCATGTCTTCTGGCCCCTCCTGAGCCTGCCTCTGGTGACTAGGGAGCTCCTGTGTGCCTCTGTCAGAGACAAACAGAAATGCTAAAACTAAAGGGAGGGACAACAATGGCGGGGGGAGGAGTCAGTGGCTGCAGCCACAAAGGGAGTGGCCCTCATCTGTCTCTGAGCATGTAAATCATCTGTCCTCTGCCATGAGAGGGCCACAGGCCCTGCAAACAGGACTTAGGGCCCCGGTTTCTTAAGCAGGAGGAGGCGGCCCATTGGGGTGACTGAGGCAGGAGTCAGAGATAAAAAGAAGCTTCTGGGCGTGGCATCGCTGGTCTCCAGAGAGTGTCGGTCCCCAGCCCGGATGACTAGCAGTGGTGAGACTCGGCAAAGAGAGGCCACAAGGTCTGTGGCACTGCAGAAGGGCAGCAATTCGATGCCCAGGTGTCCAGGCAACGGGGAGGGCCCTGGGCCCAGTGAGTGCCTCCTTCCTCCTGAGAAGGGGCTCTAGGATGGGAGGGGCATGGACTGCTGGGGTAAGTGGATAACAAGCAGGGGTAACTGGCATGTCAGTGTGGGGTCCTCACAGTCCGGGACATTCTGCCTGCCTCTGTGCCCACCCAGCCTTCTTATAATCACCCGCCACTGTTAGTGACCGAGGCCACGACACTGCACTGTACCCTTTAAATCTCCAACAGGTCCGCTGGAGGAGGGGAGGAGGAGGAGAAGAGAAAGGGGTGGGAGGAGAGCACGGGGAGAAGAGGAGGGAGAGGTGGGGGTGCAAGGAGAAAAGGAAGAAAAATTAAAAAGAGGAACATGCCCAGAGGGACACAGCCAGCCCATGAGAAATTAAAGGCTGAGGAAAGAAACCAGTGAAAGAGGGGGAACAAAGCTCCGACCCTGCCTGGGGCGGGGCAGCTGCATGGACAGGAGGTGGGCACGGGGCAAGCTGGACTTCCCCAGGGAGGGAGAAGGCCCCCAACAGCCCCATCTCCATGGTGGCTGGCAGGGGAGGGCCCCGCTGGGGTGGCACAGGGAAGCTGGGCATCTGGCCAGGCATCTGGGACCCTCAGGAATGCAGTGTCCACCCTCCTGCCTCCCCACTCCCAGGCCCCTGTGCTCACCTGACCCCGGGTCACCAAGGGGCACTGTCCTGCCAATGTTGGGCAGGAGGTACTCAATGTTGGGCACTGCCTGAGGCTCCTTGTTGCCCACAGGGGTCTGCGAACAGGAGGAGGGGTCAGCTGGCATGCCCTTGGATGCTGGGCTGCCGACCCCCCAGAGGGGGGTGCCCTGATGACAGAGCCCGTGTCTCCTCCATCAGACCGGGCTCACTGGGGCAGGGACCGTCTCCCTCATCAGCCGGGTGCTCTTGAGGATGATTCCTACATGTCCCCTGTTAGACAGCTTTGTGCCTTCCTCAACATCTCAGAACCACGAAGGCCAGAGCGGCCCCTTCAGCTAGGGGCAGGAGCTGTGTCTCCCGCACTAGACTGGAACTCGTCCAACCTAAGTCCTTCTCAGTAGCCTGGAGGGCAGCAGCTGCCTTTACTCCTGAATTGGGTTCCCTCTGAGCAAGGCCTGTATCTCCCCCATTTAGACTGGGGATTCCTGAAGGCAAGCTTTGTGCTTCTCTATCAGACTAGGGGCTCCTGAGGAGAGGGTCTGTGTTTCCTCCATCAGACTTGAGGGAAGCCTCAAGGACAGACACCTTCCCCAGCTTAAGTCTCGCTGCCTGCCCCACCCCCAAGGACTGGGGCTCACCCCAGACCAGCCCCCATGCCAGCCCACTCCGCGGCATCACTTACTCTCTCTCTCCCTTGTCCTCTTCATCACTGAAGAACCAGTCTGACTGCAGAGAAGACAAAAGGAAGGGATGAAATCAGCATGGGAAAGAAGAGTCTCTTCCACCTGCTCATTCCAGAGGACCCACTCAGGCGGCAAGGGGCGCCTCTCTCTCAACAAACCCCTGGCTGGCGGGGCTGCAAAAGAGGGCTCAGAGGGAGCTTGACGGACGCTAAAACCTGACTCCACAGACTATGAAAAACCCTGGGGGAGAGAAAAGGTGGGACCCCAGTGTGGGAGGAGACACGGCAGTGAGTGGGAGCGGCCACCTCAGACAGGAGATAGGCTTAGGGAGAGCTTCGCTTTTACTTGCTTTTCTCTAAACACTGTCCTGGGCACACCCCTATGGTATACTCCCCACAGCGAGCCAGGGGCAGGGAGGCACCAGTGCCGTTAGTGTTGGCCAGGTCCATGGCTGTGACAGCCGAGCATGCCCCAGGCCACCTGCCACCCATGGGTGCCACACTGACAACAGGGATGTCACATACTCAGCCAAGAAAAGGAAAATGACAGGAGAAAGGTGTTGGAGGTTTCCTGAGGGGCAGGAGGCGAGAGCTTTCTCATAAAGGCCAAACAAGAGACAAAATAAAGACCCCCCACAGTTTAATATATTTTGTAAAATTTGAGAATCTTGAAGATAAAATTCTAAGTTTTCTGAAAAAAAAAATCCAGATTGCTTATAAATGAACACGTATCACAGGTACTTGGAACCTTCAGCAGCAAGACACAAGAAGACAAGACAAGAAAGTAAGTTTTGATGTGTTGAAGGAACCTAGAATTTTATACCCTGCTAAACTCTCATTTAAAAAAATGAGAATGTAAAATAAAGCTATACTTTTTTTTTTTTTTCCAACAGAATCTCACTCTGTCACCCAGGCTGGAGTGCAGTGGTGCAATCTTGGCTCACTGCAACCTCTGCCTCCTGTGTTCAAGTGATTCTCTGGCTTCAGCCTCCCAAGTAGCTGGGATTACAGGTGCATGCCATCACGCCTGGATAATTTTTGTATTTTTAGTAGAGATGGGGTTTCGTCATGTTGGCCAGACTGGTCTCAACTCCTGACCTCAAGTGATCCACCCACCTCCACCTCCCAAAGTGCTGGGATTACAGGCATACCACAGATTGTTTTAATCACCCCTTAAGTGAACCTCCTGCTTTCTGGAGCCACCACACCTGGCCTTGAAATAAAGCTATCCTGAGACAGCAGAAAATTTTTTACACAAAGACTCTCTTAATTGAATACTTGAGCAAGTAAAGAGATGGACTTCGGCAAGCTCCAAGAAATAACTAAGGCACTTTTGGCTTTTATTGTATTTATTAATTTATTTTTGAGATAGGGTCTCTCGCTGTTATCCAGGTTGGAATGCTGTGGCATGATCCTAGCTCACTGTACCCTTGAACTCCTGGGCTCAAGAGATTCTCCCACCTCAGCCTCCTGAATAGCTGGGACTACAGGCATGTGCCACCTTGCACAGCTAATTAAAAAAAATTGTAGATTTTGGGATTACAAGCATGAGCCACTGCACCCACCACTTTTGGCTTTTAGATGTGGTGGAAGGAAGACACAGAAACTGATAAGCATTAGAAATTGACAGTGACAGGCCGGGTGCAGTGACTCACACCTGTAATCCCAGCACTTTGGGAGGCTGAGGTGGGTGGATCACCTGAGGTCAGGAGTTTGAGACCAACCTGGCCAACATGGTGAAACCCCATCTCTACTAAAAATATAAAAATTAGCTGGGCATGGTTGTGCACACCTGTAATCCCAGCTACTCGGGAGGGTGAGGTGGGGGAATCACTTGAACCCGGGAGGCAGAGGTTGCAGTGAGCTGAGGTCGCACCACTGTACTCCAGCCTGGACAACAAGAGTGAAACTCCATTTCAAAAAAAATGAATAAAAATTAAGGCAATTACCCTTTACCCCCCTCAACACCTATGAAAGAACAGGAACAGGCAATTTATAATCTCATTATGTAGACTTAAAACACACAAAGAATATTATATACATTTAAGGATAGCCATGCATTTACAATAAGTGGAAGGTGTCCTGGAAGGACACATATTAGCCTACTAAGAGTGGGCACCTAGGGGAATAAAGAGGGGAAACAAGGGGACTTGCCGAGCATGCGCCATGAGCCTCAGTTATTATTGCTCATGATCTGACATGTGATTAAATCAAACAGCACAGGAAGGCCAGAAGGGAAACAAGAAAGAGACAGAAGAGAAGAGAGCAAAGGAAGATAAGAAAAATGCAAGCTCTGGCCGGGTACAGTGGCTCACACCTGTAGTCCCAGCACTTTGGGAGGCTGAGGCAGGTGCATCAGCTGAGGTCAGGAGTTCAATACCAGCCTGGTCAACAGGGTGAAACCCCAGCTCTACTAAAAATACAAAAATTAGCCCGGCATGGTGGCATGCGCCCATAATCCCAGCTACTTGGGGGTGCTGAGGTGGATCACTTGAGCCCAGGAGCCGGAGGCTGCAGTGAGTGGAGACCGCGCCATTGCACTCCAGCCTGGGCGACAGAGTGAGACTCTGTCTCAAAAAAAAAAAAAGAAAAGAAAAAGAAAAATGGAAGCTCTGGAGTCAGTTATCTTGGTTCGAGTTCACCTTAGCTAAGTTACTTTCCCTCTGTAAGTCTATTTACTTATCTCTAAAATGGGCATGATGTGAGTACCCCCTTCTAGGCCTGAGGAGGATTGAGATGAAATACTGTATGGAAAACGTTGAGTGCAGCACGTTTTTAATGTATAATAGATGTCAGCTACCGTTATTCAAAAGTGCGGCTTCCAGAGACAGGCTGACCAGGGGGAGCCTGAGGATCGGCCCAAAGAAGCCAGCTGTTAACTCAGGTTGGAAGGTGCCCAGAAGTACTCTGCAAGCCACAGCGTCTACAGGAAGTGCCTGGGTGGCCACGGCTCTCAAGAGGAATCCACACTAGTTCCTGCCACCCTGTTTCTGCACATGCTGTTCTTTCCGCCTGGGATGCCCTTTCTCCCTGCTCTGCCTGGCTAAGTTCTCATCATGGTCCTCTAAGGCAGTTCAAGAACTCCATGACTACGACCCCAGCCCTGCACCCAGGGCCAGGGTGGGTCCTTCTGTGGGGCTTCCTTGGACATAGCCCAGAGCAAAAAGAGATGCAGCTCTTACTCTGATAAACATTATTAAATGAATAAATGAATGAGAAACATCATTTTATGGATTTTTTTGTGTGTGTGTGGCAGGGTCTCACTCTGTCACCCAGGCTGGAGTGCAGTGTCACAATCTCGGCTCACTGCAGCCTCCCACCTCAGCCCCCCAAGTAGTTGAGACCACAGACACGCACCACCACACCCGCTGGCAATATTCCTTCTGAGCAGGCTCCCATTCACCTCCATGTTCCCAGCATGGGGATCTGTCTCTGGCATGGAATAATGACCATGAGGAAGAGGATGACAGTCAGTTCTCACACAACACTTAGGACCTGCCAGGCACCACCGTGAGTGCTTTAGCAGACATTCACAACAATGTGAGGTAAACAGTATTGTCATCTCTACTTTACAGGTGTGGAGACTGAGGCACAGCAGGTAAGGAACTTGTCCAAGGCCACACAGCACATAGGAGCAGGCTGGCCCTAGAGCCACTGCCGTCAATCCCCCACCCCAGGGGGCACTTGGCAATGTCTGGAGACATTTTTGATTGACAACTAGAGTGATATTCCCAGCATCCAGCAGGTAGAAGCCAGCGATGCTGCTAAATGTCCTATAACACACAGAACAGCCTCCCACAATAAAGACTTATCTGGACCTCAGTGGTCACTAGTGCTGAAGCTGAGAAACATTAGGTGTCACTGCCTTTGCTGAGTGAGTCCCTGAGCAAATGCCCTGGGTGATCTTTGTTTGGGTTCCACTTGACTTCGTAAACATAGGTAGAGGCTCCTGGCAACTTGCCCGCTGCAAGATCAGACATCCAGGTTTGCTCTCCTCTCTGCTCTGCCATTATCTTGCTGCGTGGCCCTGGGCAAGTCGCTGTTCCTCTTTACCCCTCAGTTGCCACCCTCTTTCCGACCTGAAGACTGGTCTGGGTGCCCCAAGTGACAGCAGCACTGCCCTGGCTATGGAGCCTCTGGGCTAGACAGAGCTGGCACGCTTGGGTGGGCAGGCTTTCAGGGCTTGCAGAGTGGGTGGCTCATTCCCTTGACAATCATCCAGGGCTGGTTACGTTCAAATGCCAAGGAGGCAGAGAAGGGAAGGACACTAGCTCAGTTAGCTCTCGGGAATGAATCTCTGAGTAGAAAAGCCCAGCCTGGCCGGGCGTGATGGCTCACACCTGTAATCCCAGCACTTTGGAAGGCCGAGATGGAGGATCGCTTGAGTCCAGGAGTTCAAGACTAGCCCTGGCAACATAGTAAGACCTCATCTCTACAAAAGAATACAAAAATTAGCCAGTTGGTGTGGTGGTGGCATCTCTAGTCCCAGCTACTCAGGAGGCTGAGATGGCAGGATCGCCTGAGCCTGGAAGTGGGCCATATTTGCCCACTGCACTCCAGTGTGGGCGACAGACTGACTCTATCAAAAAAAAACAAAAAAAAAAAAAAAAAAAAAAACAGAAAGCGAAAAGAAAGAGAGAGAAAGAAAGAGAAAGAAAAGCCCAGCCTGATATAACCTCAATTAGCAATTTACTCATTCATTTATACTCCACAAACACTGAGTATCCACTGTGTGCCAGGCGCTAGTGTCAGTGCTAAATGAGACAAACTCCACCTTCTCCACCCTGCCCAGAGCAGGGACTCCCCCTTGGGGCTTTGGCCTCCTTCCTCCCTGAAGGCTGCAGTTCCTGACACCTCAGCTGACCTCAGACCTTGGGCTTCCAGGGGCTTCTCCAGGAGCACAGGGCCAGACACCCACTCTTCCCTGCTGCTGCCCCCAAAACACACCCTCCTGGGAGGTTCCGGGGCTCCCTGGTGCCCTGGAGAGCTAAGCTTTCCCAAGGCCTCACCAGGATCCCCGACGCTGTAGGGCAGCCCTGGCCTCCCAGACAGCTCTGGAGTGGTGTTCCCAGTGTCCGGATGCAGCAGGCTGTGATGCTCCCTCCTGTGGCTCAGAGCCCTGAGCATGCAGTGAAGGAGGAGATGGGCAAGCAAGGCTGTTAACATGGCTCAGCTGCCCACCACCTTGCGTCCTTACCCTGGCCCCCTCCCTCCGTCCCAAGCCAGCTCAAGGAGGGACCTAGGAGTCTGGCCTTTGGGTTGATAGCAGGAGGAAAACACAGGCTTTGGTCAGTCAGATCTGGCTTGAAATCTTGGGCTGCCACTTATTAGCTGTGTGACCATGAGCAAGTTGCTTTGCCTCTCTGAGCCTGTTTCCTCCTCTGTAAAATGGGGGTGATAGGGCCCAGCTTTCCTTCCCTAAAGTGTCTAGGGGGCTTGGGACTGAGGCTTCCCTTCCTCTGACCAGCTGCCAGTCTTATTTCCCCTGGCAGGAGGGGCTCTGTTCTCATCCTCTGTGGGCTGTAACAAGAATTGGAAATGGAAAATCTATGATTCATAATGACATCTGTGTGTGCCCCAGAAGGCGGCAGTGCTGCCTTAGGGTCCGGCTCTGGAAGACCAAGGCCTCCTGAGCCCTCTGCTGGCCACTCTGGGTTCTCCTCCGCCCATGCACAGTAACAAGAACCTACAGGACCAGGGCTGTTGGCATCCAGGAAGCCATGAGAAGGGAGGTGGCCAGCCCAGTACATGCCAAGCACTGGTGCAGGATCCTGCCTCAGGCCAAGGCCCTGTGCCTTGCCCAATCCACCCCTTGTTACCATGGACATCACCACTACCTCCCCAAAACCTCAGTGGGGCCAGCAGGGAAAGTCACTAGAGCCGGGGCCTCCTGATGTCAGGCCAGACCTTGGCCCCCGTCTGCTCGTGTCTGCCAGGACACCTCTCCAGGGGCCACCTTCTGAAGCTGCCCCTTCCGCCCTCCACCTGTAGCACCTTCCCTGCCCTTCCTCCTCTTCTGCCTTTCCCAGGCATCTTGGACGCTCGGGGGCCTCTTGACTCTCCTGCTGGGGACACAACATCCCAGGGCAGCAAGGATTCCAGGATCCATTCCTGCCTTGCCTTGAAATGCAGCCCATGGCTTTGGAGGAGTATATACCACCCTAGCAGCATGCTCTAAAGCTGCCGAGCCCTTCCTGGGGCACACCCCGCCAGGCTGAGCAAGAGTGAGGGGCTCAGAGGAACATGGCCTGGGCCCCAGGGGCTGCCGGGTGACCCCCGGAACAGGGGCTTACGTGCTGGATCAGTGTCTCCACGATCTTGTAGCGGTCAGGCATGTGGGTCACCATGTCTGTCATGTTGTCCTCAGACGTCCTCACCAGTGTCCGCCCAAAGACCAGGGCCAGGTTCCGGGGTTCCATCTGGGCAGCAGGGAAAGCAGGTCACTGTCAACATCCTGAACTCAGTCCTCCCTCACTCTGGCCCCTAAGGCCTCTGTCCCCAACTACATCCTCACCAGTCCCCAGCTTAGAGGGTGGACACCCCCTTGTATGGGCATGGAGATGCTTGATGAGTAGAGCACAGGCCAGATTTCAGCCCCTTTCATCCCCAGGCCCAGCAGCCATGAGCAGTGCCCAACCTGCACACCTATACAGGGCAGCCCTGAGTGGTCAGTGCCAGCAGTGGGAGACCCTGCAGTAGGAAACATGTTGGAGGTCCCAGAGGTTATTTTAGGCCTGGGAAAAAACCCGATCACTTCCAGGTGCCTGTAATCCCAGCTACTCGGGAGGCTGAGGCAGGAGAATTGCTTGAACCCGGGAGGTGAAGGTTGCAGTGAGCTGAGATCGTGCCAAGGCACTGCAGACTGAGTGGCAGAGTGAGACTTCGTCTCAAAAAAACAAACAAACAAAAAACACAAAAAATCCTATCACTCCCTTCATTTTCCCCACTGCAGAACCAGAAGGCATAAGGGGTTTGATGAGGAAAATGCAATGCGAGGGACTTGAGCTAAGTTGGAGGATGGCAATGCATCGGATACGGGGAGCCGGGGTTCCCTGCCTCTGGAAAGCCCTCAGAAACTCAGGAGATGGCTCTCTGGGGGAAAGCACTGACCAGCATGTAGGAGCGGGATGCGGACGGAGCAGTCATATAGGAGGGCGTGCCTAGAGGGGCCTGAGTTATTGGACCTGCAGGAGCTCAGTGCATGCTGAGGGCCCCCACACAGTAAGTCCGTGCTTGCCTCCCCCAGACTCCATGCGGGACTCCTACCCACCTTGTTTTTCTCAGAGTGGTCAGTGATGGTCTTGAGATGGCCCACAAGGAATTTGAGCGTTTCAAAGTAGTGTCCTGGGAGATCCCGGATCTGAGCAGGAGAGAGGAGGGGCATGGGGACAGGCTGTAAGGGCCTGCCCCTGTCCCCCGTCACCACCATGCCCCAAAGATCTCCCACTACCATGCCTCAGGGAGTCTGGAATCTATCCTCTAACCCCCCGTTCTCTTGTGTGGATGGGGAAACTGAGGCCCTGAGTGGAGCAGGGCAAGGCCACAGGGGTCGTGGGTAACACCGGACTCCCTGCCTCCTGGGACAGAGGTGCTCAGGCAGCTGCCCCACCTCGTGCCTGGCAGCACCTCTCTCTCCTTACCAGCTTCCGCAGCGTCCTCATCCGCTCCCGCACGTCCTCAATGCAGTTGGCCTCGATGAAGTCATTGTATTTGTCTAGAACACAGCAGAGACTCTTTAGAGAGGTAGGGGCAGCACCTTACCCTGTTCTCCAGGCCGAGGGCCCTGCTGGGAGGGCTGTGTTTTGAACTCCTCCAGTTCGGGGGCTCCAGCGTGGGCGATAGCCTCTTGTGTATGTGAACACACCCACCACAGCTGCACTTACCACAGCTGCACTCACCACAGCTGCACTCACCACAGCTACACTCGGGTGTGCACCTGACCTGGGGTAGCCCAGCTGTGTTCATTTGGGAGGCAATACGACCTGAGGTGCATGCTGATCGCAGAAAAGGGGTCCATGCCCCCGTCTCCAGGACATGGACACCAAGGTTCAGCAGGTCAGAAGAGAAGGGCACCTGGAGAGGAGGAGGGGCTTCAGACAGCCTCGACCAAGGATTCCCCCAACTCCCTTCAGAACAATTCCATGGGGACCTTTAAAGAATGGAACATGATAAGCCTATTCTGAAATTCATCTGGATGAGCTAACGCACAAAGACAGCCAGGAATAGTTTTTAAAGAAAGAGTAACGCGGGAGGATCTGCCCTACCAGGGACTGAAACATCCTGAATGGATGGCACAGCTGAAGCCGGCTGGCATGGCAGAAAAGGCAGAGCAATGTTAAGGCTAGAAAGGGGGGAAGTGGGCCATGTGGATATTTATTATATGATAAAGGCAGCACTTCCAATCGGGGGGAGGGATGGGGGCCTCAACAGATGTCCCCGGGACAAATGGCTACCATCGGGGACGGGGGGGATCATTTCTAGCTCACAATACACAAATGCAATCACACGGCAGAGCCAATTGTGAAAATTATAAAAGCTCTGGGGAAAAATAAGAAAATATTTTTATAATCCTAAGGCCATCCTAAACATGAGATGCAGAATCCATGAAGAAAAGATGAACAGCTTTGGTCACATTTTAAACAATTGTTTTCGGCCAGGCACGGTGGCTCACGTCTGTCATCCCAACACGTTGGAAGGCTGAGGCACATCAGCTGATCACTTGAGGTCAGGAGTTCAAGACCAGCCTGGCCAATGTGGCAAAACCTCATCTTTACTAAAAATATAAAAATTAACTGGGCATGGTGGCAGGTGCCTGTAATCCCAGCTACTTGGGAGTCTGAGACAGGAGAATGGCTTGAACCTGGGAGGCCGAGGTTGCAATGAGCCGAGATCGTACCACTGCACTCCAGCCTGGGTGACAGAGTGAGACTCAGTCTCAAAAAAATAAATAAAATTAAATAAAAATAAAATTAAAAATTGTTAGGCAGGGCGCGGTGGCTCACGCCTGTAATCCCAGCACTTTGGGAGGCCAAGGAGGGTGGATCATCTGAGGTCAGGAATTTGAGACCAGCCTGGCCAACATGGTGAAACCCCGTCTCTACCAAAAATACAAAAATTAGCTGGGCATGATGGTGGGCACCTGTAATCCCAGCTGTTCGGGAGACTGAGGCAGAAGAATCGCTTGAACCCAGGAGGCAGAAGTTGCAGTGAGCCGAGATCGCACCATTGCACTCCAGCCTGGGCGACAAGAGTGAAACTCTGTCTCAAAAAACAAAACAAAACAACAACAAAAAAAAATTTGTTTTCAGTTTCTATACTGCAAAGTGAAAAGGCAAATGGCAGGCCAAAGCAAATATTTGCAAAGACTAACAAAGGGTTAATATGTGTAAAACACAAAGAGCTTTTCTCCCACAAATCAACATAAGAAAAAGATAAACAACCCAACAGAAAAATGGGCACATGGTCTGATCAAGCAATTACAGAGAAAATAGAAACAGCCAATATGCTAATGAAAAAAGATTTAATCTCCCTAGTAATGAGGGCAATGAAAATAAAAACAATAATGAGATACCATTTCTCTTATCTGATTAGCAAAAGTTTAAAATATTAATAATATTTAATGCTGTCTGGGTGAGGTGGCTCAAGCCTAAAATCCCAGCACTTTGAAAGGCCGAGGAGCGATGATCACTTTAGACCAGGAGTTGAAGACCAGCCTGAGCAACGTAGTGAGACCCTGCCTCTACCAAAAAAAATTTTTTTTTAATTAGATGGGTATGGTGGCACAAACCTGTAGTCCCAGCTACTCAGGAGGCTGAGATGGGAGGATCACTTGAGCCCAGGAGGTTGAGGCTGCAGTGAGCCATGATTGCGCCACTGCATTCCAGTCTGGGCAACAGAGCAAGATCCTGTGTCAAATAATAGTATTTTTATTTTTATTTTATTGTATTATTTATTTATTTATTTATTTTGAGATGGAGTCTTGCTCTGTCACCCAGGCTGAAGTGCAGTGGTGCGATCTCAGCTCACTGCAACCTCTGCCTCCTGGGATCAAGCAATTCTCCTGTCTCAGCCTCCCTAGCAGCTGGGACTACAGGCACCCGCCACCACACCCAGCTAATTTTTGTATTTTTAGTAGAGACGGGGTTTCACCACAGTCAGGCTGGTCTTGAACTCCTGACCTCAGGTGATCCACCCGCCTCAGCCTTCCAAAGTGCTGAGATCACAGGCATAAGCCACCATGCCTGGCCTTCAAATAACAATAATAGTTGTAATATCCAATGCTGTTGCGGATGTGGAGAGACAGACTCCTACATTGTTAGTGGGAGTCTAAATCAGGGCCTCTTTCTCAGAGTGCAATTGACACTGGTCTCAGAAAGGTTCACCAGGACTTTGACCCAGCAATTCTACATCTAAGAATCCCCTTAGAGAGCACAGATCCAGGCGTGCAAGGACTTATTCAAGGAAAGCCATTGCAACAGGTTGTGTGATAGCAAACATTTGAAGACAAGCTAAATATCCATCAATAGAGGAGTACTTAAAGAAATTATAGTCTATTCAAACCATGAAATTCTATGTGGCTGATTTAAAAGAAGAATGAGGTAGAGCTCTCTGCACTGACACGAATGAATCTCAGAATTACAACCCTGCTTTTGTTAAAAACAACTCAACCAGCGGTGTGCTGGAGTCCGCTCACACCAGCTCCTGAGAGCAACTGTGTGCCTCTCTTCCCAATTCCATGTTGGTGACATCATGTTGGTGGCTTGAAATAAACCATGGTAGGAGTATTTACACCATGGAAGCTGGAAAATGCTAGGCATTAGGGCTTTTTTCTCCCAGAAACAGATGTTAAACATCTGCCAGCACACCCCTGAACCCACCCAACTCCAAACCCCACGCAGGCACGTCTGTATCTCTGCCATGCATATAAGAGGGCCAGGAGAGAAACACAACAGATCGTGAATAAGCAGTTCAGCAAACGGCCAAAGTCCATCGGAGCCCGACGCCTGGGGCGGAATCCTGGCTCTGCCATTTACAACCTGTGTGACCTTGGGCAAGGCATTAAACCTCTCTGAGCCTTGGTTTCCTCATCTGTAGAGGGAAGACAATAGCACCTTCCTCATGGAGTTGCTGTAGGGAGTTGTGCTTGGCACACACTAATGCTCAGAAAGTGTTAGCCACAACCTCCCGTGAAAGGGAGGAGGAGATTCACAGGGTCCTGTGCTGTTTTTATTCACATCTGTACAATCTATGTTTTTTTAATAAGCTTTTGTGTTAAAAAAAAAAAAAAAAAAAAAAGCCAGCGTGGTGGCTCATGCCTGTAATCCCAGCATTTTGTGGGGCTGGGGCAGGCAGGAGGATTGCTTGAGCCCAAGAGTGCAACACCAGTCTGAGCAACATAGTGAGAAACTCCCCCCATCTCTGAAAAAAACTTTTAAATTAGCTGGGTGTGGTGGTGTTCACCTGCTGTCTCAGCTACTCAGGAGGCTGAGGTGGGAGGATCGCTTGAGCCCAGTAGCTTGAGGCTGCAATGAGCCGTGATTGCGCCACTGCACTCCAGCCTGGGCAACAGAGCAAGACTGTCTCCAAAAAAATAAATAAATAAAAGAGTAAAACCAACAAACCAAATGCAAAAGTAGTGGTCAGGGTGCGGCACAGACTGGTGTCCCCTCCCCACCCCCATTTCCACCTCCTACTCACCAGCAGTGAAAAGAGGCTCGGGCAGCTTTCGGAAGAAGGACTTGAGCAGGCTGTTGATCACATTGAGGTCTTGCCAGCGCTGGGGGAGGAGTCAGATGTCAGGCCACAGGCAAGCCTAGCCCAATGCCCATGCCTCCATGATCATTCACCCCAGAGCCCAATCAAGCCCACCAGGCCCTCCCTGGGACCCACTTAGACTAAGCTCTCTACTCATCAGGATGGTGGCAGCAGAACTGAGTCCCCAGAGAGGTCCTGTGCCCACACTCACACTTGGCCCCAGCCCCTCCCTGCTCCTGCCAGCGCGTGGGCTCCAACACCTCCCCATTCACAGAAAGTCCCAGGCACTGTGGGGACACAGTGAGTGGCAGCTGCTGCCTCCACTGGACACAGTTTAAGCATCTGTGACACAGCAGTCATTCATGCCAGCTCCTTCCTGTCTCAGGTCCTCTGCATGTGCTGGTTCCCTCAACCAGAACTTTCCTCCCCGCCTCCACACAACTGGCTCCTCATCCCCGCCTAAAAGTCGCTCTTCAAAGAGGCCTTCTCTGACCCTCATAGCTAAAGCAGCCACCTTCACCACTGCCCTGTCACCTGCACCCCAGCCCTGACTTTGTTTCCTTCATGGCGCTTAACCCAATTTGTCATTATTTTCTGCTTTTGTTTCTATGTTCATGCCTGTCTCCCTGCAGGACTGTAAGCTCCAGGAGGAGCCAGGATCCCGTCTGTCTCATTTCCCACTGTGCTCCTATCACCTAGCTAGGACAGTTAACCTGATACTTACATGGCCCTAAATCAGTAGTTCTAACAGAAGGAGGCAATTTTGTCCCCCAAACTCCCACTCCACCCCCAGAGGACATTTGACAATGTCTGGAGCCATTTTGATTTTCCCAACTGGGAGGTGACACTTTCATCTAGTGGATCGAGGCCAGGGATGATTCCAAATTTCCTCCAGTGCACAGGGCAACCCCACACAACAAATAATTGTTCTTCCCAAAATGTCCACTGAGGTTGAGAAACCCTACTCTAAAATAAATGGTTGTTGAGTACAAGAACTAACGGCCGGGTCGTTGTCCCTTCTGTCCTCCAGGGGGCAGCATCACCCCACATTGCAACCAAGTCGGGCACAGCCGCCTCGCTGGGAATGGCTCACAATAACTCAGGCCCAGAAAGCGACCTAATACCCCCAACAAAGAGACACAGCACAGCAGTACACACACTCATTACAATGGATCCACAGCTTAATGCCAGACAATCCCATAAACAATACACTCCGCACAGGCTCACCAGGGGTTAGATTCATCCCCCACTACACTTACTCCCAGCACGACCCACAACAAATGACACAATGATATCCAAGACAAAACAACACACCCAATATACCTTGTATGCCCCCAGCTGGCCCTGGCTTGGACCAGTTGCCTGCCAGCACGGCCCCCTCATCTCACACACACCCAGTGCGGCTCCTGCCCACCCGACTCCGTTACCTCCTGGCCCTCAGGTGTGAGCTCCTCTCATCTCCCAGCTGCCAAACCCAATGCCCTGGCCAGTGCTTCCTGGCTCCTCCAGAGTGAAGTGTCTGCCCTCACCCCAGCCTCACCGGCGGTCCTCTCCTTCTGTCCCACTCAGCACGTGGCCCCTGCTGTTCTGCGGCCCACCCTTGGTCATCCCATGCCCCAGCTGCAGCAGGACCCATGCCACTCTCTAGTCCACGCTCAATCTAGCGCCTGTTTATGCCCTCGCCCCATGCAAGGGACTTTCCATACCCCAAATCCAATGGAGCCACTCCCTGAGACGGCCCCTCCCTTCCACCTCTCCTCACGCTGCCCTACTCCCTGGTTTCTGCCAGGGGAAGATACCACCAGCCCCAGCTCAAACATGCGGCTCTTCCTCGCCCGTCCTTCCTCCCTCTCATGCAGCCAACTCTTAGGGTTGCTCCCATCCTCCCCCTTCCCCCGGGACCACCAAGTCCTCCCGACACTTAGCGCTTCCATAGATCAGTGACTTCTCCCCAGACCCCTGCCCTCCGCATTCGTATCCAATGGACATGAGCAGGAGCATTACTCTTTCTTGAACTTTGTACTCATGATGCCTCCCCAGCTTAAGAAGCATCAAAAGCTCCCTACTGTCCATCAGATCAAGGTCGAAGTCTTCAGTGAAGCCATCACATGCCCTCTCTGTCCCCCTGGGGCCTCACCCTCTCCACCTTCATGCCCAGGAGGTAGATCCACTCTCTGTCCTAACCCTCAAGCCCTCCCTGGCCCTTGCTGGGGTTTTGGAAAATGCCACCGTCTCACACCCCGAAAGGCTTCCTGTCCACCTACCCCCTCCTATTCATTCCTCCAATACTCAAATCCTCCAGCCACCACCTGCTCCAGCCTGAGCACCCTGTCCTTCCTCATCACAGTGTGGTCCCTGATGAGAGATCATCTTTTTCTCCTGTCCACAATTTCACACACACTTGTCTCAGCTCCTCATTCTCCAAGGACAGGAAGACTTGTGTATTCCATGAGCCTTCACGTGTGTGACTCATGGGACATCACTGCCCATGTTCATGGTTTTCCAAAATATCTTTTTTATCAGAGCCCCTTTGGGCAAATAAAATTGTACGTGAAAACCCAGTACAACAGACAGGGCAAAGCAGGGTTGCTCTAGCAAGGACACGGGGTCCTGACCTGACCCTGGCCTCCCAAGGCCCCTCTGGGGAACCCTAGGACTCTGGGGAACACCCTTTGAGAATCGCCGGCCCTACTGGAAACACTTAAGTGTGATTGCAGATTCCTTCACAGGCTGGTCTCATCTCGCCTGATCAGCCACTTCTCTTTCCATGTTGCAGCCACCCAAATGGCTGGCCATTCTAGAAAACATCATATATTCCCCTTTTTCTAAGCCGGCAGTTTGTAAAACATGATCTGTAGGCAATATCTAGCCACAGCCTTCTTTTGGATGGCCCTTGAGCTAAGTATGGTTTTTACGTTGTTAAAGGATTAGGAAGAGAAGGAGGAGGAAGAGAAGGGGGGAATGCAACAGAGCAAACTACAGCAGAAAATATTTACTCTCTGCCTTCTACAGAGAAAGCTGGTTGACTCCTGGCACACTTTTCGCGTCTACACCATTGCGCAGGCCATTCTGCTGCCTGGAATGCCCTCAGCTGGCTTTCACCGGCCTTTGGTGAACTCTACTCATCCTAAACACTCGGACAAAACTGCCGTTTGTGAGCCTCTGCCTCAGAGCTCCCCAGGCCATGACTGCATTTACTTGGTCAGCTTCAGCCTGGGGTGATGCCCATCCCCAGGCTGGCCAGCGGGGGCAGGTCCCATCTTGCCCATCTTGGTGTCCTGGACCAATGCCGGGCATGTCATAGGGCACAATGCATGCAACACAATAGACCACAGAACTCTCCAAGCGGAGCACCACCCACACACCATCTCAGCCCCCCTTCCACAGACCCCCCAGCTTCACCCACCTCATCCTGCTGGTTGATGTCACCAGGCCCAGGATTGAGCTGCTCCTGTAGGCTGGACACCACTGCATTGTTGCCAGGCACTCGGTAAAAGCCTGTGGACTCCAGCCCTCGTGCCTCCACAATGTGACAGCGTGCAGCCACGATTAAGGGGACATGCTGGGGACACAGGGGAGGGGTGTTAGGGGGGACAGGGGCCAGAGGAGCTGGGGAGGCCAAGAAGGGGACAATGCAAGGCCCAGAGCTGCTGCCAGGAACCCTTGGGGGGAACAAAAGGCCCTTGCTGCCTCCAGTCTGGGAGCTACAAATGACACCAAAGCCTCGCCATGGTCTGAGAAGGAGCCGGGCTCAGCCTCAGCCCTGCTGCTCCCTCCCTGGGAGGCCCAGGGCAGGCAGGGACCTTCCCCTCTCTGGGCTGTTTTCCCAGCTGTGTTTGTACAATGAGGTGGAGAGCTTGTTCCATGTCCCTTGCTGCTCTGACCCTCTGTGCCTTGGTCTCCCCCTGCCGGGCCTGCTCTGGCGTGTGGCAGAGACCCACCTGGTTCTCCGTGGCTGGCTGGCACTCCTCCAGCCTGACCCCAAATGCCCTTGGGGCAGCCTTCTTATTTTTCTTGATGATGTTGATGCCCCAGGGGGTTTTGGGGGCTGCAGCACTGTCATCTGAAGTGGGGGAGACAGAGCCAGAGTGAGCTGGAGTATCCAGGAGGGTCGCACACATTCACTGCCACATTCACACATTTGGACGTATGGGGATTCCATCAGAGAAGAAACCAGATGCCCAGGGCTGATGGGACATTGTATGGCAAGAGAGAAGGCCTGAAGGGGAGGATGCTTACCCCAAAGGAGAGGCCCAGAGCAATGCAAGGACTTCTGTGTGGCTCGTGGGCCAAAACTACAAGGCGGAAGCCATAGAACTTTGTTTCTTTAGAGACAGGGTCTCTGTCGCTCAGGCTATAGTGCAGTGGTATGATCATAGCTCAATGCAGCCTCAAATTCCTGGGCTCAAGCAATCTTCCCTCCCCAGCCTCCCGAGTGGCTGGGACTATAAGCTCATACCACCACACCTGGCTAATTAAAAAAAATTTTTTTGCCAGGCACAGTGGCTTATGCTTGTAATCCCAGCACTTTGGGAAGCTGAGGCCGGCAGGACCACATGAGGCCAGGAGTTCGAGACCAGCTGGCCAACATGGCAAAACCCTGTCTCTACTAAACATACAAAAATTAGCTGGGCGTGGGTCGGGTGCGGTGGCTTACGCCTGTAATCCCAGCACTATGGGAGGCCGAGGCAGGCGGATCACAAGGTCAGGAGATCGAGACCATCCTGGCTAACACGGTGAAACCCCGTCTCCGCTAAAAATACAAAAAAATTAGCCAGGTGTGGTGTCGGGCACCTGTAGTCCCAGCTACTCAGGAGGCTGAGGCAGGAGAACGGCGCGAACCCAGGAGGCGGAGCTTTCAGTGAGCCGAGATCACACCACTGCACTCCAGCCTGCGCAACAGAGCAAGACTCCATCTCAAAAAAAAAAAAAAAAAAAAATTAGCCAGGCGGGGTGGCGCATGCCTGTAATCCCAGTTACTAGGGGGGCTGAGGCACAAGAATCGCTTTAACCCAAGAGGTGGAGGTTGCGATGAGCTGAGATCATGCCACTGCACTCCAGCCTGAGTGACAGAACAAGACTCTGTCTCTAAATAAATAAATAATATATAAAAAAATATTTTGTAGGGATAGGACCTTGCTATGTTACCCAGGCTGGTCTCAAACTCCTGGCCTCAAGCAATCCTCCAGCCTCAGCCTCCCAAAATGATGCTGGGATTATAGGTGTCAGCCACCATGCCTGCTGGCCCAAGGGAACAACTTTCTTTTATTTATTTATTTATTTATTTATTTTTTTTGAGACAGGGTCTCGCTCTGTCACCCAGGCTGGAGTGCAGTGGTGTGATCTCGGCTCACTGCAACCTCCACCTCCCAGGCTCAAGTGATTCTCGTGTCTCAGCCTCCCAAGTAGTTGGGATTACAGGCGCACACCACCACGCCCGGGTACTTTTATTGTATTTTTTTTTTGAGACGGAGTCTTGCTCTGTCACCCAGGCTAGAGTGCAGTGGCGCGATCTTGGCTCAATGCAAGCTCCGCCTCCCGGGTTCATGCCATTCTCCTGCCTCAGCCTCCTGAGTAGCTGGGACTACAGGTGCCTGCCACCATGCCCAGCTAATTTTTTGTGTTTTTTAGTAGAGATGGGGTTTCACCGTGTTAGCCAGGATGGTCTCGATCTCTTGACCTTGTGATCCACCCGCCTCGGCCTCCCAAAGTGCTGGGATTACAGGCGTGAGCCACCGTGCCCGGCCTTTTGTATTTTTAGTAGAGTTGGGGTTTCGCCATGTTGGTCAGGCTGGTCTTGAACTCCTGACCTCAGGTGATCTGCCTGTCTTGGCCTCCCAAAGTGCTGGGATTACAGGTGTGAGCCACCTTGCCCAGCCAGGTAAGAACTTTCTAATAGCCAAAGGTGAGGGAAATGGGAAAGGTTGCTCTTGGAAAGGGTGGGCCTCTCATCCCTGCAGAGACACCAGCAAAGATTAGAGGACCACCCAGCAGGGATATCAGGGACGGGAATCAGGCTCCAGGCCCTTCCACCCCAAGACCCTGAGAGCCCCCAGACCCTCACAGGCATGCACATGCAGACAGACATACCGGTAACCCTGGCACACAGTCAGGCACACACGAGCAGACACAGCCCAACACACACACACATGCTCTCCCCTCTCCATGCCCTCTTCCCCAACACACCACCCTGTCTCAGTGGCCACCTTCCTACCCTTGCTCCCTGCAGGCAGGTCCTGAGTCCTGAGGCCACGTGCCGCACTCTGCTTGAGGAACTCAGACTTGAGGCCCCCCAGGCCGCGAGAGCCTTTGGGGGAGGAATCAGCTTTAGGCCCAGAGCTATGGCTGTGTAGGAAAAAGCGGGAGAGGAGAGGTCTTCACTTGGGGTGGCCAAGCAGGCCACCCACCCTGGCCTCCTGCCCCTCGGGACATCCCCTCCACCCTGAGGCAATGCCTCCATGCCAAACTGCAGCCTGGAGACCCTGGATACCCTGGATACCCCTTCCCCCAGCAGAGGGCAGCCCTGGAGGTGGTCCAGGAAGACATCCTCTGCCTTCAGCCCCCTACCACCCCCACAAAGGAGACTGCTCCATGAGGGCTAGGCCTCACCTCACTTTGCGATAATCATTAAGCTTCTTGCTGATCAGAGCTTGGTTGGCACAGCCGGGGTCCTGAAGCAGGAGAGGAGAGAGCGGATCATGTCAGTGCCCACAGCCAGCCCACCCCTGGGTTCATCCCTAGCCCTGCTTCCCCTCTTGTCCACCTGCCAGGTGGACAGCCCAGACCCTGGAGTGAGAAAGACCAGGCCTGGACTCCCCAGCACCCTCTCACCAGCTGAGGCCTTGGGGAAGCCTCTTAGCCTCTCTGAGCCTCAGTCTCCTCGGTAATAAACATGGGGGGCTAAAAGGGAAGGCTCGGGGCTGGGTGCAGAATCATGCAGCGCTCGCCACTTTCCTGGCAGATGCTGAGCAGGCATGGAGGAGGTGCCCCAGGAGGGACTGCTACTGCCATAGTGATGTGGCTTGGAACCCCCCTGACTAAGCCTTGTTGGAGACAGCCAAGCCAGGCCCCCAGAGGAGGAGGCCCAAATTCCAGGTGCCTTCCTCCCTGCAGTGGGGAAAGCTGTTCCCGGGAGAGCAGAGCCTGGTCAGCAAGAGGATGTGTCCTCAGCAAGAGGCCATGCAGTAGCCCCCCCTCCCACGGCCAGAGCAGGCCCAGGCCCACTGCCCTCTTGGCAGAGACCCCAGGCCCGGGACGCCCACATGACTTTGTGTGGGTGTCTCAAGGCACTTCTGTGCAGGCTCCTGGCCAAAGAAGTAAACAGGGAGGAATCCCTACCTAGGCCCCTGGAGTGTAGCTACAGCTGACCGCAATGGGCGCCATTAAAAAAAAATTCTTCGGCTGGGCGCAGTGGCTCACACCTGTAATCCCAGCACTTTGGGAGGCTGAGGTGGGAGGATCATGAGGTCAGGAGATCAAGACCATCCTGGCTAACACAGTGAAACCCCGTCTCTATTAAAAAAAAATTAGCCAGGCATGGTGGCATGTGCCTATAGTCTCAGCTACTCAGGAGGCTAAGGCAGGAGAATCACTTGAACCTGGGAGGCGGAGGTTGCAGTGAGCTGAGATCGCGCCACTGCACTCCAGCCTGGGCAGCAGAGCGAGACTCTGTCTCAAAAAAAAAAAAAAAAAATTCTCCCAAAATCCCTGCCGAGGCCCTTGGCTCCAACCCTGCCCACCTGTGGCCAAAGGCCAAGCCTCTCAGCCTCCTCACAAGGTCAATGTGTTCATCCTCCTGCAGACAGGCCAGCCCAGTGCAGTTCTGGTGCCGGGACACTCATGCCCTAACACACTCCATAGGAGGCCCCTGCCTTCCTCGCCTGCTGAGAAAAGCTGAGACTGGCCTGGAGCTGACCACTCCACATCAGAGCCTGCTCAAGGCGATCCTAACACAGTCACAATAATCCCTGTCATCATTAGGATCAGGATGGTGACTGCTGGTCCCCGCACCCGAGGACGCCAGGTCCTCCATGAGCCCTGCCCTTGCACCCTCGTCACCCCGAAACCTAGGGGGACACAATCACGAGGTGCACTCCTGTCAGCCCCCCTTTCTAGCAGAGGGAAGTGAGGCTCAGAGCGGACATCCCAGGTCCACAGCCGGTGAGAGGCCACCCCGCCCGCCCTCTGTGGCCGCCGGGCTGGCCGGGCCCTCACCTCGCCCTCGGCCCTGCTGTTCTCCCGGATCGCTCTGATCCAGCCCAGCATGTCATCCCGGTCCTCAGCCTGAAAGGGATATTCACAGAAGTCAGCGGTGGTCAGCCGGAACACGTGCCTCCTCTTGGTCTCGCTGTAGGAGATGTCCACGAGGCAGGAGCCGATGCAGACGGGCGCCGCCTCGTCCTCACCTGCGCCGGCCGCCGCAGCCCCCGCCGCCGCCAGCCCGGGCTCCCGCCGCTCCTTGCTCAGCGAGAGCGAGCGCGCCAGCAGCGCGGCGTACACCCGCTTCCACTGGCGCAGGCCGCTGCCCACTTTCTGCAGGGAGACACGGGGTTGGGGGGAACAGGAGTGGTGAGAGGTCAGTTCTGCCCACTGCTCTCACAGTAGCAGACAGAGGACAGCCGGGGGATGGACCCCACGCTGCCTACCAGGAGCCCCCTGCTCCACCCGGCTAGACCTGGGCAGCCTCCTGCCCACAGCCCACCAATGCTTTCTCAGTCCCTCGCCTGCCTAGACACCCCTACCCATCACCCTAAAGCCCGCCAGCAGACCCCAACCCTCTCCCCCTCTAAACACCAGCATCAACACTCACCGAGCGGTGGCAATGCTCAGACACCCAGCATGGCCCTCCGTACATGAAATCCTCGGGAAGCCATTCCCAGCCCACGCCCCTCCCCAGGCTGCCCCTCATCCCAGCAAACCTGCTCAGAAGCTGTCCGCACTCTTAGAGGGTTGTTCTCCCCACTTTCCTGCCGCCCACCCAAGACTCCACTTGCCCAGAAGCTCCTCTCAGGGACACCCAGAACCGCCATGTGGCCAAAGCCAATGGCTGCTTCTCCCCAACTTGCCTTAACCCCTTGGCGGCATCTGACACAGCCAGCCCCTCCTTCCCTCTCCAGACCCCATCTCGGCACCTGAGACCCCACGTTCCCGGCTTTCTTCCTAATGCCACTGGCTCCTTCCTAGTCTTCTCTACTTCCCCTCCCCCACCCTCTACACCTGTAAACAGCCAGGAGACTCGTCCCCACGGGACATTTGTGTGGAGGGAGCTGGAGGGTGTGCTATGGCATCTGAGGGATGCGGCTAAACATTGTGCAATGCACAGGACAGCCTCCCCCAACAAGGAATTATCTGGCTCAAAATGTCAGCAGAGCGGAGGGTAACAGACCCCGCCCTAAAGGAGGCGGAGCTCCAGAACTTTGTCCTGACTCTCCCCTCCTCTCCTCTCCCTGCACACCTCCCTCAAGGATGTCACCTGTGCCGTGCCTTTAAACCAGGTCCATCTGCTGATGGCCATTCCCGAGCCCAGCATCTCCCCCAGCCACAGCCCGGCACCCCCACCCTGCTCAGTGTCTTCATTTGCAGGTCCCATGGGCACTCTGCACAATACTTGCCAGGCCATGTGATTTCTTACCATCAAACCTCTTCTCCACTCTCTACCCCCATCTTTTCCAGCTCAGTCAATCCATCCAGTTGTCCAGAAACCTGGGAGCTGCCCTTGACTCCTCCCTTTTCCTCGCCCTTGACATCCCATCCATCAGGAAGTCACAACTGTTCTGCCTCCAAAACATCCCCTGTCTCTGTCTTTCCTGCCAGAGGAAAGACATCTTTCCATGCCATCAACGCCTCTTGCTTGGAGAATGCACAGACCTTCCCAGTCTCTACTCTTGCTCCTGCATCCATTCTCCAGCAGCAGCTGCAGCGATCATGTTAGAATGAAAAGGAGATCACATCTCTCCCCTGCTCAGCATCCTCTCAAGAGATCCCATCGCCCTCAGAATCAAATCTAAAGTCTCCTGTGGTCTGTCCCTGCCTTTCTCCAAATTCATCTTCACACCTTTCTCACTATGTCAAGCCAGGGGGCCCTTGCAGGTGAGCGAGCCAAGCCTTTCTTTTCTCAGGGCCTCTCCGCTTGCTGTTCCTTCTGCCTAAGCCCCCCTCCCTCACTTCTATATGTGGCTGCTTCCTTCTTCCCCTTCAGATCTGAACTCCAGCATCACCAATGTCACCTCCTCAGCGAGGCCTTCACTGGCCATATTTCTCCCTCAATGCAGCTCCCGCTTCTGATCAGCTTGATCCTTTCCAAGAACTTACTGCAGCCTCAGGCTGTCCTGGGGACAGGGAGCTTGTCCGTCCTCTCATTTCCATATCCCAGGGCCTACAGCAGCATGCAAGCGCTCATCAATATTTGCTGAATAAATGAATTAATGATCCTTGGAGCACCCTGAGGGCAGGAGCTCCATCTCCCATCAGACCAAGAGCTCCTCTCTGCTGGCTGGTGGCTCCACATCCAGCACAGGCCTCAGCTCTCCGAACAAACCAGACAAAGAGATCCCGTGGCTGGCAGATGGGCACAGCCCACATCTGGCCTCCCATCATGTGGATCCTGAGCTGTGAGCCCTGCTCATCACAGAACTGCTGGAGGGGGACAGGGACATTCAGAGTAGGAGACAGCAGAGCCCTCCAGGGAGAATTTTAATGTGACAGTGAGGTGGTGACAAGGGCACCTCTCTGAGGCTAAACCAGCGGCATGACCTATGACAAGTCAACCGCACTCCCAGGCCTCAGTGTCTCCGGCTGGTAAATGAGTGAGGGAGTTGGTCACCAAGGCTGCATGCAGCTCCCATGCTGGGGCTGAGGCTGCGGGGACAAGTCACTGTCCCTTTCCCTCCTCTGCCTGACAGTCCGTGTCTCTGAAAGAGGCTGGGGCTGGGAGGGAGCACAGAGAGGGTGCCCACGGCCTGGGTGGACCAAGGGCCTGAGGCTGACTTGAAGACTGTCCTCTAACGTCCAGGCCACGGCACCAAAGGAACAAGTGACATCGGGTTTTGGCCAGCAAGGGAGTGGAGGCCTGGTCCTCCAGAACTGGCCAGTGAGCAGGAAGGGGACAGCTCCTGTCCCTGAACTGGGCTCAGGGCCCCCAGGAGCTGAGGGTCAGGCCCCCCAGCAGGGGGAACCAGCCACCCTCACAAGGACCCTTCATGTGGCTCACACGTTAGACTGGAAGGGCTGGCCCACTTGCGGCTCTCCTCGCACAGTGCACGTGGCTGGTCCCTCCTTGCCTCATGGCTCCCACCCCACGGGTCGCTGCCAACTTGCTGGCTCTTTTTGGTCTCTGTTGGCCTCCCCGACCCCCCCACTTCTCTCAAGGCTCAGCCAGGTCTCTTGCCTTCTTCCTTCAAGCCCCTGCACAGAGGCATATGTAACTCGTGGGTGCTGACAGACAAAGGCTGTCCCCAGGTGGGCCTCCCTCTAGTAACACGCCCTCAGAGCCTCTGTCCCCAGGACATCTCCACTGGGGTCTGTCCCAGGGCCCTCAGACTCACATAGCCCCAGTGGAGCCACCTGGCTTCCTCTCCCCAAACCTGCTCCTCCAGTGTGCCATGGCCCAGGGAGGGTCTCACCACCCACCACCCTCCCTCAGCCCAAGCCAGGAATCCAGGAACCTTATCGCCTCCTCCTCCTTCCATACCTCCCAGCAGCCGGCAAGCCCTGGCCATCCTTCCCATGGAATCTCTCTCTAAAGTGTCCGCTCCACACAGCCCCACACCACTGCCTTGGGTCGGGGCCCCCACCCTCACTCACCTGGACAAGGGCAATGGGATTGGCTCCTCCTGTCACAGACATAACCCCAGTCTCCTGCCAGCCCCAGCCCACATTTAAAACCCTGGACAGAGCCGGGCACGGTGGCTCACGCCTGTAATCCAAGCGCTTTGGGAGGCCAAGGCAGGCAGATCACTTGAGGTCAGGAGTTCGAGACCAGCCTGGCCAACATAGTGAAACCCAGTCTCTACTAAAACTACAAAAATTAGCTGGGTGTGGTAGCAGGCGCCTGTAGTCCTAGCTACCCAGAAGGCTGAGGCTCGAGAATTGCTTGAACCCGGGGGGCGGAGGTTGCAGTGAGCTGAGATCGTACCACTGCACTCCAGCCTGGGCAACAGAGTGAAACTCCGTCTCAAAAATAGATAAAATAAAATAAAATAAAATAAAATAAAATAAAATAAAATAAAATAAAATAAAATAAAAAAACCCTGGACAGGCTCTTTCTGGGTATGAAGGCCCCACACTCTGGGCAGGCGCCCAATTCCCCAGCTCATCTTCCACCTCTCGCCCTGGCTCCCAGCACACCTCTCCCCACCTCTCCCCAGGACCCTCTAAGGAGACATCCTCCCTGTCAGGCCCCTCCACTGTCTCCCAGTTTTGTGGCTTCTCATCCTTTCGTGTCTCAGCCTCTGGATACCTCCCTACCCATGCCCACCTGCCCCTGCACCCGGGCATCACGGCAGTCTGTGCACTTGGAACCATGATGCCACATGCGTTCTCTCCGCTCAACAGGAGCAACAGGAGCCCCAGGAGGGCAGGGCTGCCCTGGCTCCCTCACCACTAACTCCCCAGAACCTCCACAGAGGCTCCCGAGCAGGGAGGCCTTAGTCATTCTCCACGGAGGCGCATCAGTCCCGCCTCGACTTCACCCTCACTTAATCCACAGCAGCCCTTGGGGTAGGATAACATTGTTCCCATCGTACAGATCAGAAAGTGAGGCTCGGGGAAGGTAAGTGGGGTGCCCAAAGCCATGTGCTTGATATGTGGCTGGATAGGAACTCGAAGTCTGTCTGCTTCAAAGCTTATGTTCTTTCCAGGGACCCTCAAGACCCCAGAAGGCAGGGCAGAAAATTCAAATAGCAGTAAGTGGGCTGGGCACAGTGGCTCACGCCTGTAATCCCAGCACTTTGGGAGGCCGAGGTGGGTGGATCACCTGAGGTCAGGAGTTCAAGACCAGTCTGGCCAACATAGTGAAACCCAGTCTCTATTAAAAATTCAAAAATTACCCAGGTGTGGTGGCACACGCCTGTAATCCCAGCTGCTCGGGAGGCTGAGGCAGGACAATAGCTTGAACCCAGGAGGTGGACGTTGCAGTGAGCCAAGATCATGCCACTACACTCCAGACTGGGCAATAGAGTGAGACTCTGTCTCAAAACAAACAAACAGCCAGGGCTATCACAGGCCTGATCCTGCCTCCCCAGGTCCTGAGGCTGGGAACTCCACCTGTCCACCAATCTCAACCCTGTGTCCAGGCCACACCTTTCCAGTGTCCACCCCGACCCCATCCCATGAAGACAAGACGCGATGCAAATACTGACTCAGGGTAGTGAAGGAAACAAATGAAGCCCCAAATATAAGCTCGGGGAGCTTCTATTCTAGCTGGGGAGCCAGGCAGGGAGGAAGAGAAACACCAATTGTGCATGAGGCGTGCTGAGGAGGAAAACAGAGTAGCGAAGGGAGGCATGAAATGTCAGGAGTGGAGGCTGGAATTTCAGGGAAGACCTAAAAAGCTGCAAAGACAGTGGAGAAGTGAGTCGTGTGGCTATGGGGGATGGGTCTGGAAAGAGGCAGTCCAGACGGGGGCCCCTGGGTGGGGCTGCATGGTGTCATTCAGGGATGTCGGGGCCCACAGCAGAGGGCTGGTCCCGCGGTGGACACAAGGGTGAGGGGTGCAGGGAGGAGGGGGAAGGCAGGAGCTGGAGCAGGAACCCCCATGCCGAGGCTGTGGCCCCACCTCCCTGACACCCTCTCTCCCCACACCCTCACTCCTGCGCACACACACAGACCTGCAACTCACCCCGTCTGTGAAGAAGCTCCGGAGCAACGGCAGGCTGGGTATGCGGTTTGGCAGGTGCCTGGGAAGCAAGGGTGGAGGGTGAGGGATGTGGGCAGCAAAGCTGGGACCTCACTATCTCGTCACCCACCAAACCCCAAGCCCAGAAGCCTTCCAGCGGGGGAGGCACACTGTCCCATGCATAGAGGACCCCCAAGGCCAAAAGCCCTGCCCCAGAGCAGCTGGCCAGGGTGGCTGTGGCCACCCCACCCCATGTCCAGACAGGGCCTCACCGCAGAACCTGGCCCTCGTCGCGGAAGGTGTTGAGTCCATCATCGCAGGACTTGGAGCGCTCCGTGGTGATGGCCAGCAGGTAGGAGGAGCGGCGGCCAGCTTTGATGCTGCCTGCAAAGCCGCCCGCATCGGGCCTCAGGGTCAGCGGGGCAGCAGGTCAGGGGCTTCCCAGAGCCCTCCCTTCTAGGCAGGGGCAGGAGGTGACTCTTCCAAGGTGCCCCAGGAGAAGCGGAAACCAGAGGAAGAGGCCAGGCATCAAGCAGCAGACCCAACAGAGACCCCTGGGACTGGGCAGCGAGGGAAAGGGTGGGGCTGGGGGTGTGGGGAGCGCTCACTGCAGTCCCGCGAGTAATGCCGTCCGAGGGTGAAGGTGAAGGTCGGGGAAGATGGGCTGGTGCCCAGGACAGCGGCTGAGTTCATGGCACTGGAGACCACAGCAAAAGCAGGGACATGCCTGGCTTGGAGGTCAGTGCTGGGGCTGGTGGGCTCATCTATGCATGTGGAAGGAGAAAGGTGTGAAGGCGGCAGACAGCGGAACCTGCTTGCCTCCACCCTAGCCTTGCCAGCCCCCGTGCCACTCACCTCCAGGCTCAGACACATCCCAAAGGGTCCTGCTGGCAACATGCCCACTGTCAAGTGTGACTGGCCCACTGTCCAGACTGTGGCCATGGAATCCTTACCCTCAGGAGTGGGGCTGAGACACTCTCCTTAGACTGGGCTCCTGAGGACAGAGCCAATATTCCCCCATCAGACTGGGAGCCTCCTGAGGGCAGGGACGGTGTCTCCCCCATCAGACTGAGGGCACTCAGAGAGAATGAATTATGTCTCCCCTCTCAGACCAAGAGCCTCCTGAGGGCAGGGACAGCGTCTTCCCCATCAGACTGAGAGCTTCCTAAGGGCAAAAGCTCCCCCATCAGCTGGGGCTCCTCGAGGGCAGAGATGACATCTCCCATCAAACAGAGTGTGCTCTGGAAGAAGAGACTGCCTCTCCCGGCCACAGCCTAGAGCCTTTCATCAGGGATCAGTGGTGTGGATGGGGCCCTTGAGACAATCCAGTGAGATCTGGAAGTGAAGAAAAAGATTATAATCTGGGATAAATATAAAAAATTACAATAAAAATTTTATTGCAAATTTACAAATTATGGTTGTTTATATGTACATGGTAAAGGGCAATGTTATGATTTGTTAATACAATATGAAATAACTAAGATAATTAAGAAATAACTGATATAATTATCATTCATTGTTTCAAATTTTTATCTTTTATTGTGACAACATTTAACATTTACTCTTAGCTCTTTAAAATGACCAATGTACTATTTTAAATGAACCAATAGAAACCAATTTATGTAAACAATTGAAAATCTGGGAAATCAATTATGAATTACTGTAATAATTTAATAATTAAAAGTTAATAATGTAGTTAATTAAGTTTGATTTTTTCAAACTTTTTTTATCATTTCATTGTAATATTTAATACAAATGCCTACATATATATGCATTGGTCTGTGTATTTATACATCTTTCTATGGGTATAAATTTTTGTCCCTATAGCTATGTAGTTGCTGATGTCAACAAATGTTAATAAAACTCTGGAAGAATCAGTGCAAACAATTAGGAATGTTTATTTCTTGAAAGTATATACTTAAAAATATAATAATATGTAGAATGTTAATAATTACTAAAATTTAAATATTAATGATAAAGTTCATAATAAATATAAGTAACAAAATATCACAGCCTAGAAGACTCCAGAGTCCTGCGAAGATAAACGTGACTTTTCCAGCTGAGGAGAAAGGAAACCTCTCCCGGCACCTGCTCCTGGGACCTGTCCCGTCCTCAGTGGGTCCCGAGCGCCCCCTGGTTGCCCCGCGCGCCCCTGCAGGGAGGTTTGTGTCTGGGCTCACACTGACCTCCCCCCACTGTGTCTGTGGTACAGTAATACACGGCCGTGTCCTCGGTTTTCAGGCTGTTCATTTGCAGATACAGCGTGTTTTTTGAATCATCTCTTGAGATGGTGAATCTCCCTTTTTTTTTTTTTTTTTTTTTTTTTTTTTTTTTTTTTGAGACGGAGTCTCGCTCTGTCGCCCAGGCCGGACTGCGGACTGCAGTGGCGCAATCTCGGCTCACTGCAAGCTCCGCTTCCCGGGTTCACGCCATTCTCCTGCCTCAGCCTCCCGAGTAGCTGGGACTACAGGCGCCCGCCACCGCGCCCGGCTAATTTTTTGTATTTTTAGTAGAGACGGGGTTTCACCTTGTTAGCCAGGATGGTCTCGATCTCCTGACCTCATGATCCACCCGCCTCAGCCTCCCAAAGTGCTGGGATTACAGGCATGAGCCACCGCGCCCGGCCGAATCTGCCTTTCACAGGTGCAGCGTAGTCTGTTGTCCCACCATTAGCTTTGCTTTTAATACGGCCAACCCACTCCAGCCCCTTCCCTGGAGCCTGGCGGACCCAGCTCATCCAGGCGTTACTGAAAGTGAATTCAGAGGCTGCACAGGAGAGTCTAAGGGACCCCCCGAGGCTGTACCAAGGCCTCCCGCAGACTCCACCAGCTGCACCTCACACTGGACACCTGCAAACACAGAGACACTAAGGTCAGAAACTGCCACACATATCCACTGTTTCTCTCACTCATGTCCACTCACACTCAATCTCTCTAGCTCTCCATAAATCAACTTTTAAAATAGCAGCAAGGAAAACCCAGCTCAGCACAAACTCCATGGTGATTCCTGTGTGTTCAGTCCTGATCACTGAATGAAAATACTTGGGAATCCCAAGGCTGGGGCTCGTCTCCCAGAGCTGCAGGGTCAGGACTGGGCTGGTTTTCATCAGGAGAGGGAGGGCCCTATTTGCATGTCACCTACTATATAGCAAGCTCTGGGGTGGGACGCCTGAGCAGAGGGCAGTGCCCAGATAAGGTAATGATGCCCTGCAAGAATCTGATGACAATGATGGTGTTTGGAAAACTTGCTGTCTTATTAGGAAATTGTGCTGTGATAAACACTTTGCACTAATCACTCTCTTACATTTTTACATATTTGTGTAAATCATATTTTTAGGGGTCAATGGTTTCTCTATTTACAGATGGTGAAGTAAACCCATACGTGGAGGGGCTTTGTATGTATCTAAGAGCTCATACCTGAGGTTAGTGAGCCCCAGTATCTGGGCCTGTGCTCCTCATCCACTGGCCCTATATTACTCCCTAACCCAACTCCAGGACAGAGCTGGGCATGCCTAGTGTGGTTTGTGAAACCCACTTTCTGTATTGAGAACATGTGTAATTTTGCTGCATTCTAGCATTCACCTAAAAATATGGTGAGAACTAGGGTTCACGAAGATAAATTATTAGGTGTTTCTGAAATTTAGTATTTTTTCTATCTTTATATCACTTACTTCTTGTGCAAGTTTTCATTTGTTTGCTGGTAATAAATTTTATAAATTTCAGTTTACTGATAATAAACTTCACATATTTAAAGTGTACAATTGATAAACCTGATGTAACCATCCTAGTTATCAAGGTGAACCAGAAAATTCTCAAAATTTCCCTCTCATTCTTCCATATTCCTCCTCCTTTCCTCTTCCCTTCTTCTACCATTTCCCCAAATGGTAAATTCTGATCTTCTTTATATTGCTGTAGATTCAATTTAATTTATCAGAATTTATTAAAATGGAATAACATAGTACATATTCTTGTTTGCTTTATTTTCCTGAACATCAATACTTAGATATTTTACCTTGTTGTTATATTGCTTAAGTTCAGTTTTTATTTTCCAGAATTTATATAAATGAAATTATATGGTAAATCTTCTCATTTGTCTGGTTTATTTTATTCAGCAAAAATACTTAGATATTTTACCTTCTTGTTGCATGTATCAGACAATTATTTATTATAAATGTTGTGTAGTATTCCATTGAACAAATTTACCATAATTTGATTTTCTGTTAAGCAGCTTAACAATGTTCAAATTATTTTATTACTCTGGTAGTACTAAAAATCTACTACTCAACTTGAAAATGTACATAAATGAGGAATATATTTTCTTTTTTTCTTACAACTACATCAACAATAACAGATAAACAGTCAAGATGAAATTTTGCAAATTTCTGAATGCTTAGGATAACTGAAGTTAAAAAAAATCTTAAATTTAACAAGAAGCAAGTTCTTGTAGAGAGTAACAAAGCCAGCATATGAGATTACCTAAGGCAGAGTCTGGCATATGAAATATAGGCTGTTAAAGATAAAAATACAAATATATATGGGATTGCTTGAAATTGAATATGGTTAGCTTGTTGTAGTTTGAAATTCTAAGGGACCACATACTGAAGAGCTTTTCTATCCTCTTGAATCCCTTTCCCCAAAAAAGGGGCAGTCACAAAATCTTCCTTTCCCAAAGTGTCTGTCTGGGAGAGAACAAGAGCCCCCATTTTTGAAAGGCATTCAGACTCGACTCCCTTATATCCACTACAGAACTAAAAATTACTTTGCAGGGGAACCACCAAAACCAGTACCCTAGGGGCACTGGTGCAACTCCTCAGGAATTGAGATGGGAACAGAGGTCACTGCCACGAAGTTCTGTTGAGACACAACTCTCTTTCTTATGGAATCAGAGCTTTCGTCTGCAGGGCAGGGCAGCAGATCTGGGAGGTGATGACACTGATGGGGAACACTGGAGCTGTGGGAGGGAACACCTGGGGGAAACAGGGGGGCTGTACCCCAGTGGAAGGGACAAGAACACACAGATGAGCATCTCATCTGGAGAAGGGTCAGGAACACTCAGAAGGTCACACCCAGACTTACGGGCACAATGCCTTTCTAGGAATATGGACCGAGATGAGGTCAGAGACTCTTCCTTCAGTGTAAGGGCTTCCACTAATTTATCAATTGTCAGTTACATATAACAGAGGAATGCACCTGTGGGAGCTGAAAGAGATTCTCTGGAGGATGGAACAAGGAGAAGAGACACAGTCACGCAGCAAAGAAAAACAAGGTATCACTGGAGCATCTGTAGTCTCTGGTGGACATAGAAGAACACACTTCAATTAGTTGTTGAAACCTTTATATCAGTATTTACTAATTTATATGCTAAAATAGTTGGCCTCATCAATGGAGTCTTATTATCCCCATCAGGGATGAGTATCCATGTGGGCACGTGGTGCAGTTCTAGTCATGGGGGCAGGGGAGGTGGTCTGTTCAGGTGTTCCTGGTCCTTCAGAGGAGAATTGCAGAACTGTCTCTGCCCCTTTTCCAGCCAATATATAAAATATGTATGTGACCATGGGAATATTGTCACCATGTAACTGCATGATGGGAGTCACCTGAGGGGTGAAGCTGACTTTCTGGATGCATCAGTGTGGAAAATTGAGAAAAGAAACTTCTTGGGCACATGAGCTGTCAAATTATTCAATCCTGGAGCCACTCACTTCCAGAGGCTTCCTGTTTCATCAGGTTGTGATTTTCCTCATTGTGTAGTCAGCCTAGGTTGTCTTTCTTCACTCTCTGCTAAAATAGTCACACATAATATCTAGAAGCATTAAGATTAATAAGTAACTAATTTGAAAATTAGAACAAGTCCCAAGTGAAGTCAAAGTTACTGTGTGGTTGACAGGAAACATGGCTGGATACTAAGAGTGTGTTCACATCTGTTTTATGTAGATTAGCAACATATTTTGTATATCCCTTAAGTAATACTTTCATTGAGACTCCTGATTTAACACTATTTCTTGATGAATAACACCTAAATCATAAAGGTGGAGGTTATTACCTAATAATTCATATTACTGGTACAAACTTTCACCTAGGGTATATTCCTATACCTGATGTAAAATCAGCCCAGAATGGAGAAGTTACTTCTCTTATTAGAGCTTGTCAATTAACTAAAAACCAGGATTAAATACAGATGTTCTACATTAGTGTGTAATTTTGAAATGTGTTGCAAGCAGAGGAGGTTCTTATGTCTCCTAGAAGCCCCATCAAAATGGACAAAAAAAGACACTTTTAAATAAATTCCTACATTATAGAGACCTGACATATGAATTTGAAACCAAATGCCAACAAAGGAGAAAACAAACAAATAAAACAACTAGTATGGAAGCTAGAATAATGTGATGCACCATTACACCAAATATTCAGTCTTAACATGGTTTTTAATATTATGTAAACATGGAAGGTATTGCCATTGTTCATATGATACAGAATCAATGGTACTCACAATCATCTGAATATGTTGAAAAATGGCATCTTCAAATAAAAATTATGAAAACTTCAATAAAATATTGAACTCTCTTCACCAAGGGTTATACCATTAGCACTATGGCATGATGGTTTCCTCCCTCAGCACACATCAGTTATTACCCTATGACTTGGTAGCTGGAAGATTCACACTTTCGAGATTTTACCCTCATCACATACCTTTGTCCTATTGCATGCATGTGTTACAAAATATTGAAAATGATTTTTGTGTTATACACACTCCAATGACTAAAAATTTAAAGTTGCCTTTTTACCACATCTTTTAACAGCATTTTGTGATATCCGACCATGAAGTTATGTCTATTGTGTGTCTTTTATCACACAATGTGAATCTAGTTAGGAATCGCAGGAGCTTCCTCATTTGACACCAGTGGGTGTTTCACACTGTGCAATCCCCTTCCTGTGAGTGGGAAGCCTCACTCTGACCCACCACGAAACCATCACAAAAGCCCTGAGCCAGTCTGCTTTCTGGCTCTATTGAGCCATTTTGGGTGTTCCTTAGAGACCAGCACTAATCTCAACAGATGCCTCAAGAGGTAATTAACTTTTCCATATTCACATCGAGGGAGTACGCAGCACCCACAGATGTGACATCCACATGACATTTTAGTTGAGATCCCTTCGCCTTTTTGAGGTGTCAACTAGAACTGACGCTGTGAGCTTGTTGTCATGGCTGCTAAACACAGGACCCACCTGTTCCCTGAACCAACTCCAGGACAGAGCTGGACATGCCTGGTGTGGTTTGATAAACCCCCATTTTTAATAAAATCATGACATTATTTTGCTGTATTCTAGTGTTTCCCTAAAAATACAGGTAGACCCAGCGTGTATTCATGTGTATATTCAGGAGTCACTGATTTCTCATATATATTTAATGGAATATGTAATCCTTTCTTTAAATTATACTTTACGTTCTGGGGTACATGTGCAGAATGTGCAGTTTTGTTACATAGGTATACACACGCCATGGTTGTTTGCTGCACCCATCAACCTGCCATCTACCTTAGGTATTTTTCCTAATGCTATCCCTCCCCTAGCCCTTTACCTCCTGACAGGCCTCAGTGTGTGATATTCCCCTCCCTGTGTCCATGTGGTCTCATGGTTCAACTACCACTTACGAGTGAAAACAGCAGTGTCTGGTTTTCTGTTCTTCTGTTAGTTTGCTGAGAATGATGGTTGTCAGCTTCATCCATGTCCCTGCAAAGGACATGAACTCATCCTTTTTTATGGCTGCATAGTATTCCATGGTGTATATGTGCCACATTTTCTTTATCCAGTCTATTATTGATGGACATTTGGGTTGGTTTCAAGTCTTTGCTATTGGGAATAGTGCCGCAATAAACACACGGGTGCATGTGTCTTTGTAGTAGAATGACTTATAATCCTTGGGGTACATACCAAGTAATGGGATTGCTGGGTCAAATGGTATTTCTAGTTCTAGATCCTTGAGGAATCGCCACACTGTCTTCCACAATGGATGAACTTATTTACACTCCCACCAACAGTGTAAAAATGTTACTATTTCTCCACATCCTCTCCAGCATTTGTTGTTTCCTATTTAATGGTCACCATTCTAACTGGTGTGAGATGGTATCTCACTGTGGTTTTGATTTGCATTTCTCTAATGACCAGTGATGAGGAGGATTTTTTCATGTTTTTTTGGCTGCATAAATGTCTTCTTTCGAGAAATGTCTGTTCGTATCCTTCACCTACTTTTTGATGGGTTTTTTTTTCTTGTAAATTTGTTGTAGATTCTGGATGTTAGCCCTTTGTCAGATGGATAGATTGCAAAAATTTTCTCCCATTCTGTAGGTTGCCTGTTCACTCTGATGATAGTTTCTTTTGCTGTGCAGAAGCACTTTACTTTAATTATATCTCATTTATCAGTATTAGCTTTTGTTGCCATTGCTTTTGGTGTTTTAGACTTGAAGTCTTTGCCCATGCCTATGTCCTGAATGGTATTGCCTAGATTTTCTTCTAGGATTTTTATGGTTTCAGGTCTTGATAAGTCTTTCATCCATCTTGAGTTAATTTTTGTATAAGCTGTAAGGAAGGGGGTCCAGTTTCAGTTTTTTGTATATGGCTTGCCAGTTTTCCCAACACCACTTATTAAATAGTTCCGGAATTCTTTCCCCATTGTTTGTTTGTGTCAAGATTGTCAAAGATCAGATGGTTGTAGATGTGTGGTGTTATTTGGGAGGCCTCTGCTCTGTTCCATTGGTGTATATATCTGTTTTGGTACCAGTACCATGCTGTTTCAGTTACTGTAGCCTTGTAGTATAGTTTGAAGTCAGGTAGCATGATGCCTCCAGCTTTGTTTTTTTTTTTTTTTTTTTTTGCTTAGGATTGTCATGGCTATGCAGGATTTTTTTTGGTTCCATATGAACTTTAAAATAGTTTTTTCCAATTCTGTGAAGAAAGTCATTGGTAGTTTGATGGGGACAGCATTCAATCTATAAATTGCTTTGGGCAATATGGCCATTTTCATGATATTTATTCTTCTTATTCATGAGCATGGAATGTTTTTCCATTTGTTTGGGTCCTCTCTTATTTCCTTGAGCAGTGGTTTGTAGTTCTCCCTGAAGAGATCCTTCACATCCCTTGTAAGTTGTATTCCTAGGTATTTTATTTTCTTTGTAGCAATTTTGAGTGGGAGTTCACTCATGATTGATTTGGCTCTCTGTTCTTCTTTTATTGGGTTATAGAAATGCTTGTGATTTTTGCACATTGATTTTGTATCCTGAGACTTTGCTGAAGTTGCTTATCAGCTTAAGGAGATTTTGGGCTGAGACGATGGGGTTTTCTAAATATACAATCGTGTCATCTGCACGCAGAGACAATCTGACTTCCTCTTTTCCTATTTTTATACAATTTATTTCTTTCTCTTGCCTGATTACCCTGGCCAGATCTCTCAATACTATGTTGAATTGGAGTGGTGAGAGAGGCATCGTTGTCTTGTGCTGGTTTTCAAAGTAAATGCTTCCAGTTTTTGCCCATTCCATATGATATTGGCTGTGGGTTTGCCATAAATAGCTTTTATTATTTTGAGATACATTCCATGGATACCTAGAGTATTGAGTTTTTAGCATGAAGGGGTGTTGAATTTTGTTGAAGTCCTTTTCTGCATCTATTGAGATAATCATGTGGTTTCTGTCATTGGTTCTGTTTATGTGATGGATTACATTTATTGATTTGCATATGTTGAAACAGCCTTGCATCCCAGGGATGAAGCCGACTTGATCGTGGTGGATAAGCTTTTTGATGTGCTGCTGGATTCAGTTTGCCAGTATTTTATTGAGAATTGGTGCATTGATGTTCATCAGGGATATTGGCCTGAACTTTTTTTTTTTTGTTATGTCTCTGCCAGGTTTTGGTATCAGGATGATGCTGGCTTCATAAAAAGAGTTAGAGAGGAGTCCCTCTTTTTCTATTGTTTGAAATAGTTTCAGAAGGAATGGTAACAGTTCCTCTTTGTACCTCTGGTAGAATTTGGCTGTGAATCCATCTGGTCCTGGACTTTTTTTGGTTGGTATGCTATTAATTACTGCCTCAATTTCAGAATTTGTTATTGTTCTATTCAGGGATTCGACTTCTTCCTGCTTTAGACTTGGGACGGTGTATGTGTCCAGGCATTTATCCATTTCTTCTAGATTTTCTAGTGTATTTGCATAGAGGTTTTTATAGTATTCTCTGATGGTAGTTTGTATTTCGGTGGGATCAGTAGTGATATCCCCTATATTACATTTTATTGCATCTATTTGATTCTTCTCTCTTTTCTTCTTTATTAATATGGCTAACTGTCTATCTATTTTGTTGATGTGCTGTATTCAGGAGACCCATCTCATGTGCAAAGACACACATAGGCTCAAAATAAAGGGATGGAGGAATATTTACCAAGCAAATGGAAAGCAAAAAAAAAAAAAAGAAAGAAAGAAAACAAAAGCAGGAGTTGCAATCCTAATCTCTGATAAAACATTTTAAACCAAAAAAGATCAAAAGAGACAAAGAAGGGCACTGCATAATGGTAAAGGGATCAATGCAACAAGAAGAGCTAAATATCCTAAATATATATGCACCAAATACAGGAGCACCCAGATTCATAAAGGAAATCCTTAGAGACCTACAAAGAGACTTAGACTCCCACACAACAAGAGTGGGAGACTTTAACTCCCCGCTGTCAATATTAGACAGATCGATGAGACAGAAAATTAACAAGGATATTTAGGACTTGAAGTCAGCTCTGGACGAAGCAGACCTAATAGATATCTACAGAACTCTCCACCCCAAGTCAACAGAATATACATTCTTCTCAGCACCTCATCGCACATATTCTAAAACTGACCACATAATTGGAAGTAATACACTCCTCGCCAAATGCAAAAGAACAGAAATCATAACAAACAGTCTCTAAGACCACAGTGCAATAATCAAATTAGAACTCAGGATGAAGAAATTCACTCAAAACTGCACAACTACATGGAAACTGAAAAACCTGTTCCTGAGTGTCTACTGGGTAAATAAAGAAATGAAGGCAGAAATAAAGATGATCTTTGAAACCAATGAGAACAAAGACACAACATATGAGAATCTCCGGGACACATTTAAAGCAGTGTGTAGAGGGAAATTTATAGCACTAGGTGCCTACAAGAGAAAGCAGGAAAGATCTAAAACTGACACCCTAACATCAAAATTAAAAGAACTAGAGAAGCAAGAGCAAATTCAAAAGCTAGAAGAAGAGAAGAAATAACTAAGATCAGAGCAGAACTGAAGGAGATAAAGACATGAAAATCAGCTCCAAAAAATCAATGATCCAGGAGCTGGTTTTATGAATCTTTAATTCTGTGTTGAGAAATTTAAAATTTCTTTAGTTTGATGATTGAAGTCCTTATGCCATCGTTCTGAGATTTTCTTTTTTATTTCTCATATATTTTACCCATCTCTAAATTCTTTTCTACCACATTATATATGTTTAAATTTGTAGTATTTTAATAAGTTGAAATTAGAAAGTAACAATCTTCCCTTAATGTGTACCATTTAACAAATAATGACATAACCATAACTTTTCTCAATACAGAAAAAATTATCCTCAAAATTTCCTCTCATTGTCCTGTAATTTCCACTTCCTACACCTTCCCTTCTCATACCATGACCACGGCCAACTACTGGTTTTCATTATGTAACTTTAGATTAGTTTTCATTTTATAGAATTTATAAAAGTGGAACTGTATGTATGTACTTGTATTTCTTTGGTTTATGTTACTCGTCATAAGTACTTGTGAATTTACCCTTGTTGCTCATTTCCAGCAGTACTTGTTTGAACAGTGGGTATTATTCAAGTGAATGAATTTAGAACAAAGTGTTTACTGCTTAACCTGCTGATCAATATTTGGATTGCTTTCAGTATCTGGGTATTGTAAAGAAAGGTGCTACTCAGCTTAGAGAACTACACAGTTGAGAAAGACAATGTTCTTATTCCTACATCAACGTGAACAGCAGTTAAACTGAAAAAGCTGCACTTCAATACATTTTCTTCAACACATCAGGTAATTAAAGTTGTAGAACTCTTTGTGTGTGTCAGTTTGTGTGTGAGAGAGGAGGGAGGAAGGGACACAGAACAAGTGAGAGATCCTACATAACTGACCATAATTTATGAGGTGCTCAAATATATACAAGGACTTAGTCCTGAAGGACAAGGTCCACATTAGATGGAGAGGACAACTTGGTGCACCTACGTATGGCTATATATTTATATAAATATCATTGTCTAATAATACAATAATATACATTAGAATAAATATGGTGGAGAGTAAAATATGTCAGTGATGAAAAACCCCACCTCCAGCACCTTTTTTCCCCTCTTGCACCTGCCTTAATGTGTCCTGAGCGCCCCTTGGTGACCTGAGCACCCCCTGGTGTCCTGAGCTTCCCTGCAGGGAGGTTTGTGTCTGGCCTCACAATGACTTCCCCCTCTGTGTCTTTTGTATAAAAATCCATGGTGGTGTACTCATTGCACATGTAGCTCAGCTGTAGGAAAAACTGCTTTCTGAATGTGTATCTGGAGGTGGTGACTGGACTCTTGAGAAGCGGGTGGTACTGTGTGCTTCCTCATGACCTACACACCTGACCCACTTCAGCTCCTTCCCTGGGGGCTGGCAGATCCAGCTCCAGGAGGAAGTACTGGTTATGATCAGAAATCCAGAGGCGGCACAGGTGAAGGAGAGGGTCTCTGAGGGCTTTACTAGAACATGACTGCACTGAAAAACACAATTTTTGTCATACGCAGCATCTGAATGACATTTTGATGAGAATGATCCCAGGCTAGAAGCATCAATAACAAGGTTGACATCAGTGTAAGGTTGGACAGGCAGTTGCTGTGCAGATATTTTCACAGAAATAATTCTTTTATTGTTGTGGTTGCCTTTGTGCAAGGTTGTGGCTTTTCTGAGTGTTATAAAACTAGCTCTTGTTGTTAGGGATATAAGTAATTATTTTGTTGTTGTGGTTGCCTTTGTGCACAGTTGTGGCTATTCTGAGTGTTATAAAGCTAGCTGTTGTTCTTAGGGATATAAGTAATTCTTTTATTGTTGTGGTTGCCTTTGTTCAATTTGTGGTTTTTTGGAGTGTTATAAAGCTAGGTCTTGTTCTCAGGGGTATGTGCATGAGAATCTTCCATAAATGGCCTTCCCCAGCTCCATTTGTCAGGGTTTGAACACAAGGGACTCCAGTTGGATTCCGACAACTTTTACAGGCTCTTCTAACACTACCGGTGAAGAAGGTGACTCTGTGACAGTTTACACAGCACAGGATCAATTCCACATCCTCACCCCATTTTGACCAAAGAAGCTTATGCCCTCATTCCTAATGGCCACATGCATTCCCAGATGCGTCTCCAGAAAACAGAGTGGAGTGTCCTGAATAATGAGAGAGAAGAAAGTCTCAGCAGCCTCTCCCAATGGCTGCAGGAGTCACAGCCTGAGCCCCACCTAAGCTCCAGGGAAAGGGCTTGAGTCCCAGGATTTAGACCACAGGGACAACATCCTTTTTTCCAGAAAGCAGGAAAAGCAAATGGAAAAGCGAGAACCACTAAAAATGAAAGTCAGAAAGCACCAGATCAGTGCTGATACTCATTTGAATATTTTCAGGAGAAATGTCATACATAAAACCTGTGAGGTCCTACATGACACTGAACCTGGTCCAGCCTCTCTCTTGGCTGTAATCAAAATCCCTAAAAGCCATTCTAGTCAGGGAATCCCATTGAAGTTCCTGTCCTGAGTCTGACTGGAGAAGACTCACCGGGCACCCCTGAGCTTCCTCACGACTCTGATGCTGGTGCCCATGGTTGAGGAGTTCTCATTCCGGTAGGTGGCAATGTACATACTGTGCACGTGAGAATGAGTCCTCATATTACAATGATTATAAAAATATATGTAGAGATGACATTGGTGGGCACAGAAATTTAAAATTAAAGAGTTTCCCTAGAGAAACTGTCAGAAGCAGAGGAAGTCCCAAATCCTGACAGGAAACAAACCCCAGCCTCCATGTGAACCTGCTCTGGGGTTGACTCTGATGAATGGGTCCTGAGCGTCCCCTGCAGTGATTTCCCCCAACGTTCCTGCAGGAGGTTTGTGTCTGGGCTCACACTTGTGTCCCCTCACAGGATTTCTCACACAGTAATACACGGCCATGTCCTTGGCTCTCTGTCTGTTCTTTTGCAGATACAGGGACTTGCTGGAATTGTCTCTGGAGATGGTAAATTGGCCCTTCACGGAGTCCACATAGTGCGTCTTACCGCCATTCCAACTAATACCCGAGACCCACTCCAGCCCCTTTCCTGGAGCCTAGAGGACCCAGTTCATGTCACTGTTACTGAAGGTGAATCCAGAGGCTGCACAGGAGAGTCTCAGGGACCCCCCAGGCTGGACCAAGCCTCCCCCAGACTCCACCAGCTGCACCTCACACTGCACACCTGCAAACACAGAGACATCCTGGTCAGAAACTGCCACACATAGCCACTGTTCTGTCACTCATGTCCCCTCACACTCAATATCCTTAGTTCTCCATGAATTACCTTTTAAAATAGCAGCAAGAAAGACCCAGCTCAGCCCAAATTCCATGGTAATTTGTTTATTGCTGTTGACCCAATAGAAACACCTGAGAATCCCAGGGCTGGGGCTTCTCTCCCACGGCTGCAGGGTCAGGGCTGGGCTGCTTTTCATCAGAAAAGGGAGGGTCCTATTTGCATGTCTCCTATTACATAGCAAGCTCTGAAGTGGGACACCTGAGGAGAGGACTGAGCCCAGAGTAATGAGAGTGAAACAGCAAACCTGAACAACTACAGATAAAAAAAAAAAAACCTCAGCATATCAGAGTTGATATCATGGAGCAAACATGAACTGAAAATTTGAGGATAGGGGTTGATAGGGAGACCCAGGATGCATATATGAGTGTACCTGGGGCAGGTGTCACTCCATGGCATTTAAGCTAACCTGGAAACATTTAGAGTTCCTTGAGGATGTGCGCATTAACAGTGTTGGAGTGTGAAGCTTCTAGAGCCATATATTGTTGCAGGCTTTCCTTACAAAGTTTGAAATATCCCACATGACCTCACACTCACACAGTGTGACCTTGCACATCCCCAAGGTCACCTCACATGTGCCCTGAGTCACCTCACACATCCCCAATGTCACCTTACACATCCCGCAGGTCACCTCAAACATTTCCCAGGTAACCTCACACAAGTCCCAATTCACCTCACACATCCCACAGGTAACCTCACACTCACCCAAGGTCACCTCGCACATCCTCCATGTCACCTCAGATGCGCCTTAGGTGACCTCACATGTGCTCAGGTCACCTCACACATCAGGCAGGTCACCTCACATATTCCCCATGTTACCTCACACACACTCCTGCTAAGCTCACACATCCCCCACGTCACCTCAAACGCACCCACATCACCTCACACATTCCCCAGGTCACCTCACATGTCCCACAGGTCACCTCACACATTCCCCAGGTCACTTCACATGTCCCACAGGTCACCTCACACGTTCCCCAGGTCACCTCACACGTCCCCCATGTCACCTCAGATGCGCCTTAGGTGACCTTACATGTGCTCAGGTCACCTCACACATCAGGCAGGTCACCTCACATATTCCCCATGTCACCTCACACACACTCCTGCTAAGCTCACACATCCCCCACGTCATCTCAAACGCACCCACATCACCTCACACATTCCCCAGGTCACCTCACATGTCCCACAGGTCACCTCACACATTCCCCATGTCACGTCACATGTCCCCCAGGTCACCTCACACATTCCCCACGTCACCTCACACATCCGCCACGTCACCTCACACGTCCCCCAGGTCACCTCACACATCCCCCAGGTCACCTCACATGTCCTACAGGTCACCTCACACGTGCCACAGGTCACCTCACACATTCCCCAGGTCACCTCACACGTCCCACAGGTCACCTCACACATCCCCCAGGTCACCTCACACGTCCTACAGGTCACCTCACACATCCCCCAGGTCACCTCACACATTCCCCAGGTCACCTCACACGTCCCACAGGTCACCTCACACATCCCCCAGGTCACCTCACACGTCCCCCAGGTCACCTCACACGTTCCCCACGTCACCTCACACGTCCCCCAGGTCACCTCACACATTCCCCACGTCACCTCACACATCCGCCACGTCACCTCACACGTCCCACAGGTCACCTCACATGTCCCCCAGGTCACCTCACACATCCCCCAGGTCACCTCACACGTCCTACAGGTCACCTCACACGTCCCACAGGTCACCTCACACATTCCCCACATCACCTTACACGAACCACAGGTCACCTCACACGTCCCACAGGTCACCTCACACATTCCCACAGGTCACCTCACACATCCCCCAGGTCACCTCACGCATCCCCCAGGTCACCTCCCACGTCCCACAGGTCACCTCACACGTCCCCCAGGTCACCTCACACATGCCTTAGGTCACATCATACATGCCCAAGTCACCTCATGAGTTCCCCGTGTCACCTCATGCATGTCTAGGTAACCTCACACGCACCCAGGCCACCACACATGCACCCTGGGTCACCTCACATGAGCCCAAGTTCACCTCACACATACCCCCAGGTAACCTTACACATCCCCCAGGTCACCTCACTGTCACGTGACCAGGTCACCTCACCTTCATACAGGTAGGTCGCTTCACACGTGCTATGATACATGTATACATCATGGAATTGTTAATCAAGCTATTTAATATATCCATCACCTCATAAATGTGTAATTTCTTTTTTTTTTTTTTTGAGACTGAGTCTCACTCTGTCGCCCAGGCTGGAGTGCAGTGGTGCGATCTCGGTCACTGCAGCCTTTGCTTCCCAGGTTCAAACAATTCTCCTGCCTCAGCCTCCCGAGTAGCTGGGATTACAGGCGCCCAACACCACGCCTGGCTAACTTTTGTGTTTTTAGTGGAGACAGGGTTTCACCATTTTGGCCAGTCTGGTCTTGAACTCCTGACCTTGTGATCCACCCACCTCGGCCTCCAAAAGTGCTGGGATTAGAGGTGTGAGCCCCCACTCCCGACCTGTATAATTTCTTAGTGGGAAAAATTTTAACATTTACATTTTTAGCCATTTTGAAATATACAATGCATTCATAGCCATATTTTCCATCTTGTGCATTAGAACACTGCAACTTACTCCTTCTGTCTAACTGGAACATTTTACACTTTGACCAAAATCTCTCCTTTTCCAGTCCACCCCTCCAGCCCCTGGTAACCAACATTCTATTCTGCTTCTGTGAGTCTACCATTTTAATGCCCTACAGTGAAATCATGAATTACTTGTCTTCTGCTCCTGCTTGTTGCATTTCACATGTGGTCCTCTAGAGTCATGATTGCTGTCGCATTTCAAAACCAATCATGCCTGTTCAAGAGTCTGCCAAAGTCTTAACTCATTTGAGCCTTAACTCAAAAGTCCACAGTCCAAGGTCTCATTTGAGATGAGGCAAGTCTCTTCCATATGAGCCTGTAAAATAAAAACGAAGTCAGTTACTTCCTAGAAAGAATAGGAGTTCAGGCATTGTGTAAATACAGCCATTCCAAATGGAGAAATTGGTCCAAACTACAGGCCCCATGCAAGTCTGAAATCCAGCTGGGCAGTCAAATCTTCATGTTCCAGAATAATCTTCTTTGACTCCATGTCTCAAATCCAGGTTACCTGATGTAACAGGTGGGTTCCCATGGTCTTTGGCAGTTCTGCCCCTGTGGCAGAACTTTTTAAAAACTTTTCACATGAAAAGTTTTAAAAAACTTTTGCAGGGCACAGTCTCCCTCCTGGCTGCTTTCACGAGCTGGCATTGAGTGTATGTGGTTTTTCCAGAAATATGGTGCAAGCTGTCAGTGGATCTACCATTCTGGGTTCTGGAGGGCAGTGGCTTTCTTCTTACAGCTCCACTAGGTGGTACACCAGTAGAAACTCTGTGTGGGATTTCTGACCCCACATTTCCCTGTCACACTGGGACTAAAGGCACTTGCCACAATACCTGGCTATTTTTTGTATTTTTAGTAGAGACGGGGTTTTACCATGTTGGCCAGGCTGGTCTTGAACCCTTGACCTCAGGTGATCTGCCTGCCTATGACTCCCAAAGTGCTGGGATTACAGGCCTGAGCCACCATGCCTGGCCAAGATTAATATGTCATTTAATGATGTATTTGAAAACTTCATGGTTCTACAAACACACATACATACACAACAGCCCAGCAAAGACACATACATATGCCCATGCAAAAGTGAATGTATATCTAAACACCAAAATAGCACACCTATTTGTTTCATATTTTTTAATTACTTAATTGAATTTAAACTGTGTTTGCAGTTTGAGGTTGTAGTAGAAAATAATGCTCTTCTACGTGTATGTCTGCCTATTCCAATACTAAAAAGACAAATATATTTAAATACATGTTTTGTTAAAGCTGAATGTAAATGCTGTTCTTGCCAAATATGTCACTCAAATGTGCAATGGTATTAACTTTAAATATCAGTCTGTTTTTAATAAATTGAATAACTAATAAGACAAACATTGTATTACATTATTTGTTAAATTTAGATTGTAGTTTTCAAACCAGGAAAGATAAAATTGTTTCATTTGAAAAATTTTAAAAAAACTTTTTTGGCATGAATATTCAATACAAACTCTAGTATTTATTTGTCAATATTCCTTTATGATAGAGAACATCCAGGATAATGAAACTGAACACAGCCCATGATTTTCAGGGCTCACTCACAATGGCATCTTCCTAGAGGGTGGTCTCAGAGGGTCCAAGCACATGGGGATTTGGACTTCATCATCAAAACATAGTGAGCCCCAGGGCTGAACACACAGAGGGCAGCAGGAGCTGCAGAGCCCACTCTGTGGTACTTAGGGAAATGAGGGGATGGTCTGCAGGACCCTGGAAAAGGGTGAGTAGGGCAGAGTCTGCAGGTAGATGAGCATATTCTAAGGAGAACCATTATCCTCTAAACTTGGTTGGCTTCAGTGATTATGAAGACAAGGGAACTGATTCACCAGACTTGGAGGTCAGAAAGTAAAGTGACTTTCTTTTTCCTTCATGGAGACTGAGGAATGTAAAATACTTTCAAAGAAAAAGGGAAGATGGAGAAACAGTCTGAAAAACAGGACACCTGAAGCCAACCAAAATGGAGAACAAGAGCATTTAAAGTCTTGTTTAATTTCCAAAAACAGCAGATGAAAGAAAAAGAAACAAAATACCATGTATACGCTGAGTTAATGTTAAAAAACATGTACAATTGTTTGACTATTACAGCACAAAAATACAAAACTCTAATCATTGAAACAGTTTATATTGAGGATATACATTTTCTTTAAATAGGGTCTCACTCTGTCAACGAGACTGGAGTGCAGTGGCACAATCACAGCTCACTGCAGTATTAACCTCCCAGGCTTAAGGGATCCTCCCACCTCAGCCTTTCAAGTAGCTGCTACCACAGGTGGAACCATACCCAGGTATTTATTATTATTATTTTTGTATAGAAAAGACCTCACTGTGCTGCCAGGCTGTTCTAAAAGTCCTGAGCTCAAGTGATCTGCCTGCCTTATCCTCCCAAAGTTCTGGGATTACAGGTGTGATTTTTATAATTTTACTATTTTAATAATAGTATTATTTTTAATCAAGAGAATATATAAATAACCTATTTTAAAAATTGTCCTGAGAGATCATTGCTAGTATTACTTGGAAAATATGCAGCATTAAAAATTGAATTAAATTCCTGTTCTAAGTTAATGTTTTGTAGGTAAAAGTAATCGTGGATTTACAAGGAAGAAATGGTGAGAGATCCTGGGGAAGACTTTTGCTTGACCAGGTCGGGAATCACCAAGGTTTAAAAGAAAACCACAGCTTCTCAGGCTCCTGATTTGGAGCTGCTTCCTGAGAACCCCCGTGTACTGAGCACCCCCTGGTGGTTCTGAGTGCCCCTGGTGTCATGAGCGCCCCCTCGTGGTACTGAGGGCACTGTGATATCCTGAGCACCCCTGATGCTTCTGAGCGCCCCCAGGTGTCCTGAGCGCCCCCCTTGGTGTCCTGAGCACCCCCTGGTGGTTCTGAGCGCCCCCTGGTGTCCTGAGCGCCCCCTGGTGGTCCTGAACACCCCCTGGTGACCTGAGTGCCTGCTGGTGGTCCTGGGCAAACCCTCGTGTCCTGAGTGCTCCCTTGTGATTCTGAGTGCCCCCTGGTGTCATGAGCACCCCCTCATGATCCTGAGCACCCCCTAATATCCTGAGCACCCCATGGTCCTAAGCACACCCTGGTGGTTCTGAGTGCCCCCAGGTTGTCCTCAAGGCGCCCTGGTGGTTCTGAGGAGCATCTACCATGCAGCTCCCTCCTGTCTTCCTGCAGAGATTTTTCTGTTGGGGCTCACACAGATATTCCCTCTCCTGTGTCTCTCACAGTATTACAAGGCCTTGTCCTTGACTTTCAGTTTGGTCCCTTTAAGGTAGACTGCACATTAAAAGGTGTCACTTGGGACTGTTAATTTATTTGTGCTTATGGAGAGTAACTCTGAGAACTCCCACTTGATCACTCACTGTTTCCACCTACACAAATCCCTGTCGTGAAGCTGGCTGGACCAAGCTCATTGCTGTAGCCAGTAAAGGTGAAATCAGAGGCTTTGCATGAGAGTCTCAGTGAGCCACTGGGTGTACAATTTTTCCCCCTCTGACTCCATCAATAAATTTCACACAGGACTTCTGCAAACACTGAGGAAATGGAAGAACGGCCCCATGTGGAGCAGCCGCACCTGGACCTGATTCACAAGGGACACTAATATTGAGGGTGATGAGAAGGGAAGCCCAAATCAGTGCAGACCCCACGGTGTGGACACTGAGGAAGGGAAGAGACATGGGTTGGCTCCTCGCCAGGGCCTGAAGGAACAGGGGATGAGCTGCCTTTCATGAGGAGGGGAGGGGACACATTTCCTTGTCTTTCTTTTTGTGGTCTTGGGTGCACCGCTCAGCATTGCTCATCCGTCCTCTGTGTCTCCATTTCAGGGGGGCAGGGTCAAAGGACTCGTGGGTCTGGATGCACAGGGTTAATCTGCTGATTAGTCTTTTTTATTTTCTAGTGTGGACCCTGTTCAGGTATCTTCACAGTAGCAAACATTATCAAAAAAATACATCCAGTAAGAACTTAAAAATATATTTCCAGAGAAAACGGACACCAATCTCTAATCGGTGCATTTAGAGCTACAAACTACTGTTCTTGACAATAAGGCAAAGTTAAGGTACAATAAAAAAATGCAGATCTACAACTTGTCAGGGAGGGATTTTATAATTATTATCTTGAGATCATTTTCCCATAAAACAGTTCAACATTGGATATATCTGCTTGTGTCAGGGAACAGTCACTGTGGAAATATGTGTACTTATCAGAGTGAAGAGTTCACATGCAGACATGTTTGTTTGTCTGAGACAAGAGTCCACATGAGGAAATGTCATTACCAGAGGAAAGAGTAAATGTAAGGACATACGTGGTGGTCTGAGGAAAGAGTCCATGTGGGGACATATGTGTTTGTCTGAGGGAAGAATCCACGTGAGTAAAGGTGTGTTTGTCTGACGGAAGAGTCCCCATGTTGACAGGTGTGTGTACCCATCTGTGGGTAAATGCCCATTCAGGGACAGTGTGTGCCTGAACTGAGCTGAAGTTTGGGGAAAATCTTTATCAACCAAGGAAAGAAAAGAATTATCTGGGTTATTTGCTTGTCAGGAAGAAAAAACCTGGGTCACGTTGAAAATTGATTTTTTTAAATTAAAGGTCTTTAGTGAATGGTAACATCTTATATGCAAATGAGGAAAATTACTTCATTCTTTTTTGCATGCATCTCATGATATCCCCACCCTCACCAAATAAGTTATTAGATAACTTTATACAGTCTGCATTTAATCCTGGGTTTAATGAACTGCTAAATACTTTTTACAAAAATTGTATATATTTAGGTTTATATTTTCCATCACACAATTATGAGCTTAGACAAATTAACTGCATCGTGTCTCAACCATTTTATAGCACTAAAAATAATTTTACTATTCTTAAACAGTGCCATTTTTACTTATTTAATACTCATTCTCTAAATTCCTTGAATATCCTCTATCTGTTTACTTGACTATAGTTTTGGTTTATACCGAATTTCAAATAAATGACATTATACGGTGTAATTGAAATGACTTCACTGAAGAAAGTAGAAAATGAAGTTGCTAGTCTAATTAACTTTGAAAATGAGGAAATTCTGTATGTTTAAAATGTAAAGAAACTACACATAGCACTCTATTCTAGTAGATAAACATATTTCCAATGAGCTTTACATTTCTGATACCGCTATGCATGTGTCCTAAAATTGTGCAACCAGGTAATAATAAGGCAATTGGTGGGATAGGATTCCTCACTTTAAAGTGGATGGTTATGGACAGTCAAGGAAGGAAGGCTAGAAAGGTCCACGTGGTAGCATAGTTGGGTCAGGAGACCAGTGTGTTCTCATTTTTAATATAATAAAGTTACAGAAGATTAGGTACATAAGTAGTTTTGATGCGTCCATAAACATGGGTTCATATAAACATGCACGTCTGCTAGGCCAGTAGGTTGAGAGGTCCTAGAAGTAATTATACACGGTATCACAATTTTTTTATTTTACTGCTATTCGTTAACGTTAGAAACAAGCAAGCTTTAGAGAAATGGCTAATTCTATGTACA